>NC_000017.11:82523287-82885364 GCF_000001405.40 Homo sapiens
TTTCACAGAGGGGAGTTTAGCATTTGTGCGGTGTGAATTAAATTATTAACCTAGAGGATATTTCAGCACTTCCTTTTTTGTAAGGTATCATTTCCAAATTTGTGGTGTAGGGCAGTAACACAGGTTAATGGAATAAATCATAAAGAATTGGTACCAGTGAAATGCAGATAAATTGTTTAAAATCTTTTTTTTTTTTTTTTAAGACAGAGTTTTTCGCTCTTGTTGCCTAGGCTGGAGTGCAATGGTATGATCTCGGCTCATTGCAACCTCCGCTTCCTGGGCTCAAGCGATTCTCCTGCTTCAGCCTCCCGAGTACCTGGGATTACAGGTGTGCACTACACCACCGCACCCAGTTAATTTTGTATTTTTAGTAGAGACAGGGTTAATCCATGTTGGTCAGGCTGGTCTTGAACTCCTGACCTCAGGTGATCTGCTCACCTCCGCCTCCCAAAGTGCTGGGATTACAGGTGTGAGCCACCACACCTGGCCCTAAAATCTTTTTTTCTGAATTTAAGCTCAGTGTTCAGGTTGATGATACAAGTTCTTTTTAAGTTTAAAAATCAAATTAAATGTATAAGCTTGAAAGCACACGTAACTTAGAGTAATTATGTAAAGGCCAAAGTATTATTACGAGTCTCACTCTGTTGTCCAGGCTGGAGTGCAGTGGCGTGATCTTGGCTCACTGCAACCTTGGCCTCTTGGATTCAAGCCATTCTCCTGCCTCAGACTCCCCAGTAGCTGGGATTAAGGAGCCCACCACCAGGCCTGGCTTTGTGTTTTTTGTAGCAACAGAGTTTCACCATGTTGGCCAGGCTGGTCTCAAACTCCTGAACTCAGGTGATCCGTCCCGCCTCCGCTTCCCAAAGTGCTGGGATTATAGGTGTGAGCCACTGCGCCTGTCCTAAGGCTGAAATATTATTAATGCTTATTTCAGATTTGTCTACTAAATTTAACATCACTGTAGAGTTAGAAAATAATGTAACAACCCGTCGTTGGTCTCTTATTTGAACCACAATGATTTTATTCAAATTCCAACTTCAAAATGAATTTATGTTTTGAATTTATATTAAAAATTATCAGAAAATTTGCAAGAGTACATAAGTAGTTTAGGTTTAAAATTTGGCTCATTTCATTGAAATAATAATGTATTAATGTGGGGGAAGAGAGAAAGATGAGGACTATGATCCTGTCCTTGTCTGCTGTATTTTAATAATTTGACTAAGATGTGGATCCAAGTACTGTTTCCACAGTGGCTGGGGAGCCTCGAGCCCAGTGTGATTGGTGGGGGCTCAGTGTGTACAAAGATTGTCAGGGTGTGTGGTTTTCTGGAAAACAAATGGCTTCTTCAAGTCCTTGATTTTTGGATACACAGGATGCAGGGCTGTGTGTAAGGAAAGGCAGCGTTTTCCTCTCTTAGAGCCTCTGACTGACCTGAGGCGCAGGTGTTCCTGGGAGACTGGAGGGTGGGCTCCATGGGGGTGTCTGGGCCCCACCTGGCAGGGCTCTTGGCAGTGAGCCAGTGGAGGTTGCCTCCCACGTGTGGCTGGCCCTGTAGCCTGGCTCTGGAGAACCTGCAATTCAGGCTGGAAGAGACTTTGGAGCAGCTGGAGTGTGAGGTCTGCCTGGGTCTGGTGGGGAGTGTTTTTACTTTGCCAGTGATAGACTGAAATGCCCTCTTTGAGGACAAGGTGGCTTTTTTTTTTTTTTTAAATCGGTCTCTGTCTGTCGCCCAGGCTGGGGTACAGTGGCACGATCTCGGCTCACTGCAACCTCCGCCTCCCGGGTTCAAGTGATTATCCTGGCTCAGCCTCCCGAGTAGCTGGGATTACAGATGCCCGCCACCATGCCCGGCTAATTTTTGTATTTGTATTTTATTTATTTATCTATTAATCTATTTTTTGAGATGGAATCTTGCTTTGTTGCCCAGGTGGGAGTGCAGTGACGCAGTCTCAGCTCACTGCAGCCTCCGCCTCCTGGGTTCTGGGTTCAAGCAATTCTTCTGTCTCAGCCTCCCAAGTAGCTGGGACTACAGGTACGTGCCACCATGCCTGGCTAACTTTTTTTGCATTTTTAGTAGAGACGGGGTTTCACCATGTTGGTCAGGCTGGTCAGAACTCCTGACCTCAGGTCATCTGCCCACCTCGGCCTCCCAAAGTGCTGGGATTACAGGCGTGAGCTACTGCGCCCGGTCGAGGACAAGGTTCTTATTTGTCCAAGGGCCTGGTCTGGAGGCTATGATTAGTAAAGTGTTTTTTAGGAAGATCAATTGGACAGGACAGTTTGGGTTTGTTGTTGCTATTTTTGTTGCCATGGTAACAAACTAAGTATAATTTATGAATAAAAATAGGCAACTCTTTAACAGTTGTTTATACTTTGAAAATGTCAAATGAATTTGACACATTCTGATCAGTAAGATCCCAGAATATCTAATAGTCAAATATAAATAGAACAAGTTGAATTTACTATTGCCTACAACTATTTAACGTGCTAAATTAAAACTCTGTTTATTTAGAAGAGTGACCCCTGTCCTATGCCAAATGAACTCTATCAGTTCTACCCAGTGGTAATTCCACACTTTCTTTCTTACGTGGCCTGAATCCCACACTTTCTTTCTTACGTGGCATGAATCCCACACTTTCTTTCTTACGTGGCATGAATCCCACACTTACTTTCTTATGTGGCCTGAATCCCACACTTTCTTATGTGGCATGAATCCCTCACTTTATGTGGCATGAATCCCTCACTTTCTTTCTTATGTGGCAGATTGTGTTTGGTAATGTCAGATTTGAAGACTTGTTTATTAAATCAGAGACAGTATCTTCCAAGGTGAAGACTGGAGAGAGATGAGCCGACAGTCAGTGGCTTCTGGAGCTTTCCAGGTGGAGACTCCAATAAATGAATTGAGGGAACTCACAGTGATTCTGTCCTACTCAGAATGCAGATGGGCAGAACTGAGCTTCCCGGAGAATCCCAGTACCAGAAAGAAGAAGTAAGAAGGAGGGGGTCCTGGGAAGGAGATGGCCAAGGGACATGGCTTGGCAATCAGGAAGTCTTGGGCAGCCTTTGAGAGGGCTGTTGTCTCCAGGATAAGGAAGGAGGCTGGACATAGGGCTGGAGAATAAGGAAGGAGTGGAGGTAGAAGGAGTGCATGTAAAGTGGGGACCTTGTAAGGAGAGCAGAGTTGAGATTAGGGTTAGGAGGAGCGGAAACCTCATCACTAAGGTGAAGTGGCTGAAGGAACCACCAAGAAATGGGAGTTGAGGCTGGGTGCGGTGGCTCACGCCTGTGATCCCAGCACTTTGGGAGGCCGAGGCAGGTGGATCATGAGGTCAGGAGATTGAGACCATCCTGGTTAACACGGTGAAACCTCATCTCTACTAAAAATACAAAAAATTAGCTGGGCATGGTGGCGGGCACCTCTAGTCCCAGCTACTTGGGAGGCTGAGGCAGGAGAATGGCATGAACCCAGGAGATTGGAGCTTGCAGTGAGCCGAGATCGCGCCACTGCACTCCAACCTGGGCGACAGAGCGAGACTCCGTCTCAAAAAAAAAAAAAAAAGAAAGAAATGGAGTTGAGGCCTGGTCAGCTCTTTGCCGAGTAGACAGCAGACGATGTCTGAAGGAGGACAGCTCCCAGTGGAAAAGAAAACGAGATTGTGTTGTTTGAAGAGCTGAGCAGAGCGGGTCGGAACGGAGCTACTAGGAAAGTCTGGTGTGTTTCCGTATTGAAGGGCTGCAAGGTGGCTGAAATGCCTTCGTTTTGCGACCTGAAACTCCTGACAAGCTTGTGAGTGGAGCTGAGCCTGGGACACAGGAGTTGGCATGTGTTGGCATAAATAAAGGGATGTTCATAGCAGAGGGCAAATGGCGCTTTGCACTTTGAAAAGTGTTCAGTGTACAAATCAGTTGCCTTTAATAACTACTCTGTATTTAAGCTCCGCCTCCTGGGTTCAAGCGATTCTCCTGCCTCAGCCTCCCGAGGAGCTGGGATTACAGGCATGCACCACCATGCTGGCTAATTTTTGTATTTTTGGTAGAGATAGCTTTTAAAGAAATTTTGGCTGGGCCCGGTGGCTCTTGCCTGTAATCCCAGCACTTTGGGAAGCCGAGACAGGTGGATCATCTGAGGTCAGGAGTTCGAGATCAGCCTGGCCAACATGGCGAAACTCCGACTCTACTAAAAATACAAAAATTAACTGGGCATGGTGGCGGATGCCTGTAATCCCAGCAACTCAGGAGGCTGAGGCAGGATAATCACTTGAACCCACAGGGTGAAGGTTGTGGTGAGCTGAGATGGCGCCACTGTACTCCAGCCTGGGTGACATAGCAAGACTTTGTCTCAAAACCGAAGATATTCATTTGGCAAATTGAGATACATTGTTATCACTGATTTGTAGACACAGAACACATTGCAGCTATTTTAGCATAATTGTTACTTTAAGTTAAAAACCCAGTAACCAACTTACTTCTGCCTCACCTTAGTGTTTAGTACTTCTTCCAGTGGTAAAACTCTGTGTTCCTTTTATTTTATTATTTAGAGTCTCACTCTGTCACCCAGGCTGGAGTACAGTGGCACCATCATAGCTCACTGCAGCCTTGAACTCCTGGACTCAAGCGATCTTCCCACCTCAGTCTCCCGTGTAGCTGAGAGTACAGGCCTGCATGGCCATTCAGGGCTAATTTATTTTTTTTTGGACGTGGGGTCTCGCTATGTTGCCCAGGCTGGTCGCAAATTCCTGTCCTCAAGCAGTCCCCCCACCTCAGTCTGCCAAAGTGCTGGGATTACAGGTGCGAGCCACCCTGCCTGGCCTATACATGTTTTCAAGTGCTGATCATTTATTAATAGTGAAGTGATTGTAGTCAGGCGTGGCTCCCCCATTTACTGGCAGGTCCCATTTAGACCTGCGGTTGCAGAAGTACAGCACAGCTCTGTGCATGATTGGTGGAAATATTCCAGGAGATGAGGCTGTTACAGTAACAGCAGATTTTTCCATTGTGAAAATGTAACTATTCCTGCTTTGTTGAAGAGAAAGATTTTTTTGGAAAATGAAGAAAAGAGGATTTCTAAATTAAGGAAGCTTTTAGTGAAAGCAGTTGGCATTTGGGTAGTAGTATTCTTATCTGTTTAACATTTTTGTGGGGCTCTTGTTTTCTTTTATGTTTGGTTTTTGGAGCAATTTATAATATCTTAAATAATGACAGTCATAGTAAATCAACCTCCACACTTTTTCATGAGGAATTTTTGAATTTGCTGCTAAAATGCAGTACAGGAGGGCATGTTTAAGGCACACATTACCATCTCTACAATGTGAAGCGGGCTTTGAGCACGGAACAAGGTGTTACAGCTGTACCTAGGAAGTGGTGGCAGGGAGACCAGAAAGTACCTCGTGCCAGAGCCACAGCCCCTGCGGCCCTGCTTTCCTCGTGCACGTCAGTTTAGAGTGCACATTGGGCTTCAAACGCCTCTGCTGATTTGTTAGGAACAGAGAAGGTGCTCTGCTGAGAATTCCGTAGATTTCTAGACAGTATTTGGTTTTTGCTGCAGTTTGTCATTTGAGATGGAATGCTTGTGTTCTTTGTCCTGTGAAGGGCATTGGAGTACGACACCGGGGTGAGTCTGCCTCCTTCCCCTCCCTGGGACGTATGACAGTGTCTGGAGGCACATTTGGTTGGCATAGACTGGGAGGACGGGTGCTACTGGCATCTAGTGGACAGAGGCCAGGGATGCCACTGAAAAATCTTACAACGCACAGGACGCAGGAGGGGAGAGCCGCCTGTTGCGTAGCAACCTGGCAGCTGATAATATAATAAAAGTTGGTTATGACTCTTGGTCCTACTGGTGGTAAGTTTTAATAATTTTTTTTACAGATGATTCCTGCTTAAAACCTTTATGCTACCAAAGCATCTGTTCAAATTATACTTGAAAGCGCCTTTTTTTTTTTTTTTTTTTTTTGAGACAGGGTCTTGCTCTGTTTCCCAGGCTGAAGTGCAGTGGTGTGATCTTGGCTCATTGCAGTGTCCACCTCCCGGGTTCAAGCGATTCTCCTGCCTCAGCCTCCTGAGTAGCTGGAATTACAGGCACGTGCCACCACGCCGGCTAATTTTTTTTTTTTTTTTTTCAAGATGGAGTTCTGCTCTGTCGTCCAGGCTGGAATGCAGTGGCACGATCTTGGCTCACTGCAACCTCCGCCTCCCAGGTTCAAGTGATTCTCCTGCCTTAGCCTCCTGAGTACCTGGGATTACAGGCGCGTGCCCACTCCCAGCTAATTTTTGTATTTTTAATAGACAGGGTTTCACCATGTTGGCCAGGCTGATCTCGGACTCCTGACCTCAGGTGATCCGCTTGCCTCGGCCTCCCAAAGTGCTGGGATTACAGGCGTGAGCCATGGCGCCCCACCTGAAAGTGCCTTTTGTAAAACAGAGCCTGGAGGTTGAGACTCATTGCGGAGTCACTAGATAACTCCTCCCTTTGCAGCTTTGAAAGGACACTCTCGGAATGCAGTTCTGTCTTGCTATCCCTGGTTGTAAGAAGATACAACTAGGTCCCTTAAGGCAGTAGTAGCCTAACATTGTTACGTTTGTAATGTGTTCTCTTAGTCGTATTTATTGACTTAATTAGGCTGATACAGATATTCTGAGAACTAGGAATACCTTAGTTACATTGATACAGATATTCTGAGAACGTTTATCTTTAGTGGGAAAAAAGACAATGAGCTGTAGCTGAATTGTTCCAGTTTTTTGTGTTCCTGGTTCCACTGGAGAATGAACTGATGATGTGACGTCATTGTTAGCACAGCCACGCTGGGAAAGATGGCTCTCAAGGTGCTGTTTTTAATGGTGTTTAGTCATTAATAATTGGCAGTAAGAAAACTCATCTTTTGACTTTCATTTGGACAGATGGAATATAGAAAACCTGAAATAGGCCGGGCACGTTGGGTCACGCCTGTCATCCCAGCACTTTGGGTGGCTGAGGCAGGCGGATCTCCTGAGATCGGGAGTTCGAGACCAGCCTGACCAACATGGAGAAACCCTGTGTCTACTAAAAATACAAAATTAGCTGGGTGTGGTGGCGCATGCCTCTAATACCAGCTACTCGGGAGGCTAAGGCAGGAGAATCACTTGAACTCCAGCCTGGGCAACAAGAGTGAAACTCCATCTAAAAAAAAAAAAAAAAAAAAAGAGAGAGAAAACCCGAAATAAGGAAATTTAAAACTACTGATGTGTTTTTTTTTTTTTTTTTTGAGACAGAGTCTCGCTCTGTCACCCAGGCTGGAGTGCAGTGGCGCCATCTCAGCTCACTGCAACGTCCTCCTCCCGGGTTCAAACAATTCTCCTGCCTCAGTCTCCCGAGTAGCTGGGATTACAGGCGCCACCACCACGCTCTGCTAATTTTTGTATTTTTAGTAGAGACGGGGTTTCACCATGTGGGCCAGGCTGGTCTCAAACTCCTGACTGCAGGTGATTCCCCTGTCTTGGCCTCCCAAAGTGTTGGGATCACAGGCCAAAGTGTGAGTCACTGTGCCCGGTCTACTGTTGTGTTTTCAAAGTGGCTTTTTTGGTCTTGTATTTTTCAGAATACGATAGCATTTTGAGTATATAGAGAATGTTTTAAAAATTCTGTGTTTTTGCCATTTCTGAGCTGTTGGAGGATGTTAGGATAATGAACATCATTTTGATAGCCATTTGAGCTGGGTGGAAGAAGATGTGGTTTAAATATAAAATGTCTGTTCTGGGTCCTCCTTGAGGACCTGTTCCCACTTTGCCAAGCTTCCCCCTGGACTTGTCCACACGTGATTAAACACAGCTGAAATCCTGTACACTTGAGTGAACTGCATGTAAGTGTTCTGTGGGCTGGGCTGATTCATCTTTACATTGTACACTTCCTGGGGTTGTAGCCTTTGACCCCTGGGTGACCTCCTCCAGGAATTCTGGGTACTCGATAGGACTCAAATGTTTATTGCTGAATTGGTTGGATGTGGGCTTCTGAGTTTGGATTGGGTGACTACTGTACCATAGGAAACCATGTAAAACAGTTATAAATGTAAGTCAGATTAAATTCACTTCTGATTCTACAGTTGCTCCCACTTTTTTTTGTTTTTGTTGATGGTAGACTCCCCAAAGTGACTTTTTTGGCCTTGTACAGTCATGCATCACTTAACTGTGGAAATCATTCTGAGAAATGCATTGTTAGGTGATTTCATTGTTGTGCGAACATCATAGAGCATACTTGTACAAGCCTAGATGACACAGCCTGCTGCACACCCAGGCTGTGTGTATATCCTGTTGCGCCTACAGCCACATGCTGCACAAACTTAAGCAACATGTGACTGTATTGAATGCTGTAACATGGTGTTTGTGTATCTAAACATATTAAAACATAGAAAAGGCACAGTAAAAATAAGGTACAAAAGATAAAGGTACAGCTCTCTAGAGCACTTAGTGTCAGCAGAGCTTGCAGGACGGGGTGAGTCAGTGAGTAAATGGTGAGTGAATGTGAAGGCCTAGGACGTGACTGTACACCGCTGTCAACTTCATAAACACTGGACATTTAGGCTATACTTTATTTATTTGAGAAGGAGTTTCGCTTTTGTCGCCCAGGCTGCAGTGCAATGGCGTGATCTTGGCTCACTGCAACGTCTGCCTCCCAGGTTCAAGCAGTTCTCCTGCCTCAGCTTCCCGAGTAGCTGGGATTACAGGCTCACGCCGCCACGCCCGGCTAATTATTTTATTTTATTTTATTTTAGTAGAGATGGGGTTTCACCATGTTGTCCAGGCTGGTCTTGAACTCCTGAGCTCAGGTAAACACCTACCTTGGCCTCCCTAAGTGCTAGGATTATAGGCGTGAGCCACTGTGCCCATCTTATTTATTTTTTTGAGATGGAGTTTCGCTCTTGTTGCCTAGGCTGCAGTGCAATGGCGCGTTCTCGGCTCACTGCAGCCTCCGCCTCCTTGGTTCAAGCAATTCTCCTGCCTCAGCTTTCCGAGTAGCTGGGATTACCAGCACCCGAGACCAGCCCAGCTAGTTTTTGCATTTTTAGTGGAGACGGGGTTTCACCATGTTGGCCAGGCTGGTCTTGAACTCCTGACCTCAGGTGATCCACCCACCTCGGCCTCCCAAAGTGCTGGGATTACAGGCGTGAGCCACTGCGCCTGGCCTAAATGTATTTAAAAAGAGTTTTCTTGTCAGGTAAAAGAAAAAAATTGTAAATAATTTATTAGTCTTAACATACTATAATTTTTTTTTACTTTATAAACTAATACTTAGTTTAAAACACACATTGTGCAGACATAAAAAAATATTTTTGTTGTTTTTTTCTGAGACTACGTCTCACTGTGTGGCCCAAGCTGGAGTGCAATGGTGTGATTGTGGCTCACTGCAACCTCTGCCTCCCGGGTTCGAGTGATTCTCCTGCTTCAGCCTCCCGAGTAGCCACCTCACCTGGCTAATTTTTGTATTTTTAGTAGAGATGGGGTTTTGCCGTGTTGACCAGGCTGGTCTCGAACTCCTGACCTGAGGTGATCTGCCTGCTTTGGCCTCCCAAAGTGCTGGGATTACAGGTGTGAGCCACCGCGCCTGACCACAAAAATATTTTTGTATTCTTATTTGATAAGCTTTTTTCTGTTTGTAAAATTATTATTTTTTTCTTTTTAAACTTTTTTTGTTTAAAAACTAAGACTGAAACACACACTAGCCTAGCCCTACATAGGGTCAGGACCAGCAGTATCACTGTCTTCTACCTCCACATCTTGTTCCACTCCAAAGTTCTTAGGGGAAGTAACGTGCATGGAGCTGTCACCTCCGGTGATAACGGCTTCTTCTGGATACTTCCTGAAGGACCTACCTGGGGCTGTTGTATAGTTAACTTTTTAAAAATAAGTAGAAGCAGTATACTCTAAATTAACGATAAAATGTATAGTGCTGCCGGGCGTGGTGGCTCACGCCTGTAATCCCAGCACTTTGGGAGGCCAGGCGGGTGGATCACCTGAGGTCAGGAGTTTGAGACCAGCCTGGCCAACATGGTGAAACCCTGTCTCTACTAAAAATGCAAAAAATTAGCCAGGCATGGTAGCACACGCCTGTAATCCCAGCTACTCGGGAGGCTGAGGCAGGAGAATTGCTTGAACCCAGGAGGCAGAGGTTGTAGTGAGCCGAGACCGTGCCACTGCACTCCAGCCTGGGTGATGGAGTGAGACTTTGTCTCAAAAAAAAAAAGTATAGTGCAGTGAATACATAACCAGTAACTGTCATTTATTATTATTAAGTATTACATATTGTACGCGATCGTATGTGCTGTACTTTCATACGGCTGTTCGCGTAGTAGGTTCGTTGACACCAGCATCACCCCAGACTCATGAGTAATTCATTGCACTATGACATCACAATGGCTAGGAATAGGAATTTTTCAGCTCCATCATAATCTTAACGGGACCCTCATATATGCGGCCCATCATTGACTTGAAACGACGTGAATTTTGTTAGCCGGGCATGGTGGTGCCCAGCTGTAGGTTAGCCGGGCGTGGTGACGCACAGCTGTAGGTTAGCTGGGCCTGGCACAGCTAGGTTAGCTGGGTGTGGTGGTGCGCAGCTGTAATCCCAGCTACTCGTGAGACTGAGGTTGGAGGATCACTTGGGCCCAAGAGGTGGAGGCTATAGGGAGCCGAGATCACACCGGTGCACTCCAGCCCAGGCAACAGAAGGGGAGACCCTGTCTCAGGTCGATAGGTAGATAAGATAGCCGGGCATGGTGGCACACACTTGTAGTCCCAACTGAGTAAGACACTGTCTCAAAAAAAAAAAAAAAGAGAAAAATAGCCAGATGTTGTGGCAAGGGCCTCTAGTCCTAGCTACTTGGGAGGCCGAGGTGGGAGGATCACTTGACCCTCGGAGGTTGAGGCTGCTGTGGACTGTGATTGCACTATTGCACTCAAGTCTGGGCAGCAGAGCAAAACCTCGACTCGAAAAAAAAAGAAAAGATGGCTGATATGTAGAGGGGTAACCTGTGGAAGCCTGGCTGCACATGGACAAAATTTCTTGTGATTGAATAAAAATGTTCTAATAATGTGTGTCAGGGCACATGACTTGTCGTACTGCTTGATAGTTGTTGCGGCTCTAATATAGGAACAAGTCAGACCATGAAGTTGGTGGCTTGTTGTTCCCGAGTCTTTGCACCGGGTGCTGCTCTTCTGCTTCTCCTGCAGAGCATGTGCACAGACCTGGCTCTAGGTCGTCATGCCTCAGGCTAGAGGAGGGGCCAGGCTCCTTCTTGCTGAGAACTTTAGCAGAGCTCTGGAGGAGACCCTCCTGGGACTGCGCTACTGGAGCACATCCTTATCGCACATGAGATGGTCTCTAGCTCTGATCCTTCTCACCACACACTTCAGCCCATCCAGGTTTGACTTTAGTGACTGGGTGCCTCAGCACTCACTCCTGTTCCTGTCTCCTCTTACAGATGGTAACGAACTCGTTGAAACATGTCCCCAGAAGTAATATTTATTTTCCATGGATCTTTTATCTTGTTCTCTCTTAAAAGTTGTTTTTCAGGCTATGCCTTTTCTTGTTGACACAAATCTACCTGTTAATTATTGAGTGCTGAAAAACACACATTTTTTGGGGGCAGGTTCTTGCTCTGTCGCCCAGCTGGAGTGCAGTGGCACCATCTTGGCTCACTGCAACCTCCACCTCCCAGGTTTAAGCGATTCTCCTGCCTCAGCCTTAGGAGTAGCTGGGATTACAGATGCCTGCCACCACACCTGGCTGATTTTTGTATTTTTTGTACAGATGGGGTTTCCACATGTTGGTTAGGCTGGTCTCGAACTCCTGACCTCAGCTTATCCACCTGCCTCAGCCTCCTAAAGTGCTGGGATTACAGGTGTAAGCCACCGTGCCCGGCCTTGGCCTTCGTGATTTCTGATGAGAAGTCAGCTGTTAACAGTTATCCAGTCGCTTATCTCTTGCTGCTGTCAAGATTCTCTCTTTTTTTGTCTTTTGGCTTTCAACACTGATTAAAATGTGTTTCATTTTGGGTCCTGTGAGTTTATCCTACTTGGAGTTTGTTGAGCTTCTTGGATTTGTAAAATTTTTGTCTTTCATTAAACTCGAAAAGGTTTTGGCCATTATTTTTTCAGACATTCTTTCTGCCCATTTCAAACTTCCATGGTTGGTTGGTGAGCTGACATCTCACAGGTCCTTTAGGCTCTGCTCGTCTTCTTTGTTCTTTCTCCTTTCTGAGGAGACTTGCGGGAGCAGAATCTCAGTCTTCCCATCTTCAAGTTTCCTGATTCTTCTTGTGCCTGCTCAGATGTGCTATTGAACTGCTAGCATGAGCTTTTCATGTTTGTCATTGTACCTTTTAAAAGCTCCAGGATTTCTGTTTTGTTCCTTTTTATGCTGTCTCTGTCGATAGTCCTGTTTGGTTCACACACACGTTGTTTTCCTTATCTCTTTTAGTTGTGTGTTTTTGTTTTTGTTTTTTTTTTGAGATGGAGTTTCACTTTTGTTGCCCAGGCTGGAGTGCAGTGGCGCGATCTGGGCTCACTGAAACCTCTTCTGGTTCAAGCGATTCTCCCGCCTCAGCCTCCCGAGTAGCTGGGATTACAGGCATGCGCCACCATGCCCAGGTAATTTTGTATATTTAGTGGAGATGGGGTTTCTCCATGTTGGTCAGGCGGGTCTGGAACTCCTAACCTCAGGTGATCCGCCTGTCTCAGCCTCCCGAAGTGCTGGGATTATAGGTGTGAACCACCGTGCCTGGCATTTTTTTTGTATTTTTAGTAGAGATGGGGTTTCACCGTGTTGGCCAGGCTGGTCTCAAACTCCTCACCTCAGGTGATCTGCCCATCTCGGCCTCCCCAAGTGCTGGGATTACAGGTGTGAGCTACGGTGCCCGGCCTGTGTTTTTATTTAAGTTTTTGAGCATATTTAAGGCAGTTGTTTCAAAGTCTTTGTCTAGCAAATCCAGCATCTGGCCTTCCCCAGAATAGTTTCTGTCAGTTTTTATTTCTTTGACTGAGTCATACTTTCCTGTTTCTTTGTGTGCCTTGTGATTTTTGTTGTTGTTGCAAACTGGACCTGTGATGATGAGAACGCAGTAGCTCTGGAAATCAGATTCTTCTCCTTTCCTTGGGTTTGGTGGGGTTTTTTGCTTGCCAAAGGATATAGGGGCCCTTTTATTTAACGACTTTTCCAAGCTATTGTTATTGCAGACTATCTTCCTTCGTTATGTAGTCACTGAAGTCCTTGTTCCTCAGCTTGTGTTTAGTTGGTGTTTTGACAAAGATTTCCTTGAATGCCAGGAACTCTTACAGTCTTTACGAACTGGCTCTGTGCCTGAGCCCTCCTTGAACTCTTGATGGGCTTGCCCTTGGCCTAGGGATCAGCCCAGAGTGAAAGCAAGCTCGAGGCCGAGGAGGTCTTCGCAGAGGGGGCCTTTTGCCCTGGGCATGTGTGTAGCTTTCTGAATTTTCCAGCACACACTGAGGCCTCTGAATGTCCTGATTTCCCAGAAACACACCCAGGTTTTCGCCTTAGGCAGTCTGTTGTATGTTGGGACTGTAATCTTCTGCCCCAGGCATCTGAGAGTTAAATGGGTTTGAAATGTTTTTAAGCTTTTTTTGGCCTTGGATCTGACTTAGGCAAAACAGAAGAGGAGTGCCTTGTGTCAGTCAGACTCCAGACACATTAGAACAGACACACACAATACATTTTGAATGAGGTCTCCAGCAGCTTCTGGTAGGCACTTAAGGTTAGAAAACATTGTTTAGGAAAAGAATAGAATATAAAGCTTAGCGGTTGGTTGTAGAAGGTTCTTGCTGCTGGATCCACTCAGCTCCTGGGCAGTTGGTGGGGGCCAGCCTCCAGCTGACCAGTGAGTGGGATGCTGGGCTGGAGCTGCTGGTATTATGTTAGGAAGGTTATTCCTGAGAAATTCAGATACTTGTTGACTGAATTGGTATGATGCTTATAGTCTTTCTTAAATGATTAAAGTTTAACATATTATTAAATTTAAAAATATTGTGAAATAATACTTCTTGTAGAACATTTAGACCGTAAAAGTGGATGTGAAAAATTATCCATTGCCGGGCGGGCACGGTGGCTCACGCCTGAAATCCCAGCACTTTGGGAGGCTGAGGTGGGCGGATCATGAGGTCAGGAGTTTGAGACCAGCCTGGCCAGCATACAAAAAATTAACCGGGCATGGTGGTGTGTGCCTGTAATCAGCTATTCAGGAGGCTAAGGCAGGAGAATTGCCTGAACCTGGGAAGTGGAAGTTGCAGTGAGCTGAGATCATGCCACTGCACTCCGGCCTGGGCGACAAGAGTGAGACTCCATCTCAAAAAAAAAAAAAAAAAAAAAAAGGCCAGGCACACGGTGGCTTATGCCTGTTTGCCAACACTTTTGGAGGCCGAGGCGGGCAGGTCACGAGGTCAAGAGATTGAGACCATCCTGGCCAACATGGAAACCCCATCTCTACTGAAAATAAAAAAATTAGCCGGGCGTGGTGGTACACGCCTGTAATCCCAGCTACTCTGGAAGCTGAGGCAGGAGAACCCCTTGAACCTGGGAGGTGGAGGTTATAGTGAGCTGAGATTGCACCACTGCACTCCAGCCTGGCAATGGAGACTCTGTCTCCAAAAAAAAAAAAAAAAAAATCCGTGGCCAGGCACAGTGGCTCTCACCTGTAATCCCAGCACTTCTGGAGGCTGAGGCAGGTGGATTGCTTGAGGTCAGGAGTTCGAGACTAGCTTGGCCAACATGGTGAAACCCTGTCTCTACAAAAATACAAAAATTAGCTGGGCATGATGGTCGGTGCCTGTAATCCCAGCTACTTGGGAGGCTGAGACAGGAGAATCGTTTGAACCCAAGAGGCAGAGGTTGCAGTGAGCCGAGATCGTGCCATTGCACTCCAGCCTGGGCGACTGAGCAAGACTCCGTCTGAAAAAAGAAAAAAAAGATATAGGCCGGGTGGGAGGTGGGAGGATTGCTGGAGGCCAGGAGTTCGAGACCAGCCTGGCCAACATAGTGAGACTTCTTTCTCTACAAAAAATTTAAAAATTAGGTGTGGTCGTGCATTCCTCCAGTCCTGGACACTTGGGAGGCTAAGATGGGAAGATCACTTGAGCCCGGGAAGTTGAGGCTGTAGTGAGCCATGCTCGTGCCGCTGCGCTCCAACCTGGGTGACAGACCAAGATCCTGTCTCCAATTAAAACAACATTAAGCTCATTTTGTCAAAGGAAAAATTACCGTCCTCGCATTTGCCTTCGTTGTTGCAGACAGAAGAATGCCCTTGTCCTCTGCTGGTGGACACAGTCCCCACAGGAGCCGCATGGGGTTTTTCTGTGTATCATGTATGGTGTAGAAGAGCAAAATGCTCTGCACCGTGTTTTATAGGGAATGAAAAAGAACCCCACCAAACTTAGGATGCATCTTTCCAGCCGGGCCCTTCCTCAAGCCCCTCACTGTCACCTCTGGCCCCAGGGCAGGCCTGGGGCTCACCCCTTGGACAACACTGAGGCCCAGCCCAGAGAAGGGACTTGTACCCTACGCCATACCCACAGCTCACAGCCACTCAGCCCAGCATGGGTTGCCCCAGCCAGATCTCCTTCCAAAACAGTTAGAAGAGTATTGATGAAGAGTCCTTCAGAATTTTGATTCTTCTTCCTCTCCTGGTTTATCTTCTGGTGGAAAGAAAAACACGTTTGGAATGTTTAAGACTGAGAGGTGATGGGATTTCTTTTTGAGGTAGAAAATGTGGTATGAGAATGGGAGGGAGAAATAGAAAAGTATTGAAGCTTTTAAAACTGTAAGGTGGCCGGGCGTGGTGGCTCAGGCCTGTCATCTCAGCACTGTAAGGTGGCCGGGCGTGGTGGCTCAGACCCGTAATCTCAGCACTGTAAGGTGGCCGGGCGTGGTGGCTCAGGCCCGTAATCTCAGCACTGTAAGGTGGCCGGGCGTGGTGGCTCAGACCCCTAATCTCAGCACTGTAAGGTGGCCGGGCGTGGTGGCTCAGGCCCGTAATCTCAGCACTGTAAGGTGGCCGGGCGTGGTGGCTCAGACCTGTAATCTCAGCACTGTAAGGTGGCTGGGCGTGGTGGCTCAGGCCTGTAGTCTCAACACTTTGGGAAGCTGATGCGGGAGGATCAGTTGAGGACAGGAGTTCGAGACCAGCCTGGACAACATAGATGGACCCTGTCTCTACAAAAAAAATGAAACAATTAGCTCTGTATGGTGGCACATGCCTGTGATTCCAGCTACTTTGGAGGCTGAGGTGGGAGGATTGCTTGAACCCAGGAAGTCAAGGCTGTAGTGAGCCATGATCATACCACTGCACTCCAGTCTGGGTAACACTCGAGACCTTGTTTTAAAAAAAAAAATTAATTAAAAAATATATGTAAATGGGCCGGGCATGGTGGCTCACGCCTGTAATCTCAACACTTTGGGAGGCTGAGGTGACTGGATCACCTGAGGTCAGGAGTTCGAGACCAGGCTGGCCAACATGGTGAAACCCTGTCTCCGTTAAAAATACAAAAAATTAGCTGGGCATGGTGGCAGGCACCTGTAATCCCAGCTACTCAAGAGGCAGAGGCAGGAGAATCTCTTAAACCTGGGAGGTGGAGGTTGCAGTGAGCTGGGATCATGCCACTGCACTCCAGCCTGGGTGACACAGCGAGACTCCATCTCAAAAAAAAAAAAATATCGATAATTGAAAGAGCTTGTTGGACGCGGTGGCTCACGCCTGTAATCTCAGCACTTTGGGAGGCCAAGGAAGGCGGATCACCTGAGGTCGGGAGTTCAAGACCAGCCTGGCCAATATGGTGAAAACCTGTCTCTACTAAAAATACAAAAATTAGCCGAGTGTGATGGCGGATGCCTGTAATCCTGGCTACTTGGGAGGCTGAGGCAGGAGAATTGCTTGAACCTGGGAGGTGGAAATTGCGGTGAGCCGAGGTCATGCCATCGCAGTCCAGCCTGGGCAACAAGAGCGAAACTGTCTCAAAAAAAAAAAAAAGAGTTACCTTTCAGAATGGGCTCAACCGCTTGAATGATTTGGAGAATTGGAGGTAAGAGATTTTGGTGTTAATGACTTTCACTTCCCTGTCTTATGTCCATTCTTCCTGCACGATTGTTGTTTGTGGGTATGCGTCCTTCTGCACGTAATCTGTTTGAAGCCTTTCCAGTGATCCCATGTCTATACCCCCTTTCCCCTGTGTAGCCATCCCATTGGCCTGGATGCTTGGGGATGGTTTGTCTACTCATGCCCCTGTCTTTTCTCCTGGAGTTGGCACACTCCAGTCCAGCACCCACCCTCAGGCGTAACCCTTTCCTTCCTCCCACACGCCTGCCCACTGGATGCTACTCTGCAGCTGCCTCTCCTGTAAGACCAGCCGTGAAGGTTCCTGCTCAGATGCTTTCCCTATATCTGTCTCTCAGTGCCATCTAGGGAGGGAGCAAATAGTTATCAAGTTAGCAGTTTATTCTGTCTTGAATTCTCTAATTGTTTTATGCCCACTAACAAGGTTGACAGCTGAGGTCCCATATCAGTAAGTGAGCATTTATTATTTTTTTCCCAGCGCATCACACCTGGGCTTGTTGAACAGAAAAGCCTTTTTATGTGTTAATACTGTGTTGGCTTGAAATGGAGTGGCACCTTCGGGGGCTGACAGTGGCATAGCTTGGAGTGTGATCTTTCTCAGACAGGGGTCCACAGTGGGTGTGTGTGGCGTGTGGCTGCTGCTTCATTGTCCTTGGAGTAGGCCCTCCCAGCGGTTGGAGGGTGTTTGAGACCAAGCAAATTCCTGTGTGAGCAGCTCCGTCTTCTCTGGTTCTGCTGATGGATTCACCTTTTAGCATAGGTGTCAGTGGGCCAACCTCAGGGGCGTGCAGGGACAGGGACAAAGGGTGTGGTATAAGCACAAGTAGGCCTGAAATAGACAGGTTTCTGGAGTTAGAATTTTAAAATAGTTGTAGATTCTAAATAACTAATGATTTACAGTTTTTTTTTTTTTCAGTCAGAGTTGTGCTGTATCGCCCAGGCTGGAGTGCAGTGGCACGATCTCGGCTCACTGCAACCTCCGTCTCCTGGGTTCAAGTGATTCTCGTGCCTCAGCCTCCCAAGTAGCTGGGATTACAGGCGCCCGCCATCACGCCCGGCTAATTTTTGTATTTTTAGTAGAGACGGGGTTTAACCATGTTGGCCAAGGCTGGTCTCGAACTCCTGACCTCCTGCCTCAGCCTCCCAAAGTGCTGGGATTGCAGATGTGAGTCACCACGCCTGGCCAAATTTTTAAATGTATTAACTTGTATCTGTGTATTACAAATTGATACTTGTGTGACAATCAGATATGACACTCAAATGAAAACTGATAACTTTTTTTTCATACTTAACACACTGTGAACTGCATTGTACCTGTTTCAAGAGGTAGGAAGGGTGATTTTTTTCTTAATAGATGGAGTCTTACTTTGTTGCCCAGGCTGGAGTGCAGTGGTGCGATCATGGCTCACTGCTCCCTCGAATTTCTGGGCTCAAGGGATCCTCTTTACCTCAGCCTCCTGAGTAGTAGGGACTAGAGGCACAAATCACTGCATCCAGCTAATTAAATTTTTTTTTTTTTTTGAGATGGAGTCTCATTCGGTTTCCCAGGCTGGAGTGCAGTGACACAATCTCAGCTCACTGCAACCTCCACCTTCCCGGTTCAAGTGATTCTTTTGCCTCAGCCACCCTAGTAGCTGGGATTACAGGCATGCACCACCACGCCTGGCTATGTTTGTATTTTTTGGTAGAGACAGGGTTTCGCCACGTTGGCCAGTGTGGTCTTGAACTCCTGGCCTCAAGTGATCCACTTGCCTCAGCCTCCCTCCACAAATTTTTTTTTTCTTCTTTCTTTTTTTTTTTTTTGAGACAGTTTCGTTCTTGTCGCCCAGGCTGGAGTGCAATGGTGCGATCTCGGCTCACTGCAACCTCCGCCTCCTGGGTTCAGGCAATTCTCCTGCCTCAGCCTCCCGAGTAGCTGGGATTACAGGTGCGCACTACCAGGCCCAGCTAATTCTTTTTGTATTGTTAGTAGAGACGGGATTTCACCATGTTGGCCAGGCTGGTCTCGAACTCCTGAACTCAGGTGATCCGCCCGTCTCTGGCCTCCCAAAGTGCTGGGATTACAGACGTGAGCCACCATGCCCTTCCCCAGTTTTTTATTTTATTTTATTTTATACAGACAGGGTGTCACTGTCCTGCTCAGGTTGGTGTAGTTAGTACTCCTGGGCTCAAGCAATCTTCCTGCCTTGGCCTCCCAACCGTGAATTACTGGGATTACAGGTGTGAGCTGCCACACCCGGCAGAAGGGCAGTTTTGGTGTTGATAGGAGAAACAGCAGAGGACCCTGCTGGCAGGAGAGGACAGGTGCAGAGTGCGGCCAAAGCAGTATTACCAAGGGCTTGGTCAGCTTTAAAAGTAGTCTCTGGGCTGGATGCAGTGGCTCATGCCCAGTACTTTGGGAGACTGAGGCAGGAGGATCAGTTGAGGACAGGAGTTCGAGACCAGTCTAAGGAACATAGTAGGACCCTGTCTGTACAAAAAATAAAAAAAATTAGCTGGGTGTGGTGGTGCGCACCTGTAGTCCCAGGTACTCAGGAGGCTGATGTGAGAGAATTGCTTGAGCCCAGGAGGTTGAGGCTGCAGTGAGCCGTGATTGCAGAGTGAAACCCTGTATAAATGAATAAACGAATGAATGGTCCCTGGTACTTAACAGGTTATTTACCTGGAAAGGAAAAGTAGAATAAGTTAAACTTCTTCAGTGCTGTTGCCAGAGTGGCCAGTGGGTCCTCAGCAGAGGACATTTCCCACGTGGGGGTTTCGTTTGATACTGTGATTTTTGTCTTAAAACTGTTATCTAAATCCACAACTATTTTTAAATGCTTAGTAAATAAAACTGGACATGCTATCAGAATATTTTGAGATACCTTTTTTATTGTGTTGTGTTGTTTTAGAGATAGGGCCTTGCTCTGGTACCCAGGCTGGAAGTGTCAGTGGTGCAGTCATAGCTCACTGCAGCCTGGAACTCCCGGGCTCATGTTATCCGGGGAGGCCGTAGGTGAGAACTTCTGGCATCTAAATGAAGGCTTCTTTTAAGGGGCAGACTGATAGCTCAGTGTTGTGTGAGCACCTGCTGTGGGGGTGCCACACCCAGGAGCTGAGCAGAGGTCCACCACAGCTGCCCACTTGGAGCCCAGAGCTTTTGCCTCTTCTGGCAGCTTCTCTTTGCTTGTTTGAATAGTTCTGGGCTCTGCTCTGAGAATGGTCATGAGAAACCGGAGCAGTAGGAAGGCCATGATAGGGAAGAGTCTTTCTTTTATTTTTATTTTTTAGTGAGACAGGGTCTTGCTAGAGTGCAGTGGTGTGATCATGGCTCACTGCAGCCTTGAACTCCTGGCCTCAAGTGATCCTGCTGCTGCAGCCTCCTAAGTAGCTGGGACTACACGCCAGCATGCTTAGCTTTTTTTTTTTTTTTTTTTTGAGACGGAGTCTTCTTCTGTCACCCAGGCTGGAGTGCAGTGGCGCAATCTTGGCTCATTGCAAGCTCCGCCTCCCGGGTTCATGCCATTCTCCTGCCTCAGCCTCCCGAGCAGCTGGGACTACAGGCACCCGCCACCACGCCTGGCTAATTTTTTGTATTTTTAGTAGAGATGGGGTTTCACTGTGTTAGCCAGGATGGTCTCAATCTCCTGACCTCGTGATCCGCCCGCCTCAGCCTCCCAAAGTGCTCGGATTACAGGCGTGAGCCACCGTGCCCAGCCAAGCTTTTTGTTTTTTTTATAGACATGAGGTCTCACTATGTTGCACAAGCTGGTCTTGAACTCCTGGGCTCAGTTGATCCTCCCACTTCGGCTTTCCAAAGTTCTGGGATTATAGGCGTGAGCCACTGCGCCCGGCCAAGCTTTTACTTTGAAAATTCTTTGGCTTTTACATTTTATGCCATGTGCATTTATCATCTGTTAGTGACAACAACAAAAATACTTATTGATCATCTTCTCTGGACAGTAGTTAAATGGATTTATTCTTTTTTTTATGTAAGCCACCTAATCTTCCCCTTAAATTAGAATATTTGTGGAGAAAGTCCTAGGGAAATGGCACTGTGCTGGTACAGTACACACACACACGCCACCCAAAACCGTGGGCCCAGAGATGCTTTGGAATCAGAGCAGACTGGATTTTACAACAGTAGCACAGCGTGTGTACTGGGTATGATTTCTTATTCCCAGCACTGCGTCATCCAACATGTGAGCATTTCTGTTGCTGAACTCATGAATATTCTCACTAAGTGGGCTAATTGAAGGGTATAATTAGTTCTTTCTCAGTTTAGGTCAGAATTGGCTGCCAGATGATTTCAGGTCAGATTTTTTGGAGCTTTTTTGCTTTCTGGAATTGTGGAAAAGGGATTGTGGACCTTTATGGGGCATAGAGCGACTCCAGGCAAGTCGCTGTGGGAGGGGTGTGCAGAGTGAAGTGCTGGCGGGTGGCCGTCCTCAGTGGCTTTGGGACCTGGCTTCCGTCCAGCTCTGTGTCTGCAGTGCTACTGTCTGTCCCCCTTTCCTCTTGGGAGCCAGTGCTGCCCACCCAGGTCCCGGGGGCGCACCCTCTCCATGGTGTGCTCTGTTGCTCTGCGTTTACGGAGATGGAAAAAAATAATTAAAAAAAAAAAAGAATTGTCGATCTGCCCCGTCTGTCCTACTTGAGCTTTTCTCGGACCTGTCATCTGTTCTTCCTTCTTCCCCATTGCTGCTGACCTAGTGGTTTCTCACTTGGACTTCTGGAGGGGTTTCTTAGTTGGTCTCCATTCCTCTCCACTTTGTAAAAGTATCATCTAGACACAGAAAAGTGCACAGATTCTAAGTATAGCTCAGTAAGAACCACTGGTACGGTCTGTTCTAGTGAAGACGTGACGTCATCAGCATCCACCTCTCCCAGCCAGGGCCTCCCACTCCTCAGCTCGGAATTCCTATCCCGAATTCTAAACCATAAATTAGTTTTGTTTGCTTTTGAACTTCATATCCATGAAATTGTACAGAGTCCTTTGTAGGAGACGGTGTTTGTTTTTTATTGAATACTGTGTTTCTGAGGTTAGTCCATATTTTTGCACGTAGCTATTGGCCATTCTCATTACTGGAAAGTAGTAACGTGGATATACAACGATTCAATATTCTGCTATAGGTAGACATTTAAAGTAATTTTATTTGGGGCTATTATGAATAATGCTGTTGTGAATATTCTTATAGTCTTTTTTTTGTTGTTGTTGGAAGGCTTTTTTTTTTTTTTCTTTTGAGACAGAGTCTTGCTCTGTCTCCCAGGCTGGAGTACAGTGGCACGATCTTGGCTCACTGCAACCTCTGCGTCCCAGGTTCAAGCGATTCTCCTATCTCAGCCTCCTGAGTGGCTGGGATTATAGGTACGCACCAGCACACCTGGCTAATTTTTGTACTTTTAGTAGAGACGGGGTTTCACCATGTTGGCCAGGCTGGTCTAGAACTCCTGACCTCACATGATCGACTTGCCTTGGCCTCCCAAAGTGCTGGGATTACAGGCGTGAGCCACCGCGCTTGGCCGATGTGTTCAGCTTTCTTACCAACATGTTGGAAAGCGCTTTGTGCAGTTCATAGCCATTTACACTGTGTGAGATCCAGTTCAGGGTGCCTCAGAGCTGCCTCAACTTTTGACATTTTCTCTCTTTTTTATTTTAGGTATTTTAGCAGGTATTGTGGTTTTAATTTGCATTTCCCTAATGACTAATGATGTTGAAGATCCTTCTATGTGCTTACTTGCTACCAAGCATGGTTGGTTTTTTTTTTTTTTTTTTTTGAGATGGAGTCTCGCTTGGTCGCCCAGGCTGGAGTGCAGTGGTGCCATCTTGGCTCACAGCAACCTCCGCCTCCTGGGTTCAAACAATTCTCCTGCCTCAGCCTCTTGAGGAGCTGGGATTACAGGTGCCTGCCACCACTCCCGCCTAATTTTTGTATTTTTGGTAGAGACGGGATTTCGCCGTGTTGGCCAGGCTGGTCTCAAACTCCTGACCTCAGGTGATCCACCTGCCTCGGCCTCCCAGAGTGCTGGGATCGCAGGCATGAACCACTGCACCCAGCCAGCGTGGTATATTAAAAATACTTTCCTGCACATTAACAAATGTTCACCTCTCGGTGCAGCTCGCCTTGTAAGTGTGGTGGGGAAGCTAGGAGTCTGAGTGCACATGCAGGAGCTCTTCGCTGCAGGTCCCGAGTGGAGGGAGAGGTAATCTGTAGAGTGCCCCAAGAGTGAAGTGCTGCGTCCCAGTGTCAAACAGAGGTAACACCTCGCTTTTCTTTTCCTTTTTTTTAAACGGTGACGGGGGTCTCACCATGTTGCCCAGGCTGGTCTTGAACTCCTGGGCTCAAGTGTTCCTCCCACCTCAGACTCCCAAGTTCAGGGATAATAGGTGTAAGCCACTGAGCCCAACCTAAAACTCGCTTTTAAATAAAGAACTCAGGCCGGGTGCGGTGGCTCACACCTGGAATCCCAGCACTTTGGGAGGCCGAGGCAGATGGATCACCTGAGGTCAGGGGATTGAGACCATCCCGCCCAACATGGTGAAACCCCGTCTCTACTAAAAATACCAAAATTAGTCGGGCGTGGTGGTGGGTGCCTGTAGTCCCAGCTACTCTGGAGGCTGAGGTGGGAGAATCACTTGAACCCGGGAGGTGGAGGTCACAGTGAGCCGAGATGGCACCACTGCACTCCAACCTGGGCGACAGGAGCAAAAACTCCATCAAAAAAAAAAAAAAAGGAAGGAGAAAGAAAGAAAGAATACACTGATCTCTCTTATAGTGTATACTGTCTATTACTACTGATTTTAAAGCTACAACCTTAAGCATCATACTCCCTGTGTTTAGAATATTCAGGGTGTAGTATTGTGGTTCACATTGTAGTATTGTGGTTCTCCATTGTGGTTCCCCGGAAGTGATCAAGGTGATACTTTACATTCAGGGTGTCCAGTCTTTAGGCTTTCCTGGGCCACATTGGAAAAAGTATTGTCTACACTAACAAGAGCTGGTAAGCTGAAAAAATCACAAAAATCATAATGTTTTAAGAAAGTTTATGAATTTGTATTGGGCCACATTCAAAGCCATCCTGGGCTGCATGCAGCCCACGGGCCGTGGGTTGGACAAGCTTGTTTTAAGAGTTTAGGAAGAAAAATAATACTTCTGGTTATTTTTTTCATCCTGCTTAGTTGCTATTTTTCTGTTTTACAGTGTGCAATACTGTAATATAATTTATACATATATTAATATATTGTTGCCAGCTTATTTTTACTTTAAACTTTTTTTTGAGGAATATTTCACATAAAACAAACTTAAGGGTACCTTTCAAAGAGTTTTGACAGCTGTATACACCATGTAGCCGAAATCACAATCAAAATAATAGATCCAGATATTACCCCTCACCCCAAACCTTCCTCTTGCCCCTTGGCAGTCAGCCTCATCCCCCTGGAGAGTCCCAGACACTCAACTCTGTGCCTCCCCTCCCGTAGAAGTGTTTTCTTCCAGGGTTTCATAAACATGGAATCATGTAGAATATACTGGTGTTTGGCTCGCTCTTATTCACATGGTATATTTGAGGTTCATCAGTGTTACTTGTGTGGGCAGTTTTCCTTTGCGATTGCTGGGCGGCAGCTGAGTGGATTCTCTTCTATGGATGTACCCCCATTTGTGGATCCATTCACCTACGGCTGACTGTCTAGACAGTGTCCAGTCTGGGCTGCTGTGCATCACGCTGCTGTGAACGTCTGTGTAGGAGTCACATTTGTGTGAACTGGTGCTCTCACTTCTCTTGGCAGATAACTACAAGTACGAGTGGTGGGGCCAGGTGGTCAGTGTGCATTTATTTCACAGAAAAGCTGACCCACTTTTCCAGAGCAGTTGCACCAGTTTGTATTCTTGCTGGCAGTATGTGACAGCTAGTTGCTCCATATCCTTGTCAGCACTTGGTTTTGTCAGTCTTCTTATATTAGCCATTATCTGGGTGTGTAGTGGTATGTCAGTATGTGTATTTTTTTTTAATACTTTGGATCATTTACATCAACCGTGGTTTAATTTGCCTTGCTGTTGAGCATCTCTACATGTGCTTTTGGCCATTTCTATGTCATCTGTAGTGAATGACCATTTTTAATGGGTTGTTTACCTTCTTACTGAATATTAAGCTTTGTTTATATACCCTGAACAGAAGTCCTTTGTGAGATAGGTGTATTGTGAATATTTTCTCCCATTCCATCCTTTGCCCTGTTTGTTGATACTGTATTTCATATATTCAAATATTGATTTCTACTTAATTTTTCACTTAGAGGTGTACAGTCAAAAGCATTTGGAGGCTACTGCTCAGCTGAATTAGCAGAAGGAATTGCTGTGGACTGAATAGAGGAAGGAAAGGACCCAGGCGCTGTCCCACAGCCTCTCCCGTGACCTCACCCTGGGGGAGGCATGGGTGTTTGGCAGAGAGCCCTTTTTGGTTTTACGTGAATGTCATTTGGGCGGGTGTGGGGTAGAATGATCTCAAGAGCATTCTCACCTCCGAGGAGCGGTTGCGTCTCGATGCATCGGCACAGGAGGGCTGTGCACTTTCCACTGCCACCACCCGTGAGACCTCCAGAGAGCCTGACCCTGCCATCTGCACTAAGATCCCCAGCTGTTGTCTGGTGATCCAGATGAGAGGACCAGCGTGATAGTTTCTCACAGCAGCCTCTGGCAGGACCTGGAGTGGAAATCTTCCTTAGTCTAAAACACATCCCGAATGACTGAACATTATAGGAGAATGTGTCTTTGTTTTACGAGGCCACTTGAAGTCCACCTCCCTCCTCTTCTGGGTGTGGCCCTTGCCTGTAGCTCCGAGTGTGAGGATCTTAAGTGTGAGGGTGTGTGCTCCTGAGCCAGCCTTTACCCCAACACCAAGTTGCCACACCGAACTGCAGACCTGGCAGCCCTGTCCAGCAACTTCCTTATCACAGTTACAGTGCAGCAAATGGGAGAGGGGCCAAAACCCCCAAAATTATTCTCCTTATTACAGTTACAGTACAGCAAATGGGAGAGGGGGGCCAAACCCCCAAAATTATTCTCCTTATTACAGTTACAGTACAGCAAATGGGAGAGGGGCCAAAACCCCCAAAATTATTCTCCTTATTACAGTTACAGTGCAGCAAATGGGAGAGGGGGGCCAAAACCCCAAAATTATTCTCCTTATTACAGTTGCAGTGCAGCAAATGGGAGATGGGGGGCAAAACCCCCCAAATTACTCTCCTTATTACAGTTGCAGTGCAGCAAATGGGAGATGGGGGCCAAAACCCCCCAAATTACTCTCCAAGCCAAAGGAAAACTCTGGATGCTCGATAGCCACTTACAGAGCTGCTCATCACATGCGTTGTTGGAACACCTAACACTAGCCTCCTGGTTATGAATGTTTCTGGAATCGAGCCTCCCTGATATGTGCCTACAGAAGCGGATCTGCCTGAGGACATCCGCCATTTCCTAATATTTATACCTTAGAATATAGAGCCAGCTTCATAACATGTGGGGTCCAGTGCAGAATGAAAACATGGGACCTGTAGTTGAGAAAGCAGGAAAAGGCCGGGCCCAGTGGCTCATGCCTGTAATGCCAGCACTTTGGGAGATTGAGGTGGGTGCATCACTTGAGCCCAGGAATTTGAGACCAGCTTCAGAAATACAGTGAGACCCCCATCTCTACAAAAACAAAACAGGCAGGTGTGGTGGTACGTGCCTGTAGTCCCAGCTATTCAGGAGGCTGAGGCGGGAGGATTGCTTCAGCCTGGGCTTGCAGTGAGCCATGATTGTGCCACTGCCTTCCAGCCTGGGCGACACTGCAAGACCTTGTCTCTAAACAAACACACACACACACACACAAAGAGCTTCTTTATGTCTTCTGTGGATTCCTGGCCTGCCATAGTGTTTTTAATTTGCCACTTGACTTCAAGCTTTCCCAGGAATACGTGTCTGAAGCAAGGCACCCCTGTTCACACCCCACCAGGGACATTGGACAGTTGTGGGGGAAGAAGGGGGTGCAGGAGCAAGATGGGCTGTGTCCCATTGAACTTCACTACAGAACACCAATTTAAAGATAAATGATTAGGGATTTCAAGATGTTGGCAGTAAGGCATTAAACTCCATGCCTGGCCCTTCTGAGGCGGGCTTTTTTTTTTTTTTTTTTGAGATGGAGTCTTGCTCTGTCCCCCAGGCGGGAGTGCAGTGGCGCAATCTCGGCTCACTACAAGCTCCGCCTCCCGGGTTCACGCCATTCTCCTGCCTCAGCCTCCCGAGTAGCTGGGACTACAGGCGCCCGCCACCACGCCCGGCTAATTTTTGTTGTATTTTTTAATAGAGACAGGGTTTCACCATGTTAGCCAGGATGGTCTCGATCTTCTGACCTTGTGATCCGCCTGCCTCAGCCTCCCAAAGTGCTGGGATGACAGGTGTGGGCCACGGCGCCGGCCCTGAGGTGGGCTTTGTGCAGCTGTGCTGGCCACACAAGCCTGAAACCGGCCTTGTCTGTATGGAAAAGTTCTGTGTCAAAACTAGGTGGTTTCTAAGTCACTGTGAAGCACTGCGTGCAGTAAGCGTGCGTCACTGAAAGATGACACTTGCAAGCCAGTACTGAGCCGGGTCGTTAGGTGTCAAAGCCTGTTTTAAGCTTCGGAGGCTTAGGTTAGAAGATTTGTGCTGAAAGGCCGGAAGTGGTGGCTCACGCCTGTCATCCCAGCACTTTGGGAGGCCGAGGCGGGCGGATCACAAGCTCAGGAGACTGAGACCATCCTGGCTAACACGGTGAAACCCCGTCTCTACTAAAAATCCAAAAAATTAGCCGGGCGTGGTGGCGGGCACCTGTAGTCCTAGCTACTCGGGAGGCTGAGGCAGGAGAATGGCGTGAACCTGGGAGGCGGAGTTTGCAGTGAGCTTAGATTGCACCTCTGCACTCCAGCCTGGGCGATAGAGCGAGACTCCATCTCAAAAAAAAAAATTAAAAAAAAAATAAAAATAAACATGATGGCATGTCATGAGTTTTGAAGGATAAGAAGTTAAAGCTGGCCAGGCACGGTGGCTCATGCCTGCAATCCCAGCACTTTGGGAGGTCAAGGCGGGTGGATCACCTGAGGTCAGGAGTTTGAGACCAGCCTGGCCATCATGGTGAAACCCTGTCTGTACTAAAAAAAATTACAAAAAATTAGCCAGGTGTGGGGACATGTGCTTGTAGTCTTAGCTACTTGGGAAACTGAGGCAGGAGACTCACTTGAACTTGAGAGATGGAGGTTGCAATGAGCTGAGATCACGCCACTGCATTCCAGCCTGGGCAACAGAGCGAGTCTATCTAAAAAATAAAAATAAAAAACATAAAAATTTGAGGCTGAGGTGATAGTTGCTGCTTGAGGTTTATTGCTGATGACAAAGTGTGGGCTATTTAGGGTTTCTAATGTATTTCTCATTGTCTTAAACGGTCTTCAGCTCTGTCAAGCTGTTTATTTGTAATTTATGTGCTTTAAGATGACACTTGCCACTCAGACCTCCTCCAAGGAGGGGCAGGGGAGCCCATTCCTGGGCCTGGCACGGTGCTCCACCTCCTGCACACCCCTTTCTGGGGCAGGTCCTTGGACTGTGGGGAAGCACCTGCTGCACTCTGGGTGGTGGCAGCCTTGGGCCCTGGGCTCCCCCTTGTGGAGTCCTCAGGGTGTGAGGCACCATAAAATTATTCAAAAAATGAAGTGGCTTCCAAACACTCTCCATGTCCGCACTCCCCTCGCGGTGGACCAAGGCACACGCTCCCAGCCTGGCCACAGGCCTAGACTAGTGTTGAGGTTTGCATTGGACATGTTGAAGGCTTACAAATGTTTTTCTTTTTCTTTTGAAATTACTTCAGAATTAAAGCAAAATTGCAAAAATAGTACAGAGAACTTCCGTTTTCCCAGATTCCCACTCCGTTAGTGTTTCACCAAACCCGCATGTTCAGTCTCTCTCCCTCTCCTTAAACATTCGAGGGGCAGTTGCAAAGGTGACGCTTTCCCTGCAGGCATCCTCTTCTGTGCCTGCCCTGGTGAGAACTGCTATGGCAACTGTGTCCTAATGGCCGACCTTCTCCAGGCTTCACCCACCGTCGCTCCTGCCCTTCACTGATAGGCCCTGTGTCACACTGAACCCTCCTGTCGCTTTAATCCTCTTCTATGTGTGGCCATCCTCAGCCTTTGTCTTCTGTGACATTGATATTTTTGAAGAGCACAGCATTAGTGATTTCGTCGAACGTCCCTCAGTTAGGATTTGTTGGATGTTTCCTCTTGATTAGATCTAGGTTAGTTACCTTTGGCAGGAACTCTAGAGGTGAAGTTGTGTCCTCTCAGGGCACCATGGCCGTGTTACCCTGGTGTCGTTTTGTGCCGTGGACAATGATGCTGGCTGTGAGCACTTGGCTGAGGTGGTTGAAGAGCAGCATCCCAAACAGGGCTCTGGAGTGCAGAGTGACCTCTGCAGCCACTCTGCTCAAGCGTCTCCGCGTGCTCTGCAAGGCTCCAAACCGGAGAGGTGCTCTGTAGGTCACCCCGTTACGTAAAATCACAGACTGGAAAGAGTTTGTTAGATTTTCTTTCTTTTTTATTTTTGGAGACAGTCTTGCTCTGTTGCCGAGGCTGCAGTGCAGTGACATGATCTCGGCTCATTGCAACCTCTGCCTCCTGAGTTCAAGCGATTCTCCTGCCTCAGCCTCCGGAGTAGCTGGGATTACAGTCACGCGCCACCACACCTGGCTGATTTTTGTATTTTTAGTAGAGATGGGGTTTCACTATGTTGGCCAGGCTGATCTCGAACTCCTGAGCTCAGGTGATCTGCCTGCCAAGGCCTCCCAAAGTGCTGGGATTACAGGCGTGAGCCACCGTGCCCAGCCAGACTTGTTTTTTAAACAGGCAGAAAGGAGCTCACCCATGGAGCATTTTTTCTGAGTCGCCTGAGTTATCTGTGTCACGGCAGAAAAGGACGTCAGGAGTCTGGGGGAAGCAGGGCCATCCTGGAGGCCACAGCCCAGGCAGGTGCCAAGGCCAAAGGCAGCTCTTCTGTGCTTGCCTCTCAGAGTGGGACTGCCTGGGACCAGACCTGCTGCTCCTGAGCTGTGTTGGCCCTGGCCTTGTCTCCTCTGCATGTCAAGGACACATGACCTGCTTGAATGGCAGGGGCTTTTGTTATGCAGGTTCCCAGCCATGCCGTCACTCCACAGAAGCACAAACATGGTTTTCGGGGACTTTGGATGTTTCTGGAGGGGTCTGACTCTGGGTCTGTGTTCATGAGATCCACATTCACAGGCGTGGCTGCGAAGAGGCCCCTAGACCTTGGGATGTGTGCTGAGCCCTTAAGACATGAACCACCACTAGAATCGGCTAAGCTCCAGGGACACAGCAGTTGCGCCTGTGGTGGAGATTGTCCCAGACGGACGTTTGTCCCGTTGCTGTGACGCAGATGGTGGATGGGCTGTGGGGCTGCTTTCAAGTACTTTTTTTTTTATTTCCCGAGATGGAGTCTTGCTCTGTTGCCAGGCTGGAGGGCAGTGGCGTGATCTCAGCTCACTGCAGTCTCCGCCTCCCAGGTTCATGCCATTCTCCTGCCTCAGTCTCCCGAGTATTTGGGACTACAGGCGCCCACCACCACGCCTGGGTAATTTTTGTATTTTTAGTAGAGATGGGGTTTCACCATGTTAGCCAGGATGGTCTCGAACTCCTGAGCTTGTGATCCGCCCACCTCGGCCTCCCAAAGTGCTGGGATTACAGGCGTGAGCCACCGGACGTGGCCTCAAGTACTTTTTTGAAACTGGTTGTAGGGAATAGTTTGACAAATCGGCTAGTTGGTTGAACTTGCTTTGCATAAAGAGACATCACTAAATATAACTCTCCTTAAAGTTGGGGACTTATTTAAATCTGATTCATTTCTGTGGGGCTGTATGATGTTGGTTAATACTGAAGTCTTGCAACAAAGTCTGGCTTTGTTCCTAAGGAACCTGTCTTTGGAGTCCTTAGAGCTTCTTCGTGAGTCTGTTAATTCATAAACTCCAGACCATTGGCCTGCACGTTGCATTTGTAATAATTTCCATTCCCACAAGAAACTAGAACAGGAGAATGAGAGAGCCAGGCTGGGAGAAGGATGTTTGCGACACTGAATCCAGTTTAAGTTGTTGGTTTGTTCAAGTGAAGGAAATGGAATTTTTATCAGGGCCCTCTGAACAGGTTTGAAACTTTACTTAGGGATTTGCCATTCTGCTTTCTGCCACCTAGTGTTCCTTTCCTGTAGTGCATCTCTTAACCTGTCCCTTCCTTCCATTTTTGGTCAGACGTCTCAGGCTTGTAAACAGATTCCTAGTCTATACTGAGCTTCATTACAAATCTTGCAGAATCCAGTGAGGTTTTTTTTTTTTTTCTTTTTTTCCAAGACAGAGTCTCGCTCTGTCGCCCAGGCTGGAGTGCAGTGGCTCGATCTGGGCTCACTGCAACCTCCGCCTCCCACGTTCAAGCAATTCTTCCTGCCTCAGCCTCCCAAGTAGCTGGGATTACAGGTGTGGGCCACCATGCCCGACTAATTTTTTTTTTGTTTTTAATAGTGGCAGCGTTTCACCATATTGGCCAGGCTGGGTTCGAACTCCTGACCTCAGGTGATCTGCCCGCCTCGGCCTCCCAAAGTGCTGGGATTACAGGCGTGAGCCACTGCTCCCAGCCCCAAATAAAGTACTTTTAGGAACACACAGTGCCAGGAATTGGGATAGGCTGACTGTATGAGACAGCCCCCTCATCAGCCTAGTGTCTTCCAGACACTTAAACTCCATCATTGACCCCAAGTGCTTCTGTGGAGGAAAGTTGCAGGGCCAGGGAAGAGGCACCTCAGGCCTTGGGAAGTCAGGGGCCCTTCTAGCCAAGACACCAGCTGCATGTGGACCTGCACTGAGCTCATTGCCCTGCAGCCATGTGGGGAAGACACAGGTCCCAGGAGGATCTAACCCCCGGCATCTGGTTTCGCCCCCACCTCCGTTCTGTTGTAATATTTTGCGGCTCTTTTTAGTGTCATGAGGCAACTCATCCAAAATTATTCCACAGTTTTTAATTTCTAGTTTTGAAAAGGGGAACAAGGATTTCCAAGGTAACTGAACTCCATAGAGAACCTGAAAACAGTTTTAATGTATCTTGTTTCGAATGTAACCTACATTCAAATAAATTATAATTATAGTGTGGGTGTCCATGCAGTCACAACCCAGGTAAAAGAAATAGGTCACTGTCACCGGGCGCGGTGGCTCACGCCTGTAATCCCAGCACTTTGGGAGGCTGAGGCGGGCGGATCACAAGGTCAGGAGATCGAGACCATCCTGGCTAACATGGTGAAACCCCGTCTCTACTAAAAATACAAAAAAAAAAAAAAATTGGCGTGGGGGCGGGCGCCTGTAGTCCCAGCTACTCGGGAGGCTGAGGCAGGAGAATGGCGTGAACCTGGGAGGCGGAGCTTGCAGTGAGCCGAGATTGTGCCACTGCACTCCAGCCTGGGCGAAAGCAAGACTCTATCACAAAAAAAAAAAAAAAAAAAAAAAAAAAAAAAGAAATAGGTCATGGTCAGCACAAAAGCATAGAAAATGGCACAGTGAACCCCCACGCCTGTCATATGATCCACATTTTGCTCATTTCTACATCCATCTGCATGGACGGCTTTTATTTTTTTAAACTGTCTATTGAAGTATACTGTCTATACAGAAAAGTGTGTGTATCGTGCGTATGCAACTGATGCATTTTTACACACAGGAACTCTCACTGACGCAGTCAGAATCTAGATGAAGAAAAAGCAAGTTGGCCGGGCACGGTGGCTCACGCCTGTAATCCCAGCACTTTGGGAGGCCGAGGTGGGCGGATCATGAGGTCAGGAGATTGAGACCATCCTGGACAACATGGTGAAACCCCATCTCTACTAAAAATACAAAAATTAGCAGGGCATGGTGGCGGGCGCCTGTAATCCCAGCTACTCAGGAGACTGAGGCAGGAGGATCGCTTGAACCAGGGAGTCGAAGGTTGCAGTGAGCCAAGATTGTTCCATTGCACTCCAGTCTGGGCAATAGAGTGAGACTCCGTCTAAAAAAAAAAAAAGCAAGTTACCAGGACATCTGGATAGCTTTTAAATGTATTCCATGGCTCATCAACGTGGAGAGGCTCACACTTAGATGAAAACACAGAGCACCTCCCTCACCTTGCTGGGGCTGGGGCTGGGGCTGGGGCTGGGGCTGGGCTTGTTCTGTGGCAGCCAGGATGGAGGACGAACAGCACATCCCCATGCTTTTGGTCAGGCTGTGAGCAGATGGCCAGCAGCACCTTCCTGCCTCTTTTTTTTATTTTTATTTTTATTTTTTTTTGAGACGGAGTCTTTGTCACCCAGGCTAGAGTGCAGTGGCAGGATCTTGGTTCACTGCAGCCTCCACCTCCTGGGTTCAAGCGATTCTTCAGCCTCAGCCTCAGCCTCCTGAGTAATTGGGATTACAGGCACGTGTCACCACACCTGGCTAATTTTTGTATTTTTAGTAGAGTCAGGGTCTCACCATGTTGGCCAGGCTAGTCTTGAACTCCTGACCTCAGGTGATCCACCTGCTTCGGCCTCCCAAAGTGCTGGGATGACAGGCGTGAGCCACCGTGTCCAGCCTCTCTTTTATTTTTATTTTATTATTATTATTTTTTATTTTTTTTTTGAGACAGAGTTGCTCTTGTTGCCCAGGCTGGAGTGCAATGGTGTGATGATCTCAGCTCACTGCAACCTCCACCTCCCAGGCTCAAGCAATTCTCCTGCCTCAGCCTCCCAAGTAGCTGGGATTACAGGCAGGTACCACCACGCCTGGCTAATTTTGTATTTTTAATAGAGATGGGGTTTCTCCATGTTGGTCAGGCTGGTCTCGAACTCCTGACCTCAGGTGATCCTTCCGCCTCAGCCTCCCAAAGTGCTGGGATTACAGGCGTGAGCCACCGTGCCTGGCCTATTTTTATTTTTTATATATATATATTTTTGAGACAGAATCTCACACTGTCACCCAGGCTGGAGTGCAGTGGCACAATCTCAGTTCACTGCAACCTCCGCTCCCCAGGTTCAAGCGATTCTCGTGCCTCAGCCTCCCAAGTAGCTGGGATTACATGCGCGTGCCACCATGCCTGGCTGATTTTTGTATTTTTAGTAGACATGGTGTTTCACCGTGTTGGCCAGGCTGGTCTTGAACTCCTGACCTCTGGTGATCCACCTGCCTTGGCCTCCAAAAGTGCTGAGGATTACAGGTGTGAGCCACTGTGTCCGGCCTCTGCCTTTTTTAAAAAAACTAGAAATGGGATCTTGCTCTGTTGTCCAGGCTAGAGTGCAGTGGTATGATCACAGCTCACTGCAGCCTCAAACTCCCAGGGTCAAGCAATCCTCCTGCCTCAGCCTCTGAGTCACTGGAACTACAGGTGTGCACCACCATCCTGGGTAAGTTTTTAAACATTTTTTGTAGATATGTGGGGGTCTTGCTATGTTACTGATGCTGGTCTTGAACTCCTGGGCTCAAGTGATCTTCCTGCTTTGGCCTCCCTCAATGCCGGGATTACAGGTGTGAGCAACCGCGTCTGGCCCCTTTCCTCATTTTAAATGCCCTGTGCTCCTGAGGATCCTCTGCAGTGGAATGTCCTCACAGCACTAATTGTCTGTTGTCTTTAATTGGAAACATTGGGGTTGGGTACAGTGGCCCATGCCTGTGCTTCCAGTACTTTGGGAGGCCAAGACGGGAGGATCACTTGAGCCCAGGAGTTTGTGACCAGCCTGGGTGACATTGGGAGACCTTGTCTCTACAAAAAATGATAATAATAAAAATTAGCTGAACATGGTGGCGTGTGCCTGTAGTCCTAGCTGCTCGAGGCTGAGACAGGAGGATCCCTTGAGCCTGGGAAGTTGAGGCTGCAGTGAGCTGTGATTGCGTTGCTGCACTCCAACCTGGGCTACGGAGCGAGACCCTGCCTGAAAACGAAAAGGAAACAGAACCGATGCAAGGGAAGGATGGCTCAGTGTGGCAGTGCCCTGTCCGCGGAGAGCACTCAGCCGGGTCTGGACGAGGACGTTGTGCGTAACTCTACGGAGAAGTACGAGCTCACAGATAATATGGGGGTGTGGTCCTGTTGTGTGAGAAGCAGACGAAACACTAAGAGGACATTGGGTTCCCCATCATTCCAGGGCTACTGCCCCCACAGGGGAGGAAGAGATCGCCTCTTTCCCTGTTGGAATTGTGCACACTGCTGGAGCCCTCTCCTGGGAGGACCGGCGGGGAGTCTGTTCTGCTGGTCAAGGCTGGGCTTTCTGCAGAAGTTCAGGGTGGACATGGAATAAATATAGCACAGTGGACACCAGATGTGTCTGTGGGAAGAAGTCACTGTTCACATCTTTACATCTTTTTTTTTTTGAGAGCTCTGTCGCCCAGGCTGGAGTGCAGTGGCGTGATCTCGGCTCACTGCAAGCTCCGCCTCCTGGGTTCATGCCATTCTCCTGCCTCAGCCTCCCGAGTAGCTGGGACTGCAGGTGCCTGCCACCACGCCTGGCTAGTTTTTTGTGTTTTTTTCAGTAGAGACGGGGTTTCACCGTGTTATCCAGGATGGTCTCGATCTCCTGACCTCGTGATCTGCCCAACTTGGTCTCCCAGAGTGCTGGAATTACAGGTGTGAGCCACTGCGCCTGGCCCACGCTGGTTAATTTTTATGTTTTTAGTAGCAATGGGGTTTCACCGTGTTGGTCAGGCTGGTCTCGAACTTCTGACCTCAGGGGATCCTCCTGCCTCGGCCTCCCAAAGTGCTGGGATGACAGGCGTGAGCTACTGAGCCTGGCTTAGTAGTACAGTGTTTGATTTGGTGTCCTGAGTGTCTGTATGTGGATGTGGAGTGCGGTTTTCCACTGAGCTTCAGTCTGAGGTTGCGCGGTTGGTGCTCGCTGTTCTTCCCATCTCTGCTACTGGCTGGCGACCGTGCGGACTCCACAGCTGCGCTCAGCTCAGAGCCAGCTTCGTGTGCAGAGCCCAGCAGAGATGGCGGAGCCACTTGGCATCCAAGCACCTTGCCCTGTTTGTGTCCACCTGGTTCTGCCGTGAGAACCCCTGGGTTTTAAGCCGTTAGGCTGGTATGAGAGGGTGGGTGGTCCTGGGAACACGTCCCCACGTGGGACGGGCTGCTCATTAGCAGTGAGGAGGACTCAGGAGATGATGGGTGGGAGTCTAGGGTGGCTTTCAGATCCTGCTGGAACCTCGTGCCAGGCTGGTCTTCCTTGTTGTCCTCAGAGGAGGTGACAGCTGTACACACACACCACCCCCCACCCACCCCCCTTGTTTGCAGACTCTAGAAGTAATGTCTGTTGAAAGGGAGCTAAGCTCAGTCGGATCTCAGATACATGGCAGGTGATCAGTTTTATTATTTATTATGTATTTATTTAGAGCAGCACTGAAAGCTTATTAAAAAGCTTTAGAGCAGGAAGGAAAAGAGGTAAAGTACACCTGGAAGAGGGCCAAGTGGGTGACTTGAGAGATTAAGTGCCGGTTTTCTTCTAAAATGTAGTGATAAACAGGTGTTTGCATCTGGAAAGTCTAAAGCCAGCAGTGAATGCCACTGAATGTGAAGTGTTGCAGATCTTTGCTCTGGATAGACTTTTTTTTTTTTTTTTTTTTTTTTAATGGAGTCTCGCTCTGTCGCCCTGGCTGGAGTGCAGTGGCAGGATCTCGGCTCGCTGCAGCCTCTGCCTCCCGGGTTCAAGAGATTCTCCTGCCTTAGCCTCCCGAGTAGCTGGGATTACACGTGTGTGCCACCATGCCTGGCTTATTTTTTTTTGTATTTTTAGTAGAGATGGGGTTTCAGAGTGTTAGGCAGGATGGTCTCGATCTCCTGACCTCATGATCTGCCTGCCTCGGCCTCCCAAAGTCCTGGAATTACAGGCATGAACCACTGCGCCCGGCCCTTCTCGCTGTTATTTAAGGGAAGCGGTCTCACTGTGTGGCACAGGCTGGTCTCAAACTATCCTCCTGTTTGGCTTCCCAAAGTGCTAGGATTACAGGAGTGGGCCACCGTGCCCGGCCCTCCTCGCTGTTATTTAAGGGAAGCGGTCTCACTGTGTGGCGCAGGCTGGCTTTGAGCTCCTGGGCTCCGGCGGTTCCACCCTGGCGCTGTGGTGCAGCTGGAAGCATTTTGCTGTCTTTTGTTTGACTGATTCTTTTTATTTTTCCTTTGTTTCCATTGGTTTCGATACCAGTGGTCTGCTTCTCTCTTGGTCTTCGTTGATTCAGTTAATAATTTGCAAGGATGTAAAATAAAATAGAGCTTTATAGACCAAAAGATCGTTGTCTTAAATATATCATTTATAGACGAGATCAGGCATGGTGGTTCACGCCTGTAATTTCAGCACTTTTGGAGACTGAGGTGGGTGGATCACTTGAGCCCAGGAGTTTGAGACCAGCCTGGGAAACAGCCTGGCATGGTGGCATGCGCCTCTAGTCCCAGCTACTCAGGAAGTTGATGCGGAGGATCGCTTGAGCCTGTGAGTTCGAGGCTGCAGTGGGTCAGTGATCGTGCCACTGCTCTCCAGCCTGGGTCATAGGGGTCTTTGTTGGCCAGGCTAGTCTCAAATTCCTGCACTCAAGCAATCCTCCCTCCCCAGCCTCCCAAAGTGCTAGGATTACAGATGTGAGTCACTGCCCAGCCTTCAGACGTTTTCTCCTGAAGGTGAACAAGCAAAGAAGGTGGCTTACTTTTTCAGTGTCTTAACAGGGGTTTTGGCAGAGAAGCTTTTTCAGTTTTCATGATGGGCGCGTTTTGAAGGCCAGAGCTGATGGCACTGGTGGATGGACTCCTGTATTCTGGCCTGAGCACCTGAGTGCTGCCTGTCACTGCTGAGGGGAGTCCTGGGAGAGGAGCGTGGGCTGGGAGTCTTGTTTGAGACCCCCAGTGTTGATGCATATGAGGGGCCAGAGTGTAGGGAGACCCTGGAGCTGGAAGTGGGGATTTTGGAGCCATTTGGGTATATGTGTAGAGTTCAAGGTCTGAGGCCTGGATGAGCCAGGAGTGAGGGTAGAGGGAGAAACTGGAGTCGAGGCCTGGAGCATTGAACCTTGAACATCGGGCGGTAAAGAGAGGAGGCTCCGGTAAGGGGTTGGAAAGGAGTGCTGCAAAGTGGGAACCAGAGTCTGGTGTCCTGGACATCCAGGAGGTGGCCACTCTGTGAGGGTCTGCTCTGTACACCAAGACCGTGGGGAGGACTGGCCGTCCTGCGTGTGCCTCACGGGGAAAGGAGAAGGGCGAGGGGAGGCAGCGGCAGCACGGCAAAGAAGCGAGTGTTGAAACCCCTCAGGTGCTGTCCTTCCCGACCCCGGCTAGAGGGTTGGGAAGTGTCTTCTTGGAGACGTCCCTGAAGCGGGAGGGCCATGGCGTAGCTTCCGACCTCCACAGGCTGGACCCTTCTTGGGCAGGTGCCTGAAGCGGGAGGGCCATGGCGTAGCCTCCGACCTCCACAGGCTGGAGGTGCCCCTAGGGCAGGGTGGTGGACAGAGTCTTCCTCTGTTGGGGGGGGGGGGTGCCCGCACTGGGCGCACAGATGTGAGCCGGGCTGAGTCCCGCGCCGGGTGCGCGGATGTGTGCTGGGCTGAGTGTGGCCGGCCACTTGTTTGCGTTGTTTGTGGACATACAAATAGGCTGTTGTTGAACTGGGTTCGTGGTGGGGACTTAGAGACTCTCAGAGTCTATGGCTATTTTTAAATTTTATTCTTTGAAGGTATTTGGCTTGCATGACCTTTGTTTGGTTATGTTTTACTTGAATCATGTCAAGGAAGCTACATGAAGTGTGAACCAGAGTGTTCACTGCAAACCTTCTCCCCTGTAGCTTAATGTCCCTGGCTCTTTGTTTGCCAGAGCCAACAGTGAAAAGGGTGATAGGATTTTTTATTTAAAGAAAAGGAGGCTGGGCGCCATGGCTCACGCCTGTAATCCCAGCACTTTGGGAAGCCGAGGTGGGCGGATCACGTGAGGTCGCGAGTTCGAGACCAGCCCGACCAACATGGAGAAACCCCGTCTCTGCTAAAAATACGAAATTAGCCGGGCGTGGTAGTGCATGCCTGTAATCCCAGCTACTCAGGAGGCTGAGGCAGGAGAATCGCTTGAACCTGGGAGGTGGAGGTTGCAATGAGCAGAGATAGCACCATTGCACTCCATTCTGGGCGACAAGAACGAAACTCTGTTTCTAAAAAAAAAAAGGAAAGGAATTATTTTTCTTAAATAAGAAAACTACCACAAAGTTATTGCTTTGTGACCCAGATACATTTGTATGTTTGTTTTGAAAGGAAAAATAGACACTGGGTGGTATTTGAGTTTTGTTTTAAGTCTACTATAAGACCCAAAACATATTCAGGCACTTAGTTTAAAAGCAGTCATGTAAACTAAGTAGTATTTGAGTCTTTTTGAGTCTATGCTTTTTTTTTTTTTGGTCGGGGGAGACAGGGCCTCTTGCTCAGACTGAAGTGCAGTGGCACTATCATAGCTCACTGCAGCCTCGACCTTCTGGGCTCAAGCAATCCTCCTGCCTCAGCCTCCTGAGTATCTGGGACCACAGGCATGCACCACCACGCCTGGCTAATTTTTTGTAGTCTTTGTAGAGGTGGGGTCTTGCTGTGTTGCCCAGGCTGGTCTTGACCTCCTGGACCCAAGTCATCGGCCTGCCTCAGCCTCCCAAAGTGCTGGGATTACAAGCATGAGCTACGATACCTGGCCTTGTCTGTGCTTTTTATTTTCCTGTATGGCTGGTCTAAGTAGCGTTTTCTTACTGGTGTTTTTAAAGTCATGAAGCACCTTAGTTGTGGTTTTGTTTGTTTGGCGACTTATAATAACACGGTGAGCTGAGCTTGGAAGTGTTGCATCCATGTTCTCAGCTGCTCCAGTGTTGTGGGGACATGTGGGGACTCTGCCCTGCCCCGGCTGGAACAGCAAAAGGTGCTGATGGTGGGCTTTTCTTTTCCAGGTGCACATTCAGGTTCCCGAGCACAAACATCAAGATAACGTTCACTGCCCTGTCCAGCGAGAAGAGAGAGAAGCAGGAGGCGTCTGAGTCTCCAGTGAAGGCCGTACAGCCACACATCTCGCCCCTGACCATCAACATTCCAGACACCATGGCCCACCTCATCAGCCCTCTGCCCTCCCCCACGGGAACCATCAGGTGCGGCCATGGGGATGGGGGACTGGAGCATCCTTAGTCCCAGTGGCAGCCCCAAGTAACGCCTTTCTCCTTCCCTGGTGCTGACTTATGTGGAGAGAGAGAATGTGAGGTGGTGTTTAAAATATCATTGGATTTCTGCTCTGAATTTCCTGCATTATGAAATGCAGTTCCCAAAGGTTCCTGGTTTTTATTTACTCATTCCCTTTTTTTTTTTTTTTTTTGAGAAGGAGTCTCTGTCTGTTGCCCAGGCTGGAGTGCAGTGGTGCTATCTTGGCTCACTGCAACCTCTGCCTCCCAGGTTCAAGCGATTCTCCTGCCTTAGCCTCCTGAGTAGCTAGGACTACAGGCGCCCACCACCACGCCCACCTAATTTTTGCATTTTTAGTAGAGACAGGGTTTCACCATATTGGTCAGGCTGGTCTTGAACTCCTGACCTCAAGTGATCCGCCCACCTCAGCCTCTCCAAGTGTTGGGATTACAGGCTGAGCCACTGCACCTGGCCTGTTTACTCATTCTTTAAAAGATGTTTTTAAAGTGGTTTTTTTTTTTTTTTTTGGGAGATGGAGTTTTGCACTGTTCCCCAGGCTGGAGTGCAGTGGTGTGATCTCGGCTCACTGCAACCTCTGCCTCCCAGGTTCAAGTGATTCTCCTGCCTCAGCCTCCTGAGTAGCTGGGGCTACAGACATGTGCCACCATACCCGGCTAATTTTTTGTATTTTTAGTAGAGACGGGATTTCACTGTGTTGGCCAGGCTGATCTCAAACTCCTGACCTCGTCATCCACCTCCCAAAGTGCTGGGATTACAGGCGTGAGCTACCACAGCTGGCTGGTTTTTTTTTGTTTGTTTGTTTGTTTTGTTTTTTGTTTTTAAGAGATGGATTCTGGCTGTGTTGCCCAGGATGAACTCAAACTCCTGGACTTAAGTGATCCTCCCGCCTTGACCTTCTGAGTAGCTGGGACAACAGATGTGCTCCACTGTGCCTGGCCTGGATTCTTTTTATTGGAGTATAAATGAAAGGGCAGACAGTGGTCTAAAGTCTGCCCTTTCAAAATTTTAATTTTGAATTTTTTTTAGAGAGCCCACAGCCTGAAGAACCATGAGCCAATTAAACATTTTTTCTTTATTTTTTTTTTAAAGAAGAGTAGAGAGCCCAGAAATAAACCCTCACATAATGTAGTCAAATGGTTTTTTTTTTTTTTGAGATGGAGTTTCACCCTTTTTGCCCAGGCTGGAGTCCAATGTGCGGTCTTGGCTCACTGCATCCTCTGTCTCCCAGGTTCAAGCGATTCTCAAGCCTCAGTCTCCTGAGTAGCTGGGATTACAGGCATGCACCACCACGCCCGGCTAATTTTGTATTTTTAGTAGAGATGGGGTTTCTCCATGTTGGTCAGGGTGGTCTTGAAATCCTGACCTCAGGTGATCCGCCTGCCTCGGCCTCCCAAAGTGCTGGGATTACAGGCGTGAGCCACCACGCCTGGCCTCATCAAATGGTTTTTGACGAGGGTGCCCACATGCCCACACCATTCATTCAGACTTCCCAACAAGTGGTACCAGGTAAACGGTATGTCCACATGGAAAATAATGAATTTGGGCCCTTATCTTATACCGTGTGCAAAAATTAACTGAAAATGGATCAAAGACCTAAATGTAAGGCCTGAAACTATAAAATTCTTAGAAGAAAACATAGGCAAAACCTATGACATTGGATTTGGTATTGATTTCTTGGATTTGATACCAAAGGCACAGGCAACAAAAGAAAAAGACAAATTGAACTTCTTGAAAATTTAAAAAATTTCTGCATCAAAAGACAACATCAGTAGTGAAAAGGTGTTGTACAGAATGGGAGTAAGTATTTGCAAATCATACATCTGACAAGGGATTAATATCCAGATTATAGAGAGAACTCCTAAAACTCAACAACAAAGAAACAAAAGACCCAGTTCAAAAACGTGAAAGACATTGTTTCAAAGAAGATATAGAAATGGCCAATAAGGACATGAAAAGATATTCAGCATCAGTAGTTATTAGGGAAATGCCAATCAAAACACAATGAGATCCCACCTCACACCCATTGGATTGGCTGCTATTAAAAACAAAAAACCCAGAAAATAGTGTTAGTGAGGATGTGGAGAAATTGGAACTGTTGTGTGCTGTTGCAAGGAATGCCAAACCGTGCAGCTGCTGTGGAAACAGACTAGCAGTTCCTCACAAAACTAAAAATAGAATTACCATGTGATCCAGCAACCCCACTTCTGGATATAGACCCAAACTGAAGGCAGGGTCTTGAAGAAATATTTGTATGCCTGTTTTCATAGCAGCCTTATGCACAATTTCCAGAGAATAGAAGATACAATGGAATATTATTCAGCCTTAAAAAGGAAGGAAATCCTGACATATGCTGAAACATAAATTAACCCTGAGGACGTTATGCTCAGTGAAATAAGCCAGTCATTGAGATTCCTAGAGTATCACATTTGCAGAGACAGAAGGCAGAATGGAGAGGTGGCCAGGGGCTGGGGGCGGGGAGGGGGAGCCGGTGTTTCTTGGGGACAGAGCTTCAGTTTGGGAAATGAGAACATTCTGGAGCGGGGTGGTGTGATGGCTGCACCTCTGTGTGAATGCGCTTCATGCTGCTGAAGTGTGCAGTTTAAAATGGTTAAAATGGTAAATTTTATGTTGTGTGTATTTTACCACAAAAAAAAAAATAGGCCCCCTGGAAAAACATCCGTTGTGCATGTGTTTGTGAAATGGAGGTGTGGCCAGTGGACTCTGGCCACCATCCTGTGCCTGGTGCTGTCTGAGAGTCGCCCCGGCTGGCATCAGGGCCTTCTCGTTGCTGCCCTCTCTCCCATTGCTCCTTTGCTGAGAGGCTGCCCTCTCTCTTGGCTGAATTTGGCTGAACATAACTGAGTGGGCCAAATAGTAAGTGTGCAAGTGGGTAGGCACAAGTCAGTCCTGCCGCCCAGTGCTTATTAAGCACTGCATGAAAAGGGCACAGAATTCCCTGGAGTAGAATGTGCCCAAGTTTACGTAAGTCACATACAGCTCACCGCCAAGCAGCAGCCTTGAAGACCCCACTTCAAGTGTGACTGACAGCAGCGGTGGGTGCAGGGGAAGGGTGGGTCACAGCTGCCACCCTGAGGTTGGGTCGGCTCCCAACTCCGCCTCTCCTCCCACCTGCTGCTTTCTTTTCATCCTGCGTTTCCTTGCTTGCCCCTCCCCACACCTGCACAGACCTTTGTCAGGGGGAACCCAGGTCCCCGGGGCCTCCAGGTGGAGCGAGCCTGAGCAACCTGACTTTCCAAACCTGCCGTCCACCCAGCAGGTCACTCGCCTTCCTCGGGCCACACTGGCTGCATCCTCCACTTGTTAAAAGTTGGCTCTTTAAACTCATAAATTGTAGATGCTTTTTCTCCAGTGCTTTAAGGATGGTTGCTGGCATTGAGTAAATACTTGTTGAATGGGTGAGTGAGTATACCAGTGGTGCATATTCATGGCGGAGAGTCTAAGAAGCACTGCAGAGGGTACAAGGCCACTCGTGTGTTGCCCTTTCCCTCCTCCCCCCCACCTCTCCATCTCCCTGGCCCTCCTTTTGGAGTTGTTTCTCAGAGGTCATGCCTTTAGGCTTCTTGGTGATTTTCTCTAGACCTTCTCTATGCATTTGCAATGTTTTTCCCCAAACACACCTCTCTGACTTATAAGATAATCTTACCTTGATATTGTTCCATTTCAATGGCTCGTTCTTTTTATTGAAGTGCAGAAAATGAGGCATGGAGAGAATCTGCAGCTCCTTGACTTACCAGAAATGCACGTGCCCTTTAATCGGCACAGAGATCAAGAATCAGAACACTCCCTGAGCCCCCGTCCAGCCCGGTGGGAAAAAGTGGCTGTTTGAAAACGGGCCTGATTCTGTGTCCCGGGCGCCCCCAGCTGACCCGCTGCTGCGTCCCGGGCGCCCCCAGCTGACTGCTGTTGTGCCTTCAGCAGGTGTCCATGTCCACGGCTTCATCTTCAGTGGAACCGCTTGCTCCACTTCAGCTCCAGGGGCCTTGGCTGGCAGACCCCTCCCCTCCCCCACCACCCCGACTTTCCCTGTCTTTTCTGTGCCCCCTGTCACAGCTCCTCAGTGAGGACCTCTGTGCCTATCTTGTGTCACTTTGTGTCTTTAATAAGTTCTGGAACCATTCGGAGCCTCAGTTTCCTCACTGGTGAAATGAGTGGGCCACTGCCTCCCCTGAGAGCTTGTGTCACATTTCATGAGCTGACGTTTATAGAAGCAAATACCCTATTTCCACATTGCTTCTTGGGACGATCTTAAATTTCACAGATCATTTATAAGAATCTGTGTTTCCATAGGAAATGCTGATATTCTCTTCCTTTTTTTTTTTTTTTTTTTTTTAACATTTCTGTATTTGTTATCCCTGTAATTAAAGCCAGTTGCTGAAGCACAGTAGGATGCGTGCACTGTGATAGACTAATAGGAACAACTTTTTCTCTTCCACAGCGCTGCAAACTCCTGCCCCTCCAGCCCCCGGGGAGCGGGGTCTTCAGGGTACAAGGTGGGCCGAGTGATGCCATCTGACCTCAATTTAATGGCTGACAACTCACAGCCTGAAAATGAAAAGGAAGCTTCAGGTGGAGACAGCCCGAAGGTAAAGGCTTTGTAGCCTTGAAGCAGCCCCTGGGGGACAGTGTGTAGCCACAGGGCCCTCAATGTCACCTGCCTGTCACTCACCTGCCTGTCCAGTGACAGCCCTGCCAGGGCATCGGTGGGGATGTGGGCTTGATTCTGGTGTTGCTGCTGTGTTCTTGGTATTGGGGCTTTTTGCAAGTGTACTCGTTTAGTCATTCAACGCACATCTTAGGGTCTCCCTAATAGCTGTAGGCCCAGGTGCTGAGGGCTGGGCAGACAGCGGAAGATGGAGGAGTACCTTGGTCTTTGTGGAGCTCATGTGTGTTTGTGCCGGAGTTTATCCCCTTGTCCCAAACTCTGAAGGTTATGCAAATGCACACCCTGCCACTCATGTTTGTATAGGGCACGTTTGTCACTTGTTTGGACAGCAGTTGTTGAGAGTCACACTATGACCTGGCACGTTTGTATTCTTTGACCCAGTAATTTTCCTTTTAGGACTTTGACCAAAGGAAATGGATGAAAGTTTGTATAAAACAATGGAATGCGGCTGGGTGTGGTGGCTCATGCCTGTAATCCCAGCACTTTGGGAGGCCAAGGCGGGGGGATCACTTGAGGTCAGGAGTTGGAGACCAGCCTGGTCAACATGGTTAAACCCCGCTTCTACCAAAAAAAAATACAAAAAGCCAGGCGTGGTGGCACGCAGCTGTAATCTCAGCTGCTCTGGAGGCTGAGGCGGGAGAATCACTTGAACCCCGGGAGGCGGAGGTTGCAGTGAGCTGAGATCACGCCACTGAACTCCAGCCTGGGTGAGAGAGTGAGCTCCTGTTTCAAAAAAATAAAATAAAAAATAAAAAGAACGCAACCTCAGTGTCCCTAGGGGAATGGTGATTAGGATATTGTGCTTCCACTTAGGGAATAGCATGCAGAGTATTTGCTGATATGGAAATATTCCAGATGTAATGCTGAGTGGAAGAAAGAGAGTAAGAACCATGCATGGTATTACTTGACATATTGAGGAAGTGTGATCTATCCCAGCAGAACGCAGCACAGCCATGAGAATGAATAAGCCACAGCTGTGCATCCCCCACCTGCGGCCGACTACGGCGTCTAACACAGGGTGCTAGGCAAGGAGGGCGCGTCGCGTGTGGTGCTGTTTCTGTCAGGCTTACAATTGGACAGATCTAAGTTGTATTGTTTAAGGATGCAGCCAAGTGGTAAAACGTAGTAAATCCCAGCAAAACTGTGGTCACTCTAAGAAGTCAGTAGTAATGGTGGCCTCTTGGAGAAGTAGAGGTAGTGGGCTGAGAGGGCCCATACGAGCATGTTGGGGATGCTGGTGGTGCCCTGTCTCTTGACCTAGTATACTGATGTTCACTTTGCAAAAATTTGTTCAGCTGACATAAATGTATCATGAGCTTTTCTGTCTGTTTTATATGTTTTTCAATTTAAAAAGTTTTTAGAAACATAGAAAAAAATCACAGGGAAGTCAACAGCACAGGCACAGTGACGAAGGCTTTGTTAGCTGTTTAAAGGAAGAGACGTAGCGGGCAGTGTGGCATGCACCTGTAGTCACAGCTGCTCGGGAGGCTGAGGCAGAATCACTTGAGTTCAAAGCTGTGGTGAGCTACGATCAATCCTTGAATAGCCACTGTACTCTAGCCTGGGCAACATAGCAAGACCCTGTCTAAAAAGAAAGAATTAGGTATGTGGAGGGTCTTCTTGTGATTACATTTTTCTGTTTAAAAAAAAAAGCGATAGGCTGGGCGCAGTGGCTCACGCCTGTAATCCCCAGCACTTTGGGAGGCCAAGGTGGGCGGATCACGAGGTCAGGAGATCGAGACCATCCTGGCTAACACGGTGAAATCCCGTCTGTACTAAAAATACAAAAAATTAGCTGGGCGTGTTGGCAGGCGCCTGTAGTCCCAGCTACTCGGGAGGCTGAGGCAGGAGAATGGCGTGAACCCGGGAGGTGGAGCTTGCAGTGAGCCGAAATCGCGCCACTGCACTCCAGCCTGAGTGACAGAGCGAGACTCTGTCTCAAAAAAAAAAGAGAGACAAATTTGACTTCGGGAGGCCAAGGTGGGCATATCACTTGAGCTCAGGAGTTTGAGATCAGATTGGACAAAAAAGCAAGATCCTGTCTCTACAAAAATACCAAAAATTAGCCAGGCATAGTGGCATGAGCTTGGAGTCCCAGCTGCTGGGGCGGCTGAGGTGGGAGGATCACCTGAGCCCTGGGAGTTCAGGCTTCAGTGAGCCGTGATCACACCACTGCACTCTGGCCTGGGCGACAGAGTGAGACCGTGTCCCCAGAAAAGAAAAGACAAACGTCCCTCTGCCCACTCTGAGCTGTCAGCGCTGAACGCGGCCTGTGCTATGGAAGCCCATGTGGGCGCCTCTGATATCCTTGCCTCCTGTCTGTCAGCCTGCCTGTTTCCCATTCCATTTGTGTTTATCCTTGAACAGTATCTATAATTGTTCATTGTAAAACTCCATGTATATAGTATCATCTTGAATGTATTTTTTCATCCGACATTATCTGTTGCTCTTCATCCATGTTGACAAGCGTGTTGCCCAGAAGTTCACAACCAGGAGTGATTCCCTTTCCCAGTGGGCTCGTGCCTGTAAGTGTGGGTTTCAAGTTGTCACTATGACAGGGAGCCACCAGTGGCCTTGAAAGAGCCAGGACCAGGGATGCCAGCCTGTCAGCGGGGCACTCAGCAGCCAGGATGTCTCCAACCCCAAGGTGAAGCCTCCATGGGGCTCTTCGTGGGCCAGGGGGCTCCTCCTCATGGGCGGCAGGGTCTCCTTGTGGATGGGTATTTGGTGAGTCCCAGGGGCTCTGGGCAGCCCTGGCCACCCCTGGTGCTTATGCCTGGGGAGGGGTGCTGCTGGCTGTGAGCCCTCAGCCAGCCTTACCCACCCCTCGCCTGTACCCCTGGGGTAGCTGACAGGATCTGGTCGTGGTTGAGGTGCTTTGCCTTGGACTCCACTGAGGTCAAGCAGCCTTTATGTCTTCATTTTTGACATTTGGATTTTTTCCTTATGTAATTTTTAATATTCTTTATAGTTTTCCATTTGTTTCCTCCATGTTTTCGAATTGTATTACTTTCATAGTAAGAAAAATGAGGTATCAGGCTGGGCGCAGTGGCTCACACCCGTAATCCCAGCACGTTGGGAGGCCGAGGCAGGCGGATCACCTGAGGTCAGGAGTTTGAGACCGGCCTGGCCAACATGGTGAAACCCCGTCTCTACTAAAACCACAAAAATTAGCCGGGCGCGGTGGCAGGCGCCTGTGATCCCAGCTACTCGGGAGGCTGAGGCAGGAGAACCGCTTGAACTCAGAGGGCGGAGACTGCAGTGAGCCAAGATCGCGTCACTGTACTCCAGCCTGGGCGACACAGCGAGACTCTGTCTCAAAAAAAAGACAAATGAGGTATCAGAGGAACACTTAAAAGCACTGAGAATCTTTAAATCTAGTAAATTTAATACAAAATATGGTAACTTCAATATTCGTTTTGTGTTTGTTTTTTAAATACAGGATGATTCAAAGCCGCCTTACTCCTACGCGCAGCTGATAGTTCAGGCGATTACGATGGCTCCCGACAAACAGCTCACCCTGAACGGGATTTATACACACATCACTAAAAATTATCCCTACTACAGGACTGCGGACAAGGGCTGGCAGGTAAATGCCTTCAGTTTGTTGTTAAATAGAGGCTGATGGATACCGAGAAGAAAGTGGAGCGGCTGCTGTCTGGAACACAGGCACAGGATAGGAAGGTAGAAGGGGGGGTTGGAGCCTCCCGTGCTGAGAGGAAGAGGAGTTGGGGGCCGGTGCTGCCATGCTCTGCCTCACCTTCTTTGTGTGGAGCAGAAGGAAGCGTGGTTCTGGAGGAGCGTCTAGGCCTGCATGCTTTACTGTTGTGGAAATTCATGTGTCTGCATAGGATTTGTGAAGTGTGGATTGTTTGAGATATTTCCCTTTGACCAATGCAGTTCATATTTGAAATGTAGGAGAAATTTAAAACCCAGCCTATCCTTCCCTTTGGCATTCTCCTGTCTTCCTCATCTAATCCTGCTAATGGACAGAAGTTTTGAAGTTTGCAGAGACAGTTTTCAAACCGCATTTTACCAAGGAACACTTAGAAGACATCTTAACCAGTTGGCCGGGGTAAAAAACAGATGAACGTGGTGTGCCCTGTCTCAGCCGGGGAGCCCACCTGGTCGTGGAACCCCGGGGCTACCCCCAAGAGACACTTTGAAATCTGCAAAATATTCCCTTTGGTCAGCTCACACACCAATAATTTTTTTTTTTTTTTTTGAGTCAGAGTCTCGCTCTGTTATGCCAATAATTTTAACCCTTTAGATTATGTAGGTTTTTTCTCTGTGTATCTGTGTTGTGTTGGCTGTTTACTGGATGTATATGAGAATCTTGCTATTTGAAATAATTTGGCAGTGGGTAGGTTTGAAATATAGAATATTAAAAACATAGAGAAGAAATGTATGTATGCTTATAGTTTTTTAATTCATTAAGTAACCAGGAACATCTATAGAATTTCTTTGAGGCTTTAATGAGTAAATGATCCTTTAAAAAAACATCTAAACTACATGGCTTAGTGGTAAGGATGGTGCAGGGGCAACTGTTTTCTATTTATTGAAGGGGAAAAACCTTTTTTGTTTTAACCACAGATGTATAAACATGTTATGTTAAAAAATAGCCTACCGGCCGGGCACAGTAACTCATGCCTATAATTCTAGCACTTTGAGAGCCGAGGCAGGTGGATCGCGTGACTCTAGGATTTCGAGAGCAGCCTGGGCAACATGGCGAGACCCTGTCTCTACAAAAAATAAAAAAAAATTAGCTGAGTGTGGTGGCTTACGCTTGTAGTCCCAGCTACTCCAGAGGCTGAGGTGGGAGGATCACCTGAGCCCAGGAAGCAGAGGTTACAGATATCTGTGATCACACCACTGCACTCCAGCCTGGGTGACAGAGCAAGACCCTGTCTCAAAAAGGAAAAAAAAAGCCTACCAGCCACGTCTTCCATATTTCCTTTGTGGAGGGGCTTGGGGGTCTTTAATCATGGAAGGTACAGAATGAGACCCAGCCTCCCCTCTGGCCCACCTTGTGCCCACCCCCCATACCTGGAGTGTCTATACCCTGTCCTGCCTGCCTTCCTGTCTACAGCAAGGGGGTATCTCTTAATTGACCATTAGGAAAATGCTGGATTTGGAGAGTAGTTCCATATTCAGTTACATGTCAGGGTCTCTTAACATATTGCATGCTAAATTCTGGCCGTATTTACTCTATAAAACTGAGGCTGTGCTTCAAACTATATACATACACACACACACTCTCTCTCTCTCTCTCTCTCTCTCTCACACACACACACACACACACACACACACACACACACAACCAGATAATAACTTCTACCCATGTTCCAGTGACCATGGCTTTATGGCTTTGTCAAGGAGAGAAACTCCACATGGGGTCCAGCTTGCTCTGTGGGAGTGTGTGAGGGTCCCTCAGAGTTTACAGCTTATTCTGATGGTTTGAGATACCAGTTACCTGGGGCTTTGTCAGTGTGTTTCTAAGAAGCTTTATTAGACTCTAATGTGTTTCTCTTAAGTGGTATTTCTGTGTGTTTTTTCTAACATCCATTTATTTGAGAACTACCTATGAACAGGACAAGGCTTTCTTGCTAAAGAGGGTGGCTGGATAAAGGCCTGGCCTCAGTTTTGGGGGGGCCCAAGTCAGGACAGGTCTTTTGGGGAGCAGAGCCCTTGGAGCAAGGCTCTCCTGGACCACAGTCGTGAAGTGGCGAGGACCCCACGGGACCCCTCATGCATGCCCTGCTTTCTGTCGTCTATTGCAGGTGCCTGCACAGCTCACGTCGGCAGGGAATGACAGACTAGCACACGTCAGGCACCCTTCTCTGCTGAACTGCTATTAAACTTGTTTCTGTTGAAACATTTTCTCTCCTGTCTAGATGGAGGTCTGTAAGTCTACAGCTGCATCTCTTTCCCCAGTAAGGCCACTCCTGTGTCATTTCATGCCTCGTGGCTCCAGCTAATTAAGCGGGAGAGGGATTAGTTTCTCCAGATTCCTCCTAGTTCATGGACATTACTCTCTCTCTTTTTTTTTTTTTTTTGAGATAGAGTTTTGCTCTTGTTGCCCAGGCTGGAGTGCAATGGCGCGATCTCGGCTCACTGCAACCTCCGCCTCCCAGGTTCAAGCGATTCTCCTGCCTCAGCCTCATGAGTAGCTGGGACTACAGGCTTGAGCCACCACACCCGGCTAATTTTGTATTTTTAGCAGAGACGGGGTTCCTCCATGTTGGTCAGGCTGGTGTTGAACTCCCGACCTCGGGTGATCTGCCTGCCTCGGTCTCCCGAAGTGCTGGGATTACAGGCGTGAGCCACCGCGCCTGGCCAATGTACTTTGAATTTCTTTCTGTCCTCAGCTGTACCCTTGGCTGTCAGAATACTGACCCTCACGGGCTCTTCCTGTGCCATGAGATTCTCTGAGCCGCCCTTCCCAGTGCCTCAGACCTTATTCTGACTTCCTCCCTCCTGGCTTACAACAAAAGCCAGGTGTTTTGTATTGTCTACCTATGGTATAGCTTTTTGGTCAATCCACAGAGGACATCTGAGGGTGAAATGAGATGGTCTGAGGAATCCTATTTGAAAAGATGCCATATGTCTTTCTTTTGTTTGCATTTACGTCCTATGATTTGATTTTTTCATGGTACAAAAGTATTTAATAAGTGACACTTCAGTACAGAAAACACAGAGCTTGTAGCTTGTCCTTTAAAACCAGGACGGCCAAGTGAAAAGTCAGTACAGAGTCTTATTTTTACTATTAAACAAATCAAAGGGACACACTGGGCATTGAACTACTATGCTTTTTCTTCTTTCTAGAGATGACATACGTGTTTTCTGATAAGTAATGTACCACACATTGCACTAAAGCAAAGCAGCAAACAGCCAGTAAAGCTGTGCCCTGCCTGCTGCTCCTGCCGGGCTGGACCAGTGGAACACCATCTCGGTAGGAGAGGAAGAAAATGCAGAGTCCCTAACCCAGAGAGCCTAACAAACTGGTTTATACCGAAGTGATCTTCAGCAAACACGCAAACACACTAACATGCTGTAAGAATGTTTTAGTCTATTTCTAGCACACAGCATAAATTCGTAGGTGCCCAGTCAAATAGGAAGGAACGCCATTGTAGAAAGCATTTTTGCCTTCACAGCACTAACACCTAAAAAGCACACGGCATATAGTACTTTGATCTTTAAGTGGATAAGCATGGAAGTCCCAAGATCATATCCACTAGATTAGCCTGAGTATTCATCTATAAAAATATATATTTTTAAAATAATGCTTAAAAGAGACTTCTAGAAACAGTGGGACTACATCAGGAGCAGAAGACAGCGACACAAGGACTGCAAATGTTAAGACTAGGAGTGGCTTTTCACGTGGAACTTTTATGTAGAGGACGTCTCTTTCTGTTGATTGCTACAGCCGAGACAAGCTGTGATCACAGGAGATTCTGAAATCTCAAGCTGGGCTTGAGTAACACCCTAGATAGACATCAGGAACCCCATTGAGGCTGAAGTACTGAAACTGACCCATGTGAAGAAGAGATAAAGAGATGCAGATGCGCAAAGATTCACGCAGAGCCTGCTGGGACAGAGGGTGGCGGCGGGTTCATCCACACGTCCACACCAGCGTGTGTGCTTGGGTGGCGGCGGCGGGTTCATCCACACCAGCGTGTGTGCTCGGGTGGCGGCGGCGGGTTCGTCCACACGTCCACACCAGCGTGTGTGCTCGGGTGGCGGCGGCGGGTTCGTCCACACCAGCGTGTGCTCGGGTGGCGGCGGCGGGTTCGTCCACACCAGCGTGTGTGCTCGGGTGGCGGCGGCGGGTTCGTCCACACCAGCGTGTGTGCTCGGGTGGCGGCGGCGGGTTCGTCCACACCAGCGTGTGTGCTCGGGTGGCGGCGGCGGGTTCGTCCACACCAGCGTGTGTGCTCGGGTGGCGGCGGCGGGTTCGTCCACACCAGCGTGTGTGCTCGGGTGGCGGCGGCGGGTTCGTCCACACCAGCGTGTGTGCTCGGGGAAGGACCCCCCAAGTGGAGTGCTGGACATGGGCTCGCTCCAGAGGCGTCTGACTCAGAAGCTCCTGAGAGAAGTGTCTCCTTGAGGAGGGGAGGAATACTACGGTTAATGAATACAAGAAGGTGTTTCAGGAGAAATAGGTCTAGGAGGGTTAAGTCATTTTGGTTTTGACCTGTCAATACTTAACATAAATGAAGAATTACAAAACAGAGTCAGTCTTTTTCCAAGATGTATTCTGTCATCATGAGCTGAGCCTGTTGGGCTGGTGACATCCAGAATGTTCCAATTCATTGGCTGGAGGGAGGACCCAGTGCCGCAGATTGTTCTGGGAAGCTGGCACAGAAGATGATTGACACAACGAAGTCACCACTAAGCCACTGCTTAAGTCTAGTCCTCGGCCTTCTTTTTCTGCTCTGTAGTCCAAAACCGTGAACGTAGCAGCATGTCGAATATGTCACCAGCTGCTTCATTTTTATGGTGCTGTAATGTGGTGGTGAAAGCTGCCATGTTGAATCCAGAAATCCGCTCCAGCAGCTGTTCTTCAATATATTTTTCTACCAAAAAAATGTATGCAGGCTGGGTGCGGTGGCTCACGCCTGTAATCCCAGCACTTTGGGAGGCTGTGGCCGGCAGATCACCTGTGGTTGGAGGGTTCGAGACCAGATGACCAACACGGAGAAACTACATCTCTACTAAAAATACAATATTATTAGCGGGGTGTGGTGGTGCGTGCCTGTAATCCCAGCTACTCAGGAGGCTGAAGCAGGAGAATTGTTTGAACCCACATGGCGGAGACTGCGGTGAGCTGATACCGCGTCATTGCACTCCAGCCTGGGCAACAAGAGCAAAACTCCGTCTCAAAAAAAGAAAAAGAAAAAAAGAAATGTATTCATTAAAAATAGGTGTGTAGGTGAGTTTATTCTCTTCCGTGTCTTCAAACTCCAGGTAGTACTTGTCCATGTAATTTCTCTGTAATAACTGGAACTCGTTATCCATGATAACGTTCTCTAAATATCCAACCACAACAGCAAATTCATCAGAGGTGGAGGAGAAAGACAGCACAAAGCTCTCTTCTTCTAAGGTGTCCATCACTGCAGCCCCGAGCAGGCTCCTACCCCGCCTGTGGCCCAACCTGCATGCAGGGCGTGGCGGGCGGCCGGGTTAAGGTCTCGCAGCCAAAGCTGCGGCGTGCTCACTGCCCAGTCAGGGCAGCACCTGCGTGCCAGGCCCAGCCCTGGGTTAGGGCCCCGCCGGGCCCTCTGTGCATACCGCCGACACTGCGGGCCAAGGTCTCGGTGACTCCAAAATGATTTTTATGGTTTTATGATTTTACTTCACCCAGAATTGAGATAATTGTTGTGACTATGAGAAGTTTGAAAGGACGGGCCTCTCAGCCTCCAAAGGGACTAGAGCTGGTTCCTTTTATTTATTTTTGTTTTATTTATTTTTTTGGGGACAGAGTCTTACTCTGTTGCCCAGGCTGGAGTGCAGTGGCGCGATCTCAGCTCACTGCAACCTTTGCCTCCTGGGTTCAAGTGGTTCTCCATTCTCAGCCTCCTGAGGAGCTGGGACTACAGGTGCATGCCACCATGCCCGGCTAATTTTTGTGTTTTTACTAGGGATGGGATTTTGCCATGTTGGCCAGGCTGGTCTCGAACTCCTGACCTCAAGTGATCCACCCGCCTCGGCCTCCCAAAGTGCTGGGATTACAGGCGTGAGCCACCGCACCCGTCACTTGATCTCTTTTAAAGGGAGGACTGTACTCTGGACTCACCCTCACCCTTGCACTTTTGGAAGCGTTCCTGGACATTAGACCCATCCTCTGAAAGGAACTTGTCCTGTTCCTTCTCCTCAGTTTCTGTACACGTCCTTACTGTGCAGAGTGCACACGGGAGCGCACTCAGGGCTGGGTGAGGAAACAGACAAACCGTCCTTGAGAAACGTGAGGTCTGCTTAGGAAGGCTGCAGGAAGGCACAGAGGAGAGCCCCGGAAGGGAGGGAGCTGGTGCTCAGGGAGGGCTGATTTTCAGCAGACGCTCAATTTGGAAAGCCTTTGGGGGAAAGGTAATTGCTCAGAATTGCAAATCCTTTTCTTCATGTTTAGCGTTAAAGAATAACAGCCCACGTTTTCTCTGAAAGCTTTAAAATTTCTGAATCATTAGAGTCCAGTCAATGTGGTTTTAATACATGTAGCAACAGAATGAAGGAACATCCATCCTGGGTTTGATCAAATTACAACAGCCTTAAATTACCTTAGAAACATAGTTACTTTATTCTATTTGTGTCTACATTAAATGTCTCATTAATTCCTCATATTTTCTGGAGTCTTGTTGGCTGGCAAATCACAAGTAATCTTTCTTCATTTGCCCTTGGAGTTGTTGTCAGGGAGATGGATTGGAGAATAAAATAGGTTAGAATCTATTCTGATGCTGCGAACTGGGTTCTTTTACGTTTTCAGGACAGAAAATAGCAGCTCCCCAATTCCACAGACTTACTTTGCGTCTCGTAAGTGATGGTGGTGGTGACGCAGGGGCAGGGCTTCTGGCCCGTGTCACGTTCTTCTGCTCACATGGCTGGAGTATGGCCCCAAAGTCACCTTTTCTGCTTCCACATTCCCACTGTGCTAACCTTCTTTCCTCCTAAGAGCATGCAAATTAAATGACTCCACATCAGTCAGTACAGCCACAGCCTTCACTTCGGGGCTTGTTGACTGTTGTCTGTTCTTCAGACTCGGATGCTGCGTGGGGTAGCTCTTTCTGAGTCCCCGCTTAGGAGGACTGGTCCTGGTAGAACAGCGAGAGGGGAAGTCGTCCTTCTCAGGCAGTGGCTGGGATTGCCATTTGCACTGCTTGAGGGTTTTATATTACCATCGTGTGGGTTTGCTTTTCTTCAGTCCTAGTCTCAGAATCTACCTTCTACTTCACACTTAAAATTCTGAGAGCAGTTGGCAAAGCTTTGCCTTCTCTGTCTTTGTCGGGGCACCAATAACAGTCATGTTTGATTTTCTGGAGGAATTGATAGAAAGATTGGGCGTCAGCTAAAGCCAAATAAAACATTATAGCAGTATCTGTGGTTATTAGAATATTTGAAATCTCATCTGATGCCCTTACCTATAAACAGTTTCACAAATCCCACACATGGCCTAGCCCACCTCTTCATGTCGCCCATGAAGTAGCTCCATCCACAGGGCCCAGATCCCTCCCACACATGGCCTAGCCCTCCTCTCCATGTCACCCATGAAGTAGCTCCATCCACAGGGCCCAGATCCCTCCCACACATGGCCTAGCCCTCCTCTCCATGTCACCCATGAAGTAGCTCCATCCACAGGGCCCAGATCCCTCCCACACATGGCCTAGCCCTCCTCTCCATGTCACCCATGAAGTAGCTCCATCCACGGGCCCAGATCCCTCCCACACATGGCCTAGCCCTCCTCTCCATGTCACCCATGAAGTAGCTCCATCCACAGGGCCCAGATCCCTCCCACACATGGCCTAGCCCTCCTCTCCATGTCACCCATGAAGTAGCTCCATCCACAGGTCCCAGATCCCTCCCACACATGGCCTAGCCCACCTCTCCATGTCGCCCATGAAGTAGCTCCATCCACAGGGCCCAGATCCCTCCCACACATGGCCCAGCCCTCCTCTCCATGTCGCCCATGAAGTAGCTCCATCCACAGGGCCCAGATCCCTCCCACACATGGCCTAGCCCACCTCTCCATGTCGCCCATGAAGTAGCTCCATCCACAGGGCCCAGATCCCTCCCACACATGGCCTAGCCCTCCTCTCCATGTCACCCGTGAAGTAGCTCCATCCACAGGGCCCAGATCCCTCCCACACATGGCCTAGCCCTCCTCTCCATGTCGCCGGTGAAGTAGCTCCATCCACAGGGCCCAGATCCCTCCCACACATGGCCCAGCCCACCTCTCCATGTCACCATGAAGTAGCTCCCATCCACAGGGCCCAGATCCTTCCCACACATGGCCCAGCCCTCCTCTCCATGTCACCCATGAAGTAGCTCCATCCACAGGGCCCAGATCCCTCCCACACATGGCCCAGCCCACCTCTCCATGTCACCCATGAAGTAGCTCCATCCACAGGGCCCAGATCCCTCCCACACATGGCCCAGCCCACCTCTCCATGTCACCCATGAAGTAGCTCCATCCACAGGGCCCAGATCCCTCCCACACATGGCCCAGCCCTCCTCTCCATGTCACCCGTGAAGTAGCTCCATCCACAGGGCCCAGATCCCTCCCACACATAGCCCACCCCTCCTCTCCATGTCACCCGTGAAGTAGCTCCATCCACAGGGCCCAGATCCCTCCCACACATGGCCTAGCCCTCCTCTCCATGTCACCCATGAAGTAGCTCCATCCACAGGGCCCAGATCCCTCCCACACATGGCCCAGCCCTCCTCTCCATGTCACCCGTGAAGTAGCTCCATCCACAGGGCCCAGATCCCTCCCACACATAGCCCACCCCTCCTCTCCATGTCACCCGTGAAGTAGCTCCATCCACAGGGCCCAGATCCCTCCCACACATGGCCTAGCCCTCCTCTCCATGTCACCCATGAAGTAGCTCCATCCACAGGGCCCAGATCCCTCCCACACATGGCCTAGCCCTCCTCTCCATGTCACCCGTGAAGTAGCTCCATCCACAGGGCCCAGAGGCATTAGGATGGCACTTGGACAACCCCTGAGATGGGTTGTAAAGTGTTATTTTATATTTTGTATGTTGGATTTCTTAGTCACCTTTGACGATTTGAAATTCAGGCTGAGGCTTGCAATTCTAATAAGGTTAATTGGGGAATTTAGAAATGATTTTTGGATAGCTCCAGATTTTGTTTTGAGTGATCACCATTTTAACACTTTAATAGCTTAATTTTAAATCTACACATTAATGTAAATTCACGAAATGTTTCTATGAACCCATGACGTTCGTCCGGCTTTGGCCTGAGTCAGGTCCCAGCGGGGGCTTTCTTCAGGGTGTCTGTCAACTCTTAGCTGGGCTTTTTTCTGAGATGGAGTCTTGCTTCTATTGCCCAGGCTGGAGTGCAGTGGTGCGATCTGGGCTCACTGCAACCTCCTCCTCTCGGCTTCAAGCAATTCTTCAGCTTCAGCATCCTTAGTAGCTGGGACTACAGGTGTGGGCCACTGTGCCCGGATGATTTTTGTGTGGGTTTTTTTTTTTTTTTGAGATGGAGTCTTACTCTGTCGCCCAGGCTGGAGTGCAGTGGCGCAATCTCGGCTCACTGCAAGCTCTGCCTCCCGGGTTCACACCATTCTCCCGCCTCAGCCTCCCGAGCAACTGGGACTACAGGTGCCCGCCACTACGCCCCGCTAATTTTTCGTATTTTTAGTAGAGACAGGGTTTCACCGTGTTTGCCAGGATGGTCTCGATCTCCTGACCTCGTGATCCGCCCGCCTCGGCCTCCCAAAGTGCTGGGATTACAGGCGTGAGCCACCATGCCTGGCCAATTTTTGTATGTTCAGTAGAGACGGGGTTTCACCATGTTGGCCAGGCTGGCCTCAAACTCCTGACCTCAACTGAGCCGCTGCGCCCGTCTGGCTTTTTGTAATAGAAAGAATGATGCACTGATGAGGAGCTGGGAGGGAAATTTTTCCTGTGTACGTTACGAAATTATTTCAGAGTTCAAATAAAAAAACAGGTACTTTGCCAAGTCCTCTCTTCCTGGAAGATGGTGTCCATCCTGATTTTCAGCCTCCTGCTCATTTTTCTTTTTTGCTGGTTTACCAAATACTTTATACTGGATTAATTTACTTTTAATGGCATGACAGATTCTGTAAGCTAATTCTGTGCGAAAAAGTATTTTAACAGAATGGCTCACATCAGCTCTGTTTGTCTCCAAGCAGGGAGAGGTTGGCAGCTAAGTCATTGCCTCCACCTGGAATGCTCAGTGCTGACAGTTGCAGTCCTGGGTTTCCCACCTTGAAAGGAGATGGAGTCAGAAATGGCCTCTGTCTGCGCTGTGTGGATTGCTCATCCCTCCTGTTGCCAGCTCTCCACCCTGCCTCCCGGGGCCCGTTCTGCCACAGAGTGAGGTGTCCTTTCCTCTTTGGAAGCCCATAGCAGCCTTGGGCTGAAGGGCTCAAACCCCAGGCTGCTACTTCCCTTGAGAATTGCTCACCCAGGCGGGAGGGCTGCTCCTTCCACACAGCACAGCCTGTAAACGTCACTCTCTGTCATCGTTTATAAGCATGATGACTGGGTTTTCACGCTTCCCCATAGGATGGGCCTTCCTTAAATCTTGTTATGTTGTCAGCACATTACTTGTGTGACGCAAAAGAAAAAAAATTCACTCTTGCAGTCTGCCAGGCCCAACATGTAGGTTTCTGCTTTTTAGGGCACTAAAACGAGGACACATTTTTATTTCTCAGCAAATAAATATATGAATTCTACGTATTTTTTTATGTTTCATAGAATTCAATTCGCCACAATCTCTCTCTGAATCGTTATTTCATCAAAGTGCCGCGTTCCCAGGAAGAACCAGGCAAAGGCTCGTTCTGGAGGATAGACCCAGCCTCTGAAAGCAAATTAATAGAACAGGCTTTTAGGAAACGACGGCCTAGGGGCGTGCCCTGCTTTAGAACCCCTCTGGGACCGCTCTCTTCTAGGTAAGGAAAAAGAAGAACAAAAGGCCTCACTTCGTGCTTACTAAACTTACCTTCAGTGTATTGGGAAAATTTCCTTTTGAAAATGAAGGAACTACTAAATGCATTATGATTAAATGTTGGGATGGGGATTTGAGCAAAAGTGTTGGGTGCTGCCCAGGTGTTTCTGGTTCTAGTGGCTGAAACATTTGAGACGATTTGCAAAGTTTAAACTGCACTCGACGCAGTGATTGTTGCTTCATGGGGCTCATCGCATGTTGTTCATACCAGTGCCACGTCGACGTTTTTCCTTTCCCTTGGCACAGGAAAAGTTCTTTAAAACTACTTTTTAGGCCGGGCGCTGTGGCTCACGCCTGTAATCCCAGCATTTTGGGAGGCCGAGGCGGGCGGATCACCTGAGGTCAGGAGGTCGAGATCAGCCTGGCCAATATGGTCAAACCCCGTCTCTACTAAAAATACAAAAAAATTAGCCGGGCGCGGTGGCGCGCGCCTGTAATCCCAGCTACTCGGGAGCCTGAGGCAGGAGAATCGCTTGAACCCGGAAAGGCAGAGATTGCAGTGAGCCGAGATTGCGCCACTTCGTTCTAGCCTGGGCAAAACAGCGAAACTCCGTCTCAAAACAAAAATACACTACTTTTTAGCTGCTTAAGTTCGAGTTGACTTATACAGTGTTAATTTGCCTGAGTTTAAATACTTATTTTTAGCTTCACTAATACTGTTTTTAACAAAAAAAAAAATGAGCGTAACGTAAGTCTTAAATGCCCACGGACCTGCTCGCTGCCGGCTCCACCGTCAGTGCACGGGAGCTGCTTAGAGAGGGCAGCTGGCTCCGCCCCACAGCCGTGCCGCGTATGTGGGTGAGGGCCCGTGACGGCCCTGTCCCACACAGGCTGAGTCTGTCTACCCGAGTGTCCCGCTCAGTTCACAGGCGTAGGCGTGCAGAGACGTAGAACTTACACAACAGTACTTGGTTGTCAGGAGACAAATGACACCCCCTTTGCAAAGTGCACTTATTAAAACAGCAAGTGCTTTCTGAGTGCGTCAGCTGTAACCATGCAATGTCTTCTTCTCGGTGACACAGGAGTGCCCCAGCCTCTCCCAATCACGCGGGAGTGCTGTCTGCTCACTCTAGTGGCGCCCAGACCCCTGAGAGCCTGTCGAGGGAAGGTTCGCCGGCCCCCCTGGAGCCTGAGCCTGGCGCTGCACAGCCCAAACTCGCTGTCATCCAGGAAGCCCGGTTTGCCCAGAGCGCCCCAGGTGAGACAGCGGGAGAGGAAGCGAGGGCCCCAACAGCGTGAGCCAGACGCGGACGCCTGGGCTCCACAGAGAAGAAACAGCCGGACTGGAGGCCTGCCTGTCCCTCTGTACCTTATACTAGTACCTGATTTTATAGGCCTTGGAAAACTAATAGCACTGGGAGTGTTTTTTAAAAATCAATGAAGGTTCTTTAAACGACACTGAGTAGATGCCTGAAATAACTTAGAATTAACCTGTTTCTTAGTTTGTCATTCAAAAATCCATGAAACAGCCCCCGCACCCCCACCCCCCGCAAAAAAATCAAAACAAAACAAAAACCCATGAAGTAGACAAACTAGACACTGGAAGCAAAAACATGTCCTTTTTTTTTTTTTTTTTTTTTTTTTGAGACAGAGTCTCACTTTGTCACCAGGCTGGAATCTTGGCTCGTTGCAACCTCTGCCTCCCAGGTTCAAAGAATTCTCCTGCCTCAGCTTCCCGAGTAGCTGGGACTACAGGCACACACCACCACACCCAGCTGCTAATTTTTGTATTTTTAGTAGAGACAGGGTTTCACCATGTTGGCCAGGATGGTCTCAATCTCTTGACCTCGTGACCTCATGATCCACCTGCCTTGGCCTCCCAAAGTGCTGGGCGTACAGGCGTGAGCCACCACGCCCAGCCTAACATGTCCATTTTAAGGAATAGGTAAAACAGTTTGCAGTTTACTTAGTCATAATGTGGAATAAAAATGTGTGCCCTGGGGAATTAAACAAACAAACATAGTGTGGAAATGTGTCCAAACTGTCTGTTACAGTTGACAGAAAGTGAATTGGGTCATTTGGGATTCCTGGCCCTGCCGGGCCAGAGAACAGCCCTCCCCTGCCCACTGGCGGTGGCCCCTGACAGCCATGTCTCCCTCTCTTTGCTCTAAGCCCCCAAACCATGGCAGAGGCCCCTGACAGCCGTGTCTCTCTCTCTGCTCTAAGCCCCCAAACCACAAAGGGCAGAGGCTGGGTGCCAGAGGCTCTGTGACAGCCCCACTCTGTTTTTGAACTTTCTGCTTCCCTTCCACTCGTTACAGGAGGAAGATGTTGATCCTAGGTGAGTGTGGCCCTCGTCTTTCTGGCCTACAGGGGCAGTTTCTTCTTTTTTTTTTTTTGTTCGTTTGTCTTGAGACAAGGTCTTGCTCTGTCACTCATGCTGGAGTACAGTGACGTGTTCTTGGCTCACTGCAGTCTCCACCTTCCAGGCTCAAGCAATCCGCCCTCCTCAGTCTCCTAAATAGCTGGGGCTGTAGGCGCACAGTAACATGCCCGGTTAATATTTGTCGTAGAGACAGGGTCTCCCTATGCCCAGGCTGATCTCAAACTCCTCCCACCTCAGCCTCCCAAAGTGCTGGGATTACAGGCGTGAGCCACTGCGCCCGGCCCAGTTTCCTCTTTTATTGAGTATTGACATTTTCTTTTTTATAAAGAACTGTGGGAAGAGGGGTTACCAGATATCTAAATAGAGCCAAAATTGCATTTTTAGCAGTTAGAGATAGGAATTAAATACCCCTTTTAAAATACTACACCTCCCTCATTATTAGTAACTTTACTATTGTGAGGTGAAATAGGGCCATATCCTATATTTTAAATTAAAGTTTGTATGTTGCTTGTCAGTGCTGAGTGTGAGAACCTTTGTTTGTAGAAGTCAGTATCTGTAAGTGTCAGTCCTGCTGTGTCTTTCACCAGGGTCACCTCTGTCCAGTCAGCCAGTCTTAATCACCGTCCAGCGGCAGCTACCACAGGCCATCAAGCCTGTCACCTACACTGTGGCCACCCCAGTGACCACCTCGACCTCCCAGCCACCCGTCGTGCAGACGGTTCACGTCGTCCACCAGATCCCAGCGGTGTCGGTCACCAGTGTGGCCGGACTGGCCCCAGCGAACACGTACACTGTCTCTGGACAAGCTGTGGTCACCCCGGCAGCCGTGCTGGCCCCTCCTAAGGCAGAGGCCCAGGAGAATGGAGACCACAGGGAAGTCAAAGGTAGGCGGAGGGGAAAGGAGGAGAGGGGAGACCACAGGGAGGTGAAAGGTGGGCCGGGGGGGGAAAGGAGGAGAGGGGAGACCACAGGGAGGTCAAAGGTGGGCCGGGGGGGAAAGGAGGAGAGGGGAGACCACAGGGAGGTCAAAGGTAGGCGGAGGGGAAAGGAGGAGAGGGGAGACCACAGGGAGGTGAAAGGTGGGCGGGGGGGAAAGGAGGAGAGGGGAGACCACAGGGAGGTCAAAGGTGGGCCGGGGGGGGAAAGGAGGAGAGGGGAGACCACAGGGAGGTCAAAGGTGGGCCGGGGGGGAAAGGAGGAGAGGGGAGACCACAGGGAGGTCAAAGGTAGGCGGAGGGGAAAGGAGGAGAGGCTGCCCCATCAGCCTCACACTCTGGGAAGTCCATAAGATTTGCTCATCCTTGGCCAGGTACAGTGGCTCACACCTGTAATCCCAGCACTATGGGGGGCTGAGACGGTCGGATCACCTGAGGTTAGGAGTTGGAGACCAGCCTGACCAACACGGAGAAACCCTGTCTCTACTAAAAATACAAAATCAGCTGGGCATGGTGGCGGGTGCCTGTAATCCCAGCTACTCGGGAGGCTGAGGCGGGAGAATCACTTGAACCCGGAAGGTGGAGGTTGCAGTGAGCTGAGATTGCGCCATTGGACTCCAGCTTGGGTAACGAGCGAAACTCCATCTCAAAAAACAAAAAAAAGATTTGCTCATCTTTTTCTAATTTGCTGTTTGTTTTAGAGACATTTTCTAGCAGGTGTGATAGCTATCTGGTTATTATGTTTTAAACTGGCAAGATTTTTATTTGCTTTCCAGTAATATTAATGTCGTTTCTTTTCCTTTAATTTCAGTGAAAGTAGAGCCTATTCCCGCCATTGGCCACGCCACGCTCGGCACTGCCAGCCGGATCATTCAGACGGCACAGACCACCCCGGTCCAGACGGTGACCATAGTACAACAGGCACCTCTAGGTCAACACCAGCTACCAATAAAAACTGTAACACAAAACGGCACTCACGTGGCATCAGTCCCCACTGCGGTCCACGGCCAGGTGAACAATGGTAAGACATGCTGGTCGGTGGCTCCCCGTGGCTGTGGGTACTGGGAGCAGAGCCCCTTCTCACTCGTGGTTTCGGTTCTGACTGTAACAATTTTAGCTTTTGTCTGAGGCAATGTTTGCATTTCGAAGCTGCAGGAAATCTAGTCATGCTGGGGAAGTGGTCGTGGAGTCGGCCGTCATGGGATTCCCGTGGGAGGACCTGCCTGAAAAGAGATGAGAGTTTCTAATACATTGAGAGGGAAAAATACTCTCGCCTCTTGTAGATTTCCTGGGTGTGGCCTGGAAGCGGCCTGAAACGGCGGGAGCCGCCGCGTGTCTTTTCCCTTGGCCTCGCGCGCCCTGTGGCCTGTGGCGGTGCTATGCTGCTGAGGGTGGGAGAGAGGCTGCTTTTCTGTGCGCTTTGCTCTCAGAGTCCGTCCGAGGCCGGTGCACAGAAAACCGCACGGATGTTCTGACATTGACAAGTGGAGACACCAGAACCTCCGCGCCGACACCGGGTTATCTACCTTCGCCCTGCCCTGTGGAGTGTGGAAAGGGTGGGAGTCCCTGCTGGCTGCCGAGTCAACTCTGGCATTGGGGCCTGGCTCAGGTGTGGGCTCCCGCTGCTCTGGGTTGGGTACATGTGGGCTGTTGCCGGCTGTGTGGCTGATCCTGGCGCTTGCGGGATCTCAAGCAGGCAAATCCGAAGCTACCGACTAAAACTGTCTCTGTGCCCACGACACGCTTTCTTTGAAAGAGGGTACAGGTCAGAAGGCTTTATCACGACGTTTGAATCCTTACCGAACGCTACGAACAGAGACCTTGAAACCTGCAGGTACCTCCTACTCTGACTCAGCACCACCCTGCCTCTCCCCAAATTTATGGAAGAACAAGGTCTGGAACCTTTTCTAGGGAAGACTGACTACCTGGGGTTTTTTTTGTTTTTAAGTAATAGCAACACTTGCTGCCTGTAGATAGATCGCAGAGTTTGCAGTCATCAGTTACCTGTTTGAATGCCTTCGTCCCCAAGCCCTGTGTCTCCTCCTTCTCTTCTCTCTGGGTAACTGTGGCTGTGGATGCTCTAAGGTGATAAACCTGGTGGCACTGCAGGTAGCTGGGAGGAGATGGAAGCCGGGAGGGCTGGCGATTGGAGGGCAGGCGGTTGGAGGGCTGGCTATTGGAGGGCAGGCGGTTGGAGGGCTGGCGGTTGGAGGGCTGGCGGTTGGAGGGCAGGCGGTTGGAGGGCAGGCGGTTGGCTTTCTGGTCTTAGTCACTCCCAGTCTGAAGACAAGGCAGAGGCCTAGTGATTCCCAGATTCGATATGTGTCAGAATCACCCAGAAGGCTTGGCTGTTAGAGGCCAGAGTGCTGCGTTCCCCAGAGTTCCCGACTAGGCCTGTCTGGTGTGGGGCCCAAGAATGCATTTCTGAAACAGTCCAGGTCTGCCAAGAGCCTCCGGTGCAGGTCAGAGGCTTTCTGGGTCCACCTCTCTTAGAAGCAGTTTGAAAAACCGTATCCCTGCCTGGTATAGTGCCTCACGCCTGTAATCCCAGCACTTTGGGAGGTCGAGGTGGGTGGATCACGAGGTCAGGAGTTCAAGACCAGCCTGGCCAACATGGTGAAACACCATTTCTACTAAAAAAAAAAAAAAAAAAACAAATTAGCCGGGTCTGGTGGCGGGTGCCTGTAGTTGTAGCTTCTCGGGAGGCTGAGGCAGGAGAATCGCTTGAACCCGAGTGTGGAGGTTCCAGTGAGATGAGATCATGCCACTGCACTCCAGCCCGGGCGACCGTGCGAGACTCTGTCTCAACAAAAAAAGAAAAACGGTATCCTTTTTATGTATTTAAGTTATCTGGAATTTTTCATTATAAATTTAAGCAAGTGTTTTAATTTTTCACTATTGAAAATATTGATGTTTTAAAATAAAGCTTTTACGGGATTATTTTCAGTGTACTACTGGACTCCAAATACAGACATCATGAGATGTCCACTTGCCCACGTGTGGACACACAGGCAGGAGCGGCCCAGATCCTCCCTTGTCTGTGGCCTGGTCTTTCCATCTCACATTCCCTAACAGGTTTTGTACGAGTCACATACTTTAGGCTTAAATGTCATTTATTAGTCATATCTTTTCTCTGCAGCAATAAAATATAGATATAAATATTAAAGTTTGTCTATGAGTAACAAAATTGATAAAACCCAAAAATATAACAAATTCTTATAAAACCAAAAATTAAAATGTTACTGAAGATGCCTTTCTTAGTGTATTTAGCTTTAAAGGAAACCACCTGATTCGTTCTGTATTCACTGATGGTTGCACAGTCCTAGTGTCAACACTGAGGGCCTGTTTCCACTCAGGAAGGAGAGGACAGTGTCAGCACTGAGGGCCTGTTTCCACTCAGGAAGGAGAGGACAGTGTCAGCACTGAGGGCCTGTTTCCACTCAGGAAGGAGAGGACAGTGTCAGCACTGAGGGCCTGTTTCCAGATGAACGTGAAAGTCTGTCAGTGATCTTGGCTGGGTGTGGTGGCTCACGCCTGTAATCCCAGCACTTTGGGAGGTGGAGGTGGGCGGATCACTTGAGATCAGGAGTTGGAGACCAGCCTGGCCAACATGGTGAAACTCCGTCTCTACTAAAACTACAAAGATTAGCCGGGTGTGGTGGCACATTCCTGTAATCCCTGCTACTCTGGACGCTGAGGCAGGAGAATCGCTTGAACCTGGGAGATGGAGGTTGCAGTGAGCCGAGTTCAGACCACTGCACTCCAGCCTGGGCAACACAGCGAGACTCCATCTCAAAAAAAAAAAAAAGTCTTGTCAGCACCAGTATTTCCTATTATTGCTTTCATGCTCCATCCCATAGTTTTCATCCCCAAAGCCAGTGCCCAGTTGAGCAGATGAGAGAGGCTGTTCAGAGAGAGGAGGTGGCAGATGGGCTTTAAGAAAAGACTTCAGGACCAAGAGGAGATTCTGGAAATGATTTTCCTTAAAACAGTGTCGGCTACAGCCTGGATGCTGAACACCTAGGATGAGAACCACTGCACAGGTGCTCATAATTTTGGCCTCTTGTAGTCTTTTATTTTTTATTTGGGAGGTAGTGTCTCACCATGTTGCCCATGCTGGTCTCAAGCTCCGGGGCTCAAGCAGTCTGCCCACCTCGGCCTCCCAACGTGCTGAGATGACAGGGTGAGCCACCGCCTCTGGCCAGCACGTCTTTTCATGTACTTTATGGTTATTTGTGTATCTTCTTTGAAGAAATTTTTTTTAAGTCCTTTGCCCATCATTTAATTGGGTTGTCTTTTTGTTGTGAAATTTGTAGTTCTTTATTCATATGTAGAGATTTCAGGCCTTTTCAGACATGTAGGTGTAACTCAGAGACATTGCAGGGTTGGTTCCAGACCACTGCAAAAAAATGAATATTGCAGTAGAGCTGCCAGTCACATGAAATTTTTGGGTTCCTACTATATTAAGCAATTATGTTTATACTAAATTGTAGTGTAGTGTATTACCCCAAGGAAAATGTAGTATTTTTACTGAGGAATTATGTGGATGTGGCCGAGTTTTCTGACCCAAGCATGGGGTTAGAATGTCCTGTGCAGGGAGGGACTGCACAGGCTGCCTGAGACTCTCCCAGGGGTACCAGAGGGCTCAGCACCACGAGCAGATAGGCCGAGGCTGGGCTGCCTGCCCTAAGGGGGTTCCATCCTCACCCTGGCCCCAAGGGCAGCCTGGGCCGGTTCTGCCTCTGCCACCAGCTGCTGTGGGACCCGGGGCTCAGGGCTTGGCCCCTGCGTGTGTCGTGAAGACAGTGCTGACAGATGGGAGGTGGGGCTGACAGGACGAGGGGTCAGGATGTTCCGGCCATGCACTGTAGCCCTGGCCTTGCAGGACAGCAGGTGGCTTGGTGGGATGATAGGTGAGTTCCGTGGGCAGGCGCAGGGCATGAGCTGCCAGTGTCTTCCTGGAAGGTGACTCTGGGGTTGTCGCTCCAGCTGGAGTGTACCCTCATTCCTGCTTCCATAGGGGTCTCCATGGAGGCCTCATTCAAACACAGGCGAGCCCATCCCTGGCCTGTCAGGTTCACCAGGGTGGCCCCTGGTCCCGTTGTCGCCGTTGTCCACACCCTGCCCACCTGCCAATGCTCCTGTGTCCCCTGCTCTGCTCCAGGGCCCCAAACCCTGTGCAGAGCTGGGGTGCATCATGCTGCCGCCCCATGGAGAAGGCCTGGAGGAGATGGAAGCCGGGAGGCTTCCTCTTACAGGAAGGGAAGCCCCAGAAATGTGCCTGGCACCAAGAAACTGCTCCAAGCTTGTTCCAGAGTGTGGGGAGGGCTTGAGGCCTCCCCTTTTTGAGTACATGGAAAGGAAAGCCTGGCATTTTCTGGAAACGCTCCCAAGTCTCCCTGGCAGGGAGATGTGGGAAGAGTCCAGGCGCCCAAGCTCTTGCATATTCACTTCCTCCCATCACACGTGCTGTGTACAAGCACCCTCAGAGCTCGCTTTGGGAGACCCCTGCCTCAGGGCTGCGGGTGCCGCCGTCCACACCACAGGCCCTTCTGCTTCCTGTTTCCAAAGCTCATCTCCTGTCTCTGGGCTGCAGGCGCTGTTTCTGGTTTACTGGCACAACTGTGGTTGTGTTTTTGTCAATGACTTCATCTTTGCTGCTGTTGTTTTGAGATACTGTCTTGCTCTGTCACCCAGGCTGGAGTGCAGTGCCGAGATCTCAACTCACTGCAGCCCCGACCTACTGGTCTCAAGCCATCCTCCTGCCTCAGCCTCCCAAGTAGCTGGGACTACAGGTGTGCAGCACCACATCCAGCTAAGTTTTTGTATTTTTTGTAGAGACAGGGTCTCACTATGTTGCCCAGGCTGGTTTCAAACTCCTGGACTCTGGTGATCCTCTAGCCTTGGCCTCCCAAAGTGCTGGGATTACAGGTACGAGCCAGCATACCCAGCCAGTGTTGTCGTTTTGATTTGGGAGTTCGGGGCTGAGCTGTGTTTGGCCAGGGCCTCGCCTGCTCAGTGTGCTCCTGGGCTGAGCTGCGGTCCTGGAGCATCTCTTGGCTCACATATTGACTCCTCCGGCCTCTCTACTGTCCTGGTCCTTCATGGGGCTCACATGTGTGTCCTCTTGTTTTCTTTCTGTCACCTTCTTAAGGGTTCACAGATCACTGTCAGTGGAAGGTGTTGCCACAGCTCAAGCCTCACAGTGGAGGAACCTCATGAGGCCCTTCACGGGGCCACTCCCTGTCTGGACAGGCCTGCCTGACCAGCCCTGCTGGGAAGCCTGGGCTTTGCTGCTGCTTCACCCTGCGACATTCTCCTCAGGCCCTGCCTTTCGCTTCTTTCGTTAACATTGTTCCTGCCTTGATCGTTTGCTCCCTCCTGCCTAACTCTGCTCTTCTTCCTTGTGTAGCAGTTACGTGGTCCTCAAATATCATTTGTTGACTCCAGTGTTTCCTGGGGCATCTCCTCAAGCTGGCTGGGGTTCTCTGCATCTCAGCTGTGGCGCCTGGTGTGAGGGCGCACGCTTCGCAGTGAGAGTGAAATGCCCAGTTCGCGCTGGCAGAGGGAGACCCTGTGAAGGTCTCCCTGTGCCAGGCACAGGCTCTTATTCTGAAAGCAGACCCCGTGAAGGTCTCCCTGTGCCGGGCACAGGCTCTTATTCTGAAAGTAGACCCTGTGAAGGTCTCCCTGCGCCGGGCACAGGCTCTTATTCTGAAAGCAGACCCAGTGAAGGTCTCCCTGTACCGGGCAGAGGCTCTTATTCTGAAAGCAGACCCCGTGAAGGTCTTCCTGTACCGGGCACAGGCTCTTATTCTGAAAGACCCAGTGAAGGTCTCCCTGCGCCGGGCACAGGCTCTTATTCTGAAAGCAGACCCCGTGAAGGTCTCCCTGCACCGGGCACAGGCTCTTATTCTGAAAGCAGACCCAGTGAAGGTCTCCCTGTGCCAGGCAGAGGCTCTTATTCTGAAAGCAGACCCAGTGAAGGTCTCCCTGTGCCAGGCAGAGGCTCTTATTCTGAAAGCAGACCCTGTGAAGGTCTCCCTGTACCGGGCACAGGCTCTTATTCTGAAAGGGTACGCAGCAGTTTCTGGAAGGAAGGAAGGAGGGAGGGAGGGAGGGAGGGAAAGAGGAAGGAAGGAAAGGAGAGCGATAGGCACAGAGGAAGGTAGATGAAGCCCCGCGCCCCCCTGGCGGAGCCCAGCCCTGTTCACCGCGTGCTGTGCGGGTGCCTGTGCCAGGATCAGCTGGCTGGACGGCTATAGCCCCACGCCTGCAGGCCACATACCTGGGAGAGTGTGGGCCTTCCGAGCCTTCTGGCTCCCGGCCCCACAGAGGAATTACGGTCCCATGTCCCTCACAAGGACCCTTGCAGAGGGAGCAGTGCATCGGCACAGAGCAGGACACAGGGGAGCCGGGCTGAGGCTGCGGGTCCCTTGTGGCCGCCAGGTGCTCACGCGTGCCTCGGTGGGGATCTGGCAGCCAGATTTGGGGTGAGGATTTGATGATGTGGGTATCCCTAGCTGGTCCCACAGTGACGATGGGTGTTGCGTTGTGAGCATGTAAAACGGCAGTGACGTCTGAGGGTCCCTGGACGTCTTTCACACCCAGCCTCAAAGCGGAGCCTTTCCAGGCAGAGCAGCAGCTGCCGCCACTGGATTGACAGCCCCAGAGCAGCGGGATCAGGCCACGCGGACGAGGAGGTGCGAGGCCTCGGGTCGGGGCCTGTGTTCTGCGGGAGCCGCACCCATCATCGCTGTGGCGGTGGCAGTGGAGCAGCTGCTCTCGTGTCTGAGCTGCTCCGGCGTCTCTGTCCACAGTATAGGGTCTTCTGATGCTTCCTGGAGGTCTCGGAGGGGCTTGCTGCGTGTAGTACCCACACAGCCCACAACTGGGGTGTTGTCAAGTGTTATGACGTAGGTTGCCTGTGGAGTAAAAGTTGGCCGCTAAGAAATGCTCTAGACAGGCCGGGCACGGCGGCTCACACCTGTCATCCCAGCACTTTGGGAGGCCGAGGCGGGCGGATCACGAGGTCAGGAGATTGAGACCATCCTGGCTAACACGGTGAAACCCTGTCTCCACCAAAAATACAAAAAATTAGCTGGACATGGTGGCGGGCGCCTGTAGTCCCAGCTATTCGGGAGGCTGAGGCAGGAGAATGGCATGAACCCGGGAGGTGGAGCTTGCAGTGAGCTGAGATCGCGCCACTGCACTCCCGCCTGGGCGACAGAGCGAGACTGTCTCAAAAAAAAAAAAAAAAAAAATGCTCCAGACACTTCAGTTTGAAAATATTGGAATTTATGTGGGGAGGATTAGTGTGCATGGAAGGCCAAAAATGTGAATGCATCTCCGCAGTCATCTTTCCAAAAGCCGCCCTCTGAATCAGTGAGGACCCTCAGGGTGGGGAACGTCCCCTTGTGAGTGTCTGCAGATTGGAGTAGGCAGCAGCGGAGCCCGTCTCTGTAGATGGACTCGCAGAGGAACTTAGTTCTTTCCCTAAAGGAGTAGGAACAGCTGGGCGCCGTGGCTCACGCCTGCAATCCCAGCACTTTGGAAGACCAGGGTGGGCAGACTGCTTGTGCCCAGGAGTTCAAGACCAGCCTGGACAACATGGTGAATCTCTGTGTCTACAAAAAATCACAAAAGTGGCTGTGGCGGCAGCACCTGTAGTCCCAGCCACCAAGAGGCTAAGGCAGGGAGATCGTTTGAGCCAGGGAGGTTGAGGCTGCAGTGAACCGTGATCGCCCCACTGCACTCCATCCTGGGAGACAGGGTGAGACCCTCTCCACATAGTAAGTAAATGGAGGAATAGAAACGCAAGCCGGCATACATTGTCTTTGACAGCATTTTGTGGATAGGCAAGTTCTAACCATGGGGGCAACGTGGGATGCAGCAGGGTTTGGTGTGCCGTGGGGCAGGGGTAATTTGCTTGTTTCTCTAAGACTTTGTACAGCTCTGTAAACAGATTCCCATTAGGTCGTCCTTTCCTTGTGACAGGTAATAGTGGAGGTGTCACAAGGTAAGTGGCCTGTCTTGCCTGGTTTTCAGGTTCTACGGCTTTTGTCTTGTTTTTTGAGAAAGGGTCTGTCACTCAGACTGGAGTGCAGTGGCGTGATCACAGCTCAGTGCAGCCTTGAACTCGTGGGCTCAAGTGATTCTCCTGCCTCAGCCTCCTGAGTAGCCAGGACTACAGGCACGTACAAACATGTCCAGCTAATATTTTTTTTCTTTTGTAGAGATGGGGTCTTACCGTGCTGCTCAGGCTGGTCTCAAACTCCTAGGTTCAAGTGATTCTCTCGCCTCTGCCTCCCCAAATGCTGGGACTACAGGTGTGAGCCACCGCGCCCAGCCTTCTCCTTGTGTTTGAACTGGAGAGGACAGAGTGCTATACATGTGGTCACGGTTTTTCTTCGTTGAAAGCTCTAACAGTGGGGTCGGTCCCTGTTATTAAGCCTGTGTCACTATTCCCTGGGCCCTAAAAGTGCACCTGGCTCCTGTGACTTGGGGTCCTTTCCCACTCCTCTCCCCAGGGCCCCTTGGCCTCAGAAGGCCCCCATGTGCCAGCTCAGACTGGAGTTGCCTCAGTTGACACAGCAGGCCCCATCCAGACAGACCAGCAGGTGCTTCTGGAGACAAGAGCAAAGCCTTTTCCGGCAGCCCGGAACCTGGGATGAGAAACGACAGGTGGAAGGTTGTCCAGAGACACCTACAGCGTGGATGCTGTTCCGAGTCAGCGTAGGAGAAAGGCCACTGGAAACCAGAGTCACACTGCGCGTCTGTGCATCTCTGGCCTACCGCAGTGGCCCCGGCTGTCTGCACATTTTTTGTAGACACATTAGAGTCGGTTGAGGCCACACCTGCGGCCACAGACTGCGACCGCGATTGCAGGGAGGAGCATCTGAGGTGGTCACGGGGTTTGCCCAGCTCACACCAACTGCAGGTCAGTTCCTGCTTCGCCTTCAGTAGCCTGAGTCCCTTCTTCTTTTTCTTTCACGTTACTAGGGCAGTTGTTCGCTGACGCCTTAATTCTGGAACACGTTCCTTGCCCAGATTCTTGGTGGCTGCTTGTTCCCTTCTCATCGTTCCTGCTGTGTTTTCCATGCTTGGTGTAGGGGGACCCTCAGAGCTTGGTGTAGGGGGAGCCTCAGAGCTTGGTGTAGGGGGAGCCTCAGAGCTTGGTGTAGGGGGAGCCTCAGAGGTGGCGTCAGGACGTGCCTGCCCCACCGGTTGCCCTGGTGCCCTCGTCACGCCCCGGGACCGCGCACACGTGGGGACTGTTTCCAGACGCACTTTCTGCGGGCAGTCTGTGTGGCAGGGCTCCCTGCCCAGCTCCTGCAGCCTCATCAAGTCTCCCACTAAGGAGGTGTCGCTCCTCCAACTTTGTTCTTTTTAAAAATCGCTTCAGCCATTCTAGGTCCTTGGCATTTCCGCGTGAACTGTAGGATTCCTACACCAAGCCTGCTGGCGTCTTGATTGGGACGGTGTTGAATCCAGAGTGTGTGGCAGAGCTGGCGGAGCCCCTCTTTCTTTGATCTCTGCCGATCTCCTTGATTTCACGTTTGTTTTATTCCACAGACCACCCCCTCCCCATCTTCTCACCTACTTCAGGTTCCATTTCATGGTAGGAAATTCCTGTAGTCCTCCCGGGCTTGCTGAAGTGCTGCTCCAAGTTACAGTCCCCGGGTTGTCAGGCGTGGCGAGAGCCCCTTGTGCTCAGAGCTCTCACGGAACACAGAGCAAGCCTGTCTACGAGTTCAGCCGGTGAGGGGCAGGGGCTGGTGAAGGCGGCGGCGCCTCTGGGTGTGCCCAGGGGCAGGGTCGCCTCCAGGCCCCACGCGCTAAGCCGTGACTCCCTGTAACACACCCGTGTCGACACAGGTCACGTGGGCCCGAGGTGCTCATACATCACACTCCTTGTCCAGGATGGTCCTTCCTGGCACCATGTGGTCCTCGGTGCAAACCAGAGTTTGCAGTGCTCGCTGCACAGACCCTTCTGCCTTATTCAGCATCTTTAGATCAACAGAGTCAGTGCCTTCCCAAGAGAGCACGTGTGGGCCTCATCAGGAGCATGTGCCCAACTCGTGTGTGTGTTCCTTCTCTGCCCTGGAGGAGAGGGGTCGCCCTCTCTTGTGGCCCACCCCGGGGCTGCAGGGCTGATGGCTGCTCCCTCCCCAGCTCCGGCACCTCCAGGGCTCTGCTGCCTTTAGTCTTCCTTGCGTGCCCTCCACCTCCCTCCGAGCCTCTGCTGAGACCTCTGCTTCAGGGCCGGGCGTGTTAGCACAGCCCCTCTGCTGTTACAGGGCTCCATGTGGGGTCTCCACGTGGCGGAGTACCTCGCGACAGAGGCTCTGTGAGGGCAGGGCTGGGTGGATGAGAGTATTTAAGTGTCACCATTTCTTTTCTTTCTTTTTTTTTTGAGACAGAGTTTTGCTTTTGTTGCCCAGGCTGGAATGCAGTGGCATGACCTTGGCTTACTGCAACCTCTGCCTCCTGGGTTCAAGCAATTCTCCTGCCTCAGCCTCCTGAGTAACTGAGATTACAGGTGCCCGCCACCACACCTGGCTAATTTTGTATTTTTAGTAGAGACGGGGTTGCACCACGTTGGCCAGGCTGGTCTCAAACTCCTGACCTCAGGTGATCCGCCCACCTTGACCTCCCCAAGTGCTGGGATTACAGGCGTGAGCCACCGCGCCCGGCCTCCCAGTTTCTTTTCACTCCAGGCCTCTCACTACTGTTCTCTAATTGACACAGAATAATTGTGCAAGTGTATGGGGTGCACAGTGATGTTGAGAAGCATGTGACTCGTGATCGGCACATCCGTCATCTCATTGACCATTTCTAGGTGTTGGGAACCTTCTGGCTGTTTGAAACCGTATTGTTGACTCCCATCATCTCGCAGTGCTGCAGAACACTAAACTTATTCCTTCTGTCTAGCTGTCGTTTCTAGTTTTACGTCTTTTTAAAAATTATTCCTCCTGTCTGTCATTTCTAGTTTTATGTCCTTTTAAAAATTATTTATTTTTTATAGAGACGGGGTCTTGCTATGTTGTCCAGGCTGGTCTCAGCCTCCTGGCCTCAAGGGACCCGCCTGCCTCAGCCTCTCTTGGGGTTGCAGGCGTGGACCACTGTGCCTGGCCTACGCCTCTTGTATTCTCTGGGTCATCCAGTCAACTTGAGCCCTGGTGAGGGTGAGGCTGTTGGGTTGGGTGAGTCAGCCGTGTTGTGCTGCCGTAACAGAACACCCAAGATGGAAGACTTTAGCATGAACAGAAACGGATTGGCTTGCAGTTCTGGAGGCTGGCAAGGGCCTTCTTCCTGTGTGCTCACGTGGTGATGGGGTGAAGGCATATTCACCCTTTTAGAATGAACTCACTCCTGGAATCATGAGCCTGTCCCTTGGTGACAGCATTAAGCTGTTAGTGAGGGCAAAGCCTTCATGGTCAAGTCACCTTCTGAAGATGCCACCTCCTAATTAGGCTGCGTGGGCAAGTGAGTTTCAGCATTTCAGGAGACAGATGCCCACACCATAGCAGTGACCTCATCTCATTCAGGGTATTGGTGCTTGTCAGACACTGGCTGTGACTCGCATCTGGGTGCGTGTGCCTCTCTCTGTGGGGGCCACCCTGCCGTCAGGCGCCAGGAAACCGACGTCAGGGAATGTGGGGGTCTCCCTGAGAGGGTGCCGACCTAACACGGCTCCTCCGGGTCACGTGGGTGGGCTCAGCGGCCTCCCGTGCCTCCCCTAGGTCTGGAGTCTCCCCTGCCCTCTCGTTGGGCTCCAAGCCTCTTCCTCAGCCCAGCTTCCTGCTTTGTGGCAGCCGTGCTTTCTGGAAGCTGAGCAGCTTCTTTTTTTTTTTTTTTTTTTTGAGACGGAATTTCTTTGTCCCCCAGACTGGAGTGCAATGGCACGATCTCAGTTCACTGCAGCCTCCGCCTCCTGGGTTCAAGTGATTCTCCTGCCTCAGCCTCCCGAGTAGTTGGGACTATAGGCCCCCACCACCTTGCCCGGCTAATGTTTTTGTATTTTTAGTAGAGATGGTGTTTCACCATGCTGGCCAGTTCGAGACTGGTCTTGAACTCGTAACCTCAGGTGATCCTCTCGCCTCAGCCTTCCAAAGTGCTGGGATTACAGGCGTGAGCCACCGCACCTGGCCTCTTGTTCATGTTTTATGTGTAAATTGGTCCTCTGCTATTTCTGTTGCTCAGAGGTGGAAAGGAGAAGGGAACACGATAAAGTCACACATCCACACTGTTGACAGGGGTTTGGCTTCCAGGGAACACACCTCTGTGGCCTCAGGGCTATGTCCTGAATTCTAAAACGGGGCTCTCACGGCTGACCCGATGTCACTGGGTCCCCGTTTGCTGCTTGAGTCTCTTCGGAGCCCAGTGTTGACTCCCGCTCTTCGTGGCTGCCCCGGCTATCTGGCCATGAGGAGCTGACCACGCACCTGGCCGGACTCACATCCGCTCCGCTAGGGAAGACCTGGGGGCGGAGGTCGGTCTCTGACCAGCCAGCGTCCCTGCAGGGGACTGCGAGTAGGAGGCGGGTATTGCCCACGCCAGGGCCTGTGGTCTGAGAGGGCTGGCCCTTGACGGACAGGTGGGCAAGTCCCCCTCCCACATCTCTAGGCACCAGGGCGTAGCGTACCATGTGTGCTGTGTTTGTGGTTGGGTTCAGGTACTGCCCTGTAGGCGTGTCTGCTCTGAGCCTCCTGGGACAGCCTGAAGTGGTTGCTGCACAGCTGCTTTGGGGCCTCCCAGGGGTGTGTTCCTGCTCCCACCCTGGGGTGCTCTGAGTTGGTCTTGGGTTAGAGAAGTGCAGTGGCTGGTGTGTGCGCAGCCTAGGGGCCTAGGACCTGCTTCTCAGAGCATCACGGGGCCCACCAAGAAGTGCCCCCTGGGGAGGTGACAGCGTCTTCCAGAAATGCCGCCGCCCACAAGGAGGACTGGCCTGTGCCGGAAGCTGGAGATGGTGGGGTCCTGATGGCACCTGGTAGGTGAGGGTGCCCCAGAGAAACAGAGCCAAGGCGGCGGCCTGGAGACAGATTCTGTGGAATCTGCCCACTCTGTTGTGGGGCCTGCCAAGCTCAGCATCTGCAGGGTGGACCGAACCCCGGGGAAAGAGTCAGTGCTGGATTCTCAAGAGTCCAGAGGCCATCCAGGGCAGAGTGCTCCCCTCAGAGGACCTCAGTCTTTTCTTAGTCCTTCACCTGATTGGATGAGGCCCACCCACTCATGGCGATCAGCTGATTTACTCAGAGCTGACTGATTTAAATGTTAATTTCATCTAAAGAAGTAACTATACAGAAACATCCAGATTAATGGTTGACCAAAATCTGGGCACTGTGGCTCAGCCAGGCTGGCACATAACATTACCCATCGCATGTTAGTTGGAAGCTTGGCCTTTGGAATTAACTCAGCCTGGTCAGCCGTTAGCAGCCAGCAGTCTCTGTTCTGCCCACACACCTCTGTGGACTGACCCAGGACACAGGTGAGCAGCATCCATGAGAAACTGTGGTGCTTCTCTCCTATGGGACAGATGGAGCCCCGCTCCCTTCTGTGTGGAAATGGTCCAGGAGCATCTTGTGCGGGTGGTGGGGGGGCGAGGGCAGGGCCTCCGCATGAGGGAGAGCAGCGAGCGGCAGCCACTCCTTCGCCGAGCCAGCAGGGCCATCTCCTGTCTGCCTCAACCACTACTGGACTCAGCCTTTCTCCCCCAGCAGTGACATCAAAATAGCCTATTTATAGGACATAACAAAGATGATGCCAGCTGTTAATAAAAATGTCCGCTAATCAGGCAGTTCACTTGCTGCAGTTTTTTGGGGTCCCAAGGGCCCAGCCCAGGCTCCTGTGCCCTTGGCCACCGTGGGCCAGTCCCTGGGGTCTTGTGGGAGCCTCCGCGGGCCTGGGAGTGGCAGGACCCTTAGAGGGCGAGAGTTCACATGAGAGCGTGGGGTTCTGACTCGCGAGGGTTCACGTGAGAGCGTGGGGTTCTGAGTCGCGAGGGTTCACGTGAGAGCGTGGGGTTCTGACTCCCTCGTGTCATTTCAGCCGCGGCGAGTCCTTTGCACATGTTGGCAACACACGCATCCGCATCGGCCTCCCTGCCCACAAAGCGCCACAACGGTGACCAGCCGGAGCAGCCGGAGCTGAAGCGGATCAAGACAGAAGACGGCGAGGGCATCGTCATTGCCCTGAGCGTGGACACGCCACCGGCAGCCGTAAGGGAAAAGGGTGTCCAGAACTAGCGACCGGGAGAGCTTTTCTTTAACGATATCAACTCTGTGGTGCCAAAAGGAGACGCGGCCTCCCGCCAGCACTCGGGGGTGCAGGGCCCTGTGGTTGGACTTCACCTCTCAGCACTGAAAACCCAAAACCCAGCTGGCCTTAACACTCCTTAAAGACAGAAGTCACACTTGAACAAAACCCACACACAACAAAACCTGATTTGGGAGACGGTGTCTCCACTGAGCACCTGCTGGGCTGAGCTTCTACCTACGAGTGAAACTCTGTCCTCCCGCGAGGACCAGGCATCGCTGTGTGAGGACGGCACGGCCAGCGCCTGCTGTGAGTGGGTCTCCCAAGACTAGGCCTCAGGACGCGGGGGGAGCCATCCCCGCCGCCCTCACAGGACCCACCAGGCAGCGGAGACATGTGGAATTAGAGTATTTTGAGGTGTCCTTTCTTTACAAAATAATGGGGTCTTGGGCATTTCACATCACTCCATTTCTACTGAGACTTTCAGAATCACACAGGCCCTTTCCGTGGATTTCATTTGGGGCAAAGAAACAACGTAGTTTTGTTTTTGTTTTCAGCCTATGGAATGATTTCCTTTTGTCTGTCTTGTTCAAGTTCAGACGAAGCTACTCTGGCATCTGCACATTTCCGTGTTACAGCAGCTGCCTGATGAATTTTATCCACCTCCATTTCAGCATGTGGCTCGCGTGGACAGGTGGACGGACGCTGTGGCCGCATGGAACCTTGAGAACCCAGGGACGAGCCAGTGCCGGGAAGGAACTGCCGGGACTCACCGAGCTGCACTTAACTGTTCTCTTTCTGGCTATTTTTTGTTGTTTGTTTCTTTGTGTTGACTTTGTCCCTGGCAAAATTTTCCACTCTGAGTAAAACAAGTCTCCTAAGTATTGTGTATGTTTAAAACGACAGAACCATTTCTACTTCATTTGGAAAAAGATTCAGTCTTTTATCACAGGCCCTTTTGAAACTCAGATCCCAGGTCTCTCCGTGGTATGTTTGTATTTGGGGTGTCCCTCCGGCTCTAGGCGGCCTCTGACCTGCTGTCTACTCCCCACCTTCGGTGAGCGGCCGCCATGGTGGAGCAGGGTCCGAGCCACGTCCTGCAGGGCACGTCTGGGGCATTTCCTGTTTTGTGGTAGGAAATGTCCCTGACCTTTCAGAACCGAACCCAATCCTGAGGCTGACTCCTCTACGGAAAATGAGGACAGGACGGGGGTGAGGGAATGAGAGTGGGAGGTCCCTGCACCTCCTCGCCCGGCTCCTCAGGAAGAAAACCGCTGGCCCTTCCCGAGTGTGCCGGCCGAGGGCCGAGGGCCGTGCACATGGGGAGAGGGCGTCAGCCTGATGGCTGAGCTTTTAAATGTCATCATCATAACATTATTTATTTAAATGTAGTTATTTTGGTATTTAATTTTTTTTTAGAGAGGAAAAAACCTGTATTTTCCTGGTGGGATGAAATAGGGATGAAATGGCTCAGAATGGTATATTTAGGCAATTTTAAAACATTTATTATTTACATAAAGACCAAATATGATGAATCTGTTCCGTGAATTGTGTCGGCCCTCAGCATGGGGCTGGGGCAGCGTCACTGCGGTGACGCCCATTGAAAGGTATGAAATGACTGCACACTAGCTGGATTATCACTCAGCCGTTTAAGAAATAAAAGCAAAACCATCACGTGACTGAGACCGTGTGTGTGACCGCAGCAAAGCGCAGCGTGTGGATGGATCAGAGCCCCTCGGTGCAGCTGTCTGCATCTTCCAAGCACTTTACAGATACCTTGGAATGTATATTTTTGTCTTCTTACTCAGAAGGTTTGCAGTTTGTAAAATAATCAGGATTCTGCTCTGTCCTGTGTGTGGGGTCAGCTCCCTCCACAGAGGGCTCCAGCTCTGTTGGTCACAGCTGATGGGGTTCTCTGATTGATAGGAGACGAGCTCTTGAGCTCTAAGGAACAGTGAGGTCGCCGGTGGGGAGCTTGGCTGGGACACCAAGCAAATGCATCGTATGTCCCCTTGGAGACGTTTTTATGCAGCTGTGTATGTTACTATCCAGAAGGAGTCGGGGGTAGACTTTCCCGTGTAAGCTCAGTCCATAAACTGGTTACTTCTGATCCTGGAACGTGGACTTCACATGATAGGTCTGGATCTGTTTCTGTTGGGATCACAGGTAAGGAAAATGTCCATTCAAATGGTAAAGAAGGGAGGAGGGTGTTTTTTTTTTTTTTTTTTGCCGTAGGCACCATTCTGCATCTTGAACCCAGACTGAAGTGTGCCTCTCACAGATGGAAGGTGCACACGCTCCTGTCTCCTCCTCACTCTGCCACGTTCACTTGGCTTTTTCATTGGTACCTAGGAATTTAAGAATATCGAAGCGAGAGCAGTAACAAACCATAGATGAGCAGACTCCCACACCGGGTTTTCTTGCCCGTCTTTAAGGCACTGTTTCTAAATTTTGAACTTAGCTCTGAATCCCCAAGAACTTGAGCACAGCAAGGGTTGCTGAGCTGCTGTCGCCGCAGCCCTGGCCCCTGGTGCTGGAGCTGCAGCACCTTTGGGAGAGGTCCTGCGTCGTCCTCAGCTGCGTCGCTGTGAACTCCCGCTCTCCACTGTGTTCCTCAGTGTCTGCTTTTCAGGAAGTCTGCTGTGACCTTTGCCCAACTTCTGAGCTCCTCAGGGACTAGGAACAATTTCAGTAGCTTTGCCCTGAACCAAACGAGAAAACAAAAGGGAACTCCCGTATGACCCACGTCACGTGGTGCACTCAGAGTGTGTGCGGCATGATCCTCGGTTGCTCCTCCTCTCACTTTAGTAGAGTACGCGGTGGACAGCTGATCTCCTTCAGTCGTCTACCCACTTCCGTCATTGTCCTCCGCTAGAATAACAGAGTAGTTGGTAGTCATGGCCAGAAGGGGGGTGGGGGCAGTGTGAGGACTTGGGGTTTCTGTGCTGTGTGACACAAGGAGATAAGTGACAATCTTGAAGTCCTAACTTCCACTATTCTAGAAAGTATAGTGGTGATTTGTGTGCAAAGATTTGAAGTTTTAAAAAAGTACCAAGTTCCTGAAATTCAATAAAATATTTTTATTAATTTTAATGGAATGCAGAGTATCATTTTCATTTTGATTGACTGACTTTTTACTTCATGCTCTCTTCTGAGCACACCGGAGGCCTAGCGCATTGGCAAGAACTTAACCAGGGAGCTGCACTGAGGACCAGCACTGCAGGCCCTGCCAGTGGGACAGCGGGTTGAGCGTGCAGGTAGAAAAGGCGCCGTGTCACAGGCAGTGGTAACAGGGTCTTGATTGATTGATCTATGATGTCGGAGTTTTAAAGTTACTTGGAGATTGTGGCTGCCACTATTTCTTCTGCAGACTTTCTCTCCAACCTGAGAATGAAGATCACTGCAAAGCATCTTGAGGGACATTTTCTCAGAAAATGAAAAAGCAGCTCTTGGCCGGCGCGGTGGCTCATGCCTGTCATCCCAGCACTTTGGGAGGCCGAGACGGGCAGATCATGAGGTCAGGAGATTGAGAACATCCTGGCTAACATGGTGAAATCCCATCTCTACTAAAAATACAAAAAAAATTAGCCGGGCGCAGTGGCGGGCGCTTGTAGTCCCAGCTACTCGGGAGGCTGAGGCAGGAGAATGGCGTGAACCTGGGAGGTGGAGTTTGCAGTGAGCCGAGATTGCGCCACTGCACTCCAGCCTGGGCGGCAGAGCGAGACTCCGTCTCAGAAAAAAAGAAAAAGCAGCTCTTCTGAAGAGGTACTTGGGTATTCAAGTTCCCACACAGGAACACTTTGATCTTCAGGCCCTGAAAATCTGGTGTGGATCGCTAATGTCTGGAATCGTGATGACATTATCAGTACTCACCCCAGGGTAGCAGAGGGAAGAAACCGTGCTGAAAATGACACAGAGGCCTTTGGGAGCTAAATGATGTTCACGGACAGAGAGTTCATAACGGAGTGTTTGTTTTATTCCTTACACTGATCCCCTAATTTAAAACAGTTCATACTGGCATAAAAGAACTGTTTATCACGCCCTGCGAGACTGCCTCTTCCAGCAAAGTGAAGCAGTCATTTGTAATTTGTTTCTGCCAGGTCTGCGTCTGCAGTGCACCCGGGCTGCGTTGATGGGTGCTGGGAAATTGTCACTGTTTGTTGCCCCCTTTCTGAGCTATGTCCACAGCAACACAAAATTACAATTCAGAGTGGGTCTCAAGTGACCTCTGATGACTAAACTGGCTACAAAGATTCCAGTGGACTCCTCCACCTGTGTCTCCTAGGGGTTATGACTAACTGTGGACCTAACAAACAGAGCAACTATCTCAGTCCTATGGAAAGTCAGTCGTATATAATACAGAACAGCAGGCAGACTAGAGCCAGAACAAGGACCGGTGTGATGGGTTTTTCCTGGGTTTTCCCCTCCCATTGCTGAGCCTAGTCCGTTGCTGGGCCTAGTCGGGGGCGGTCTATCCGAACTGCACATTAGGGATGAACATTAAAATCTCCAAGAGAAGCCCGCTTCCCTCTCATCCTGGGCAGAGACGGTCGTGGGAAACTCCTGCAAGCAGCAGCCCTGCAGACACTGGCGACTCCCACAGAGCCCTTCACGCTGGCGACTCCCACAGAACCCTTCACGCTGACGAGAGGAATTGGAAAACAGGCCCCTGTAGTCCAAAGAGCATGAGGGAAATCCCTGCTCCACTTTGGCCCCAAGCTGGACCTAGTCATAGGAATGGGAACAGCACAGAGAGGCTGAAACCTGGGCTTTTAAGTCAAAGGACACAGCAGAGGAGTTAAGAGACCCCCTAAAGCTCCACATGAATGGCACTGACGTGGGGAAAACAGCAAAGGCTATTTGAGCTCAACTCCTGTGTAGACTGGCCCCTGGGTGAACAGCACGACACAGACTTGGAAGACTAGCCTGACACCAGAGTCACAGCTCCAGGAGGCAGGCTGGCACATGCAATCAGAACATAACTGGGTTACTTGCCTGCTGAGACACAACTCAGCATCCTGCAGAGGGTTTCATGGACTTGGGAGTCTCAAGGTATGCCGAATGTCTAGAATACAAAATTACTAAACGTAAAAAGAGCCAGAAAAATCTCTGCCCTAAAGTGAAAAGACCGAATGCCAACTCTCACATGACCCAAATATTGGGAATATCAGATAAAGAACAGTTATTATAACCATGCTCTGTGAAATAAGGGCAAATGCTCTTGAATCAAAGAAATGAAAAAATTCAGTGAATAAACAGAAAAACATTTGGAAACAAAAATGAACTGGGACTTGTAGGACAAGATTGAAGGGTCTACTGTGTATGTCACTAGATTCCTATAAAACAGAGAAACAACGTATACAATTTTTTTTAAAGAAATATTTTAGTCCGGGTGGGCGCGGTGGCTCATGACTGTAATCCCAGCACTTTGGGCGGCCGAGGTGGGTGGATCACGAGGTCAGGAGATCAAGACCAGCCCGGCCTACATGGTGAAACCGCATCTCTACTAAAAATACAAAAATTAGCCGGGCATGGTGGCACACACCTGTAATCTCAGCTACTCGGGAGACTGAGGCAGGAGAATCGCTTGAGCCCAGGAGGCGGAGGTTGCAGTGAGCGCAGATTGCGCCACTGCACTCCAGCCTGGGCGACAGCGAGACTGTCTCATTTAAAAAAAAAAATACATATATATATATTTTTTTAATTTATTTTTATTTATTTATTTTTTTGAGACGGAGTCTCGCTCTGTTGCCCAGGCTGGAGTGCAGTGGCACGATCTCGGCTCACTGCAAGCTCTGCCTCCCAGGTTCAAGCGATTCTCCTGCCTCAGCCTCCGGAGTAGCTGGGACTACAGGCACCCACCACCACGCCCGGCTAATTTTTTGTATTTTTAGTAGAGACGGGGTTTCACCGTCTTAGCCAGGATGGTCTTGATCTCCTGACCTCATGATCCGCCCGCCTCGGCCTCCCCAAGTGCTGTGATTACAGGCGTGAGCCACCGCGCCTGGCCTATATATGTGTGTGTGTGTATATATATATATATATATTTTTTTTTTTTTTTTAATAAATACTTTAAAGATTCACGAAGGTGAGTGAATTCCAATAAGATCATCTCAAGGAAAACCATGTTGAGGCAATAAACTAAAGAAAAGACATTTTTTTTTTAACCTGGAAAGCAGCCAAAGAAAACTGACTTATCCAGGTTGAGTATTCCTAATCTGAAAACTCAGTAATCTAAAATCCGAAACTTTGAGTGTTGACACGATGCTCAAAGGAAATATTCATTGGAGCATTTTGGACTTCAAATTTTTGAATTAGGAATGCAGGGCGGGGCACAGTGTCTCATCCCAACACTTTGGGGGGTCGAAGTGGGAGGCTCACTTGAGCCCAGGAGTTGGAGACCAGCCTAGGCAACTTGGCAAAATCCTGTCTCTACTAAAAATAAACCAAGTGTGGTGGTGTGCACCTGTAGTCCCAGCCACTCAGGAGGCCCAGGCGGGAGGATCGCCTGAACCCAGGAAGCTGAAACTGGACTGAGCCGTGACTGCACCACCACACTCCAGCTTGGGCAATGGGAGTGAGACCTTGTCTCAAAAAACAGACAAACAAGGATGCTGAAATGGAAAGTACACTGCAAATATTCAAAAATAAAGATTAAAAAAATTGCATTCTGAGGCCGGGCGCAGTGGCTCACGCCCGTAATCCCAGCACTTGGGGAGGCCGAGGTGGGCAGATCACGAGGTCAGGAGATCGAGACCATCCTGGCTAACACGGTGAAACCCCGTCTCTACTAAAAATACAAAAAATTAGCCGGGCGTGGTGGCGGGTGCCTGTAGTCCCAGCTACTTGGGAGGCTGAGGCAGGAGAATGGCGTGAACCCGGGAGGCGTAGCTTGCAGTGAGCTGAGATCGCACCACTGCACTCCAGCCTGGGTGACAGAGCGAGACTCCGTCTCAAAAACAACAACAACAAAGTAAATGTAAAGCAAGCAGGCAACAAAATTGAAAAAAGAAATCAAAATTGAGGGGAAAAAATAAAACTTTTTTTTATTTGTAGAGACGGGTCTTGCTATGTTGCCCAGGATGGTCTCGAACTCCTGGACTCAAGCTATTCTCCTGCCTTGGCCTCCCAAAGTACTGGGATTACAAGCATGAGCCACCATGCTTGGCCACTTCTAATTAAAAAAAAAAAAAAAAAAATAGAAAACAGGCTGGGTGTGGTGGCTCACGCCTGAAATCCCAGCACTTTCGGAGGCCAAGGTGGGTGGATTACCTGAGGTCAGGAGTTGAAGACCAGCCTGGCCAAGAAGGTGAAACCCCATCTCTACCAAAAATACAAAAACTAGCCAGGTGTGATGGCACGCATCTGTGATCCCAGCTACTCAGGAGGCTGAGGCAGGAGAATCACTTTGAAGCCAGGAGGCAGAGGTTGCAGTGAGCCGAGACCTCGCCATTGCACTCCAGCCTGGGTGACAAGAGTGAAACTCTGTCTCAAAACAGAACAGAACGAAACACACAAAGGAATAAGAACAATGAGCCATTCATGAGGTTGGGGCAGGGGACATAGTGACAGAAACCATCCTTGAAGAAGCCTGGAAATTGGACTTACTAGACAAACACTTTGTCTTAAATATGCTCAAGGGGCTGAAGGGAACCAGGACAAAGAAGTAAAATAAGAACAAAGCCAGGTGTGGTGGCTCACGCCTACAGTCTCAGCACTTTGGGAGGCTAAAATGGGGAGACAGCTTGAGCCCAAGAGCTCAAGACCAGGCTGGGCAACATAGTGGGACTCTGTCTCTACCAAAAAAAAAAAAAAATCAGCTAGGCATGGTGGCATGTGTCTGAGGTCCCAGCTACTCCGAAGGTTCAGGTGGGAAGATTGCTTGAACCTGGGAAGTTAAGGCCTCAGTACACCGTGATCACACCACTGCAGTTTAGCCTGAACAGTAGAGCCAGACACTGCCCCTCCCTCTGCCCCAAAAAGAAAGAAATATGAACAGTGTGAAACATTTGGAAATAGCAGAAAATAGAAATTATAAAAAGAGACTAAAAAGAAAGTCTAGGCCTGAAAAGTAAAATAGCTAACATAAGAAATTCACTAAAGGAATTTGGATTTCAGCAGGCATCAGAAAGCAGCCGTGAACTTGAAGGTAGGTCAGTGAAATTACCCAGTCTAAGCAGCAGAGAAGAAGAATGCAGGGAAAGTGAACAATAAGGGGCCTATGGGATACCATCGAGCATAACAACATAAGCATTATGAAATTTCAGAAGCAGAGAAAGAGAAGAAGACACACTTCAGGAAATAATCAATGAAAACTTCCCTGATCTGATAAAGACATGAATCTACACATCCAATAAGCTCAACGAAATCCAAGCAGGAAAAATGCAAAGAGACCCAGAGCTAACCGTATACATACTCAGCAGTAAAAGACTGAAAGCTTTTCCTTTCAGATCAGGAACAAGAATACCTGCCTTCACTACTGCTGGTCAGCACTGTACTGGAAGTCTTAGCTAGAGCCATTGACCAAGAAACGCAGGCATCTACATTGGAAGGGGTGAAAACTCTCCTTGCAGATGGAATGATTATGTGTAGAAACTTCCACAGAATACACACACACTCAACCTACTAGAGCCTGACACATGAATTCAGCAGTGTGGTAGTGTACGAGATCAAGATAAAAATAAGTTGTATTTATATGCACCAGCAATAAACAATCAAAAAGGAAATTAAGGCCAGGCGTGGTGACTCCGCCTGTAACAGTTTGGGAGAGCAAGGCAGGAGGATCGCTTCCGCCCAGGAGTTTTTTTTGTGTGTGTGTTTTGTGTTTTTTTTGTTTTTTTTTTTGAGATGGGAGTTTCGCTCGTGTTGCCCAGGCTGGAGTGCAATGGCGCAATCTCGGCTCACTGCAACCTGCGCCCCCTGGGTTCGATCGACTTCTCCTGCCTCAGCTTCCCAAGTAGCTGGGATTGCAGTCATGCACCACCACGCCCGGCTCATTTTGTATTTTTTTAGTAGAGACGGGGTTTCTCCATGTCGGTCAGGCTAGTCCCGAACTCCTGACCTCGGGTCATCCGCCCACCTCGGCTTCCCAAAGTGCTGGCATTACAGGCGTGAGCCACCATGCCCAGCTCCGCCCAGGAGTTTGAGACGAAACTGGGCAACAACACAGGGTGACCCCCACCTCTAAAACAAAATCATAAAATTAAGAATTAGCTAGGTAGGCTGAGTGCAGTAGCCCACACCTGTAATCCCAGCACTTTGGGAGGCAGAGGCAGGCGGATCACCTGAGGTCAGGAGTTTGGGACCAGCCTGGCCAACATGGTGAAACCCCATCTCTTCTAAAAATACAAAAAATTAGCCGGGCGTGGTGGTGCACACCTGTAATCCCAGCTACTTGAGAGGTGGAGGCAGGAGAATTTCTTGAACCCGGGAGGTGGAAGTTGCAGTGAGCCGAGGTTGAGCCACTGCACTCCAGCCTGGGAGACAAAGCGAAACTCCGTTTCAAAAACAAACAAACAAAACATAAAGAAATTAGCCAGGCATGGTGGTGCATGCCTATGGTCCTAGCTATTTGGGAAACTGGAGCAGAAGGATCACTTGAGCCCAGGAGGGCGAGGCTGCAGTGAGCCTTGATTGCACCCCGGCACTCCAGCCTGGGTGACAGAGCCAAAAAAAAAAAGAAAAAAAGAAGCACGGCTGGGCACGGTGGCTCACACCTGTAATCCCAATACTTTGGGAGGCTGAGGTGGGAGGACTGCTTCAGGCCAGGTGTTCAAGACCAGCCTGGAGAACACAGACACCGTCTCTACAAAACAATAACAAAAATTAGCCGGGCGTGGTGGTGCACGCCTGTAGTCCCGGCTACTCAGGAGGCTGAGGTGGGAGGATCACGTGAATCCAGGAGACAGAGGTTGCAGTGAGCTGAGATTGCATCACCACACTCCAGCCTGGAGTGAGACCCTGTCTCAAAAAAAAAAAGGATAGGCAGCTGTCGTATATGCTGATAATGGTAAAAATAATGTGAGACATAAGTTCAAGTCCCTTGTGCAAATACTGAAACTGAGGTAGAAAAATGCTGATTTTCTGGAGTTACACTCTGCTATCAAGGTCAGGAGGACACCCTTTTCCACAGTATCTGGCCAGATCCTTGCCTGTTTTTTCCACATACCCGAGAGAGATTAGGAGATAATTAGCCCTCAGCTCGCATGCCCCAGAAGCGTCGTCAGACTCACCATCTGAAACATCTTACACAGATGACAGGCTTCTGGCTGGCAGCCAGCATGGACAACTCAAGATGGGGCCGCAGGTGTCTGTGGGAGGCTCAGAGCAAATGTCGGGGGATTCACGGCCTCTACAGACGGTGGCGTCTCTCTTGAACAGAGCTACAAAAGAAATGACATTTCACTAGATGCCACCTCAGTCTCAAGTCTACATTTGCTTTTGTTAAAACCCATTGTATGTCTACATTTTGGTGGATGTTGCGTAAGACAAATCATTTTAAAATTAATGCCAAAACCACAAAATCACTAACCTGATACGAAATTCCAGAATGCGGCAAGAATATTACAAGCTAAATTAGAAATAAGAATCCTCTATACATATACATCCAAAAAAAAAAAAAATCCCCAAGTATTAGTAGAATTCTTTTTTTTTTTTCCTGAGATAGAGTCTCTGTCACCCAGGCAGGCGTGCAGTGCTGCGATCTCGGCTCACTGCAGCCTCCATCTGCCCGGTTCAACTGATTCTCCTGCCTCACGCTCCCAAGTAGCTGGGACTACAGGCACGCGCCACCACGCCTGGTTAATTTTTGTATTTTTAGTAGAGACAGGGTTTCACCATGTTGGCCAGGCTGGTCTCGAGCTCCTGACCTCAGGTGATCCACCCACCTCAGGCTCCCAAAGTGCTGGGATTACAGGCGTGAGCCACCGCGCCTGGCGAATTCAGCAGTATTTAAGGATAACACACTGTGACCAAGTGGGCTTTCCCACAGGACAGCAAGGTTGGCTCAACATTCAAAAATCAACGTGATGCTCCACGTTCACGGCGTAAAAGATAGGTGTGATCATCACAACAGATGCAGAAAAGTCACTTAACAAAATTCAACAGCCATTCCTAGCGGCAGGCAGGGTCACCCCCAAGTCCCCACTCAATAAAGGAAAATCAGGAGGCATCCTCCAAGAAGACCCAGATGCTGGAATCGGCAGACAAGGACTTGAAAGCGCACAGAGCGCGTACAAATGGGCAGACACAAGTCATCAGCCACGAATTAGAAACCAACTTTAGAACTGACAAATGTATCTGAAATAAAAAAGGCGGCCAGGCGTGGTGGCTGTAATCCGAGCACTTTGGGAGGCCAAGGTGGGAAGATCGCTTGAGCCCAGGAGGTGGAGGAGAAACCCCGTCTCTACCAAAACAATTTTTTAAATAAAAATAGATGTTACGTTCAGGTGTGGGGTTGTCTGAGAGTGATCTTCTCTGGAGGTAGAAACACGGGGCAATTTTGCTTACAAATTTATATTTTTCTATTATTTTATAAGGAACTTTTTTTTCATTGTATTCTCTGATCCATCTGGAAGAGAAAAATTTTGGTACAAGTTTCAACAATGTCATCAACCAAATGCCTCTGACACAACAGAAGAGAGATGAGGACTAAGTCACGTGAAAGAGCTCTGGCATTCAGGGGCTTGGTTTGGTTGCAGAAAGAAAACACAAATATAAAACTCTTTGATCACAGAAGGCTGCAGATGGCCAGCGCCCCCGACTACAGTGGTGGGAGCGGGAGGTGGCCAGGGGTTCACACAGGCATCAACGCCAAACACAGGGTGGGTATGGGTCAGGGCTGCGTTCCACAGGGCACAAGCCGCCTGTCCCCGCAAGACATCCCAGGGCCACAGGGGAGGGAGGACAGACCAGAAACGCAGCCGGAGTCATCCATGCCCACGCACCTGTACGATCAGACAGGAAAGCTGCTGAGTAGGCACCGTCTGAGGCAGTCACTCTGGAGTCCCTTCGCACCCACGTCCGGGGCACAGGAGGTTCGTGGGGGAGGCAGCAGCCCGGCCTTGTTTCCCATACACTGCGCTTCCCATCAGTTCCACTTGAAAAGCAGCTGCGCTCCCGAGTCCGCCGGCCTAGGGACACCGTGTCCTTGCCGCTCTACAGTGATTTTTAAAAAGCACATGCCTGGGGAGGGCCGGTGCCGCCAGGGCCTCACATGAGGCACGTCCGTGCAGGCCCTCGCCACGTTCCTGGTGAACGGGCCTGTGACACAGCCCCGCCGTCCGCATCAGTTCTGAGGCTGTTCACGTGCACTGCGAGAAAACCCACCCTTCTTGCATGCATTTCCCCCAGATTCATGTTTATCAACTGGTAATTACGCTCCTACTCCCCCACCCAGAGTCAGATCTCAAGTGTTAGACAAGCCAGGGTGACGCCGGCTCACTTGAAGCTGCCACTTCAACATGCAGGGACATTGCTGCTGCCAGCCACCCTCCACCTCCACAGGCCAGCAGGAGCCTCAGACCTCCCAGAGCCACACAGGCCTCCTACAGATGCATTTCCTCCCTCCCTCCTCCAGAGGTGCCCTTGGGGCACAGGGAGAGAGGAGGGCAGGCCGCCCCGTCCCGACACAGGGAGAGAGGAGGGCAGGCCGTCCCATCCCCGACACAGGGAGAGAGGAGGGCAGGCCGCCCCGTCCCGCCACAGGGAGTGAGGAGGGCAGGCCGCCCCGTCCCGCCACAGGGAGTGAGGAGGGCAGGCCGCCCCGTCCCGCCACAGGGAGTGAGGAGGGCAGGCCGCCCCGTCCCGACACAGGGAGTGAGGAGGGCAGGCTGTCCTGTCCCGACACAGGGAATGAGGAGGGCAGGCTGTCCTGTCCCGACACAGGGAGTGAAGCTCCAGGCTCCGCACCCAGTGACCCTGGCTTCCACCTTGTCCTGTCACAGGCCGGCGCCTCTTCAGGCCCACAGGCTGTTCTGAAGCCTACACTCCAACCAGATTCTCACAGCAAGGGGAAGAGTGTTTGGCTTCATAACACACAATTCTACTTCCCATTACAGGTCCAGACTACAACAAAATTAGTCACTTTTATTTAAAAGAAACATTACAAATAAGTGTGCAAAATTAAACATCATGATTAAATACACATGAAAGGAACATGCATACTTTACAGCAACATCCACAGAGAATTAGCTGATTACATGACAGTGACAGTAAAGAACTAAAGAAACCGGCAAAACCGAGAACTCGCTGCTATGCAGGTTTTACATGTTTGCAATCTGAAATCAAAACCATAAAATAGAGTTTAACGGGAATTTAAGAAAATTAAATATATATCCCAAGTAGCTGACAATGTAGAGCCCATAACCTAGTTACCAAATGTTAAAAAAAGTTATGTGCCTCTCCTTCCCAAAATGTTAGTGTGTAGCTATTCTTACAAATGAGGGGAGGGGAGACGGTGGACCTGGGGGCTCGGAGGCCAGACCAGGGCATTTCCCTCCACACCAGCGGGAACTGCATGGACCCTCCCAGACCCTGCTCTGGCAGACGACCCCGAAGTTAAAGGATGTTTTCCCCATAACGAATGTTCAAAGTTCGTGCATCACTCTGCTGTTCCCTACACATAACCGGGAAACAGGTTTAATCCAAAATGTAACCAGGAGACCCCCCGTCCCCGCCCCGCACACGCCTGAGGTGTGACGGCTCGGCTTCTAGAGTGGCCTGGTGTCTGCCTCATTCTAATGGCCCCAACGGAGACGGGGACGCCACGCACGGGCACAGGTGACGTCACGGGCACAGATGACCACGTTGCGGGTACGGAGAAGACCACAGGCTGGGCTCACACGAGGGGAAACATTCACACTGTGTTCTCTCTACAGGGTCAGGTCATTTTTCTTCATGTTCGGGCGGGAAAAGGAATTCCTTTCTCCTTTTCTAAGGCAAGCTGCTGGTGTTGTATTCAATCTGCTTATCATGTAAGAACTTACATCTGCACACTTGTTCACTCCCCCGCTGCAGACTCAGTAAGAACGACGGAATCTGCTGCAAAAACAAACCTGAACTCGTCCACCCTCTCAGCCCAGTCCCCAGGTCCGTATGGAGCCCCCGTCAGTGTGAGGATGCGGCGGAGCCACTGAAGCTAACGTCACAGCTGAACTCATGGGAACAGCCAGTGGCCGCCAGTCGAGCTGGTCACAGCCACTGAGTTACCTACGGTGCCTTGATGATGATTCTCTCTTTAATACTGGAAATGGGAGTCCTTAGGAAAGCAGACAACCACGTATGGCTTCGAGACCAAGGTCCCTGGGCAGCCCCTCCAGCCCGTGGCCCAGGAGGCCCCTGGGGCACTGGCACCAGCCCCGAGAGTCTGAAGGCGGCAGGTGGTGGGTGCTGTGGCGCCCCCAGCTGGAGTCACAGCTTGTCATCGGTCATCTCTAGAAACTGCGCGTAGACATCTCGGATGCACTCCCCCTTGGGGTTGAACAGGAATTTGTAGTAGCTGCCGTCTGCACAAATTGCTGGGATAGAAGGAGACCATTTTACCTGTGTGTTTCTTTCCCTCAAGTTAAAAGCAACGAGTCCCACTGAGCTGAACTGCAAAGGGCCTCTTGGAGCCAGGCAGCTGCTCTGAAAGCCCTGAAAGGCCCCAGGGTCCCCACTGAATGCGTTCGGTCGGCACCGTGGCCGGGAATCCTGACTGTCTTGGTGTGAGCATCTAATCACCCGGTGTTGGCTACAGGGTTAAGAAACATTCTTGGTCATCTATACAAACATTGGAAGACCTGTCCCTGTGATTTCCTGGGGGAAACTGGAGGGATGGGGGCTGAAGACATCCCAAATGGCCGTGCAGACCGTAAGCGGGACACACTGAGCCCACAGGAGAAATAAGGGGAACTGGGCGGCCATCGGTGCCACAGCGCGGTGCTGGGACGTCCATGGGAAGTTAGGTCTGACGCTCAGTGGATGGAGCCCAGGTGGGGCGGGTGGGGACGTTCTCTCCAGGAAGGACCACTCACCAATGACGGCGTTTGGCTCTGTTCCAAAGGCACAAATGCACGGAGAGCCTGAGGGAACCTGAAACTTGGAGAAACTCCACTTGGAACTGAAGTATTTTGGAAGGAAACTGGCTGAGGCCAAACTGTGAAGACAAGAAAAGAAAGGGTGGTTCAAAGTTTACAGGAAAAAAAATCACCTGCGTAAGCTCAGAATACGCTGCTGAAAATACGAAAATGCTCCTTCATATGGTTTGAGCTTTAATGAATTTTTTTTTTGCCATGCATGACAAAGCCTGTTGTACAATTTTATTTAAAAAAAAAATTTTTTTTTTTGAGACGGAGTCTCGCTCTGTAGCCCAGGCTGGAGTGCAGGGGCGCAATCTCGGCTCACTGCAGCCTCCACCTCCCGGCTTCAAGCGATTCTCCTGCCTCAGCCTCCCGAGTAGCTGGGACTACAGGCACCCGCCACCACGCCCGGCTAGTTTTTGTTTTTTAGTAGAGATGGGGTTTCACCATGTTAGCCAGGATGGTCTCGAACTCCTGACCTCAGGTGATCTGCCCACCTCGGCCTCCCAAAGTGCTGGGATTACAGGCATGAGCCACTGTGCCCAGCCTGCACTGATTTTTAAACCCCAACAAATATAAAATTAAATGAAAAAGATTTCAGCGCTGATAGCATATGAGGTCTGTCCACACCACCCTGCTGGGGTGGGGGGCCTGTCCCGTCCACACTGAAACACTGGGGACTCCTCTCATCCCCCGGCTTTTCCCCAGCAGGCATCCTAACACCTACCTGGACTGTTTATTCCTTTTTGGATCTTCAGCTGCAAAAATATGCACTGTGCCGTGGTCGCTGGATACGCAGATGAGGGACGCATCCTGATTGAAGTTGATGCTGCAGAGAAAACCAGCACAGCTCAGGCCTTGTGTGGATGTGGAGGAGTCCAGAGACTTAACCCACAGCACTTGTCGACACTGTGGAACACCTCAACATTCCCACTCTGGAGGTGCCAATTCTGAATACTGCCCTTTCTTTAACAAGCCGACAACCATCCCCACAGCACCACAGGTTGAAGCCACAAAGCCACAGCCACAATCCAGTGTATCACGGCAAGTTTTCCTTGGGTGCCCCACAAATGCAGCTGATGAGCTGTGTGTCTGGGAGAGGGAAGGGACTTCTTGCAGACCACACCCCCAACATGCCGCTCAGGGCTGCTCTCACAAGACTCGGGTGAGAAACACACATTCTCTCCAATGATCCTGGCCTCAGGAAGGTGCAGGCTGCCCCTATGGAGGTCAGCTGGGCTGGGGCAGGCATTGGCCGTGTGCTGTCTGTTCTAGGAGCAGACAGGGATGTGCTATGCACACCACAAGGCCCAGGACCTCACAGATAAAGCTGCCGTATTTATAAATTAATTACATTTTCTTTCTTTTTTTTTTTTTTGAGACAGAGTCTCGCTCTCTTGCCCAGGATAGAGCGCAGTAGCACGACCTTGGCTCACTGCAACCTCCACCTCCCAGGTTCAAGCGATCCTCCTGCCTCAGCCCTGCCTAGTAGCTGGGATTACAGGCACACGCCACCACGCCCAGCTAATTTTTGTATTTTTAGTAGAGATGGGGTTTCGCCATGCTGGCCAGGCTGGTCTCGAACTCCTGACCTCAGGTGATCCACCTGCCTCAGCCTCCCAAAATGCTGGGATTACAGGCGGGAGCCACTGCGCCCGGCTATATTAATTACATTTTCATCTCAAAGACCCAAATGCTGCTCAATACTAGCCAAGGGGGAGGCACCAGGCCTCCTGGCCGTGGCCACAGGGCATGAGATGCTACCCAAGTAGGGCTTCAGCACTAGACACCCGGGGGGCTGTAGGGACACCACTGTGGGGCGGCAGTGTGGCCTCTCAGACTGTAACAGGCTGGAATCAGACAAACCAACATGGTCTCCAGCATTGCCTTAAACACAAGCCAGAGCGCTGGTGACGAGATGAAACTGGCAAAAACACCAGAAAGACTAAAAATAAACAGGGATGAACCCAAGCCCGCCAGCCAGGGCAGCAGCGAGACCCCTCTACAAAAACACAACAATTAGCCGGGCGTGGTGGTGCACAACTGTGGTCCCAGCTGCTCAGGAGGCTGAGGCAGGAGAATCGCTTGGGCCCAGGTCGAGGCTGTAGTGAGCTGTGATAGCGTCACTGCACTCCAGCCTGGGCGACAGAGCAAGACCTTCCCTCAAAATAAAAACCCCAAAAAAACAACAAAAAAAACCCACCAACAACAAAAACCATCAAATACTAATAAATGCTGAAGCAGGGTTAATTATGACATTCTTTCTACTTCTGTGTAATTTCCCACGATAAAAACTTAAAGTTAATCACAATTTAAAAAGCTGAAACCCAACCCCCTAGCAGCCCAAGCTTCTCCCTCCTCTGGCCTTATTCGGGGGAGGGTGGCTGCTCCTACCCCCTCTCCCAAATCCCAAAGGCCCACTTCCGTGCTGTCAGCCCGAAGTTCTTCTCCGGTGAAGTTGGAGGTGCCCTTACCAGTAAATATTGGCTGCTTGAGATCCTCTTCGCAGTTCCTGGATTAAATGCCCTGATGAAGTATCAAATATTCTTATAAGCGTCCCCTTTGAAAAACAGTGAAGTGTTTCATTATCAAAGATTCAAAACTTTTTCGTTAGTTTTTGAAATGACTCACATTCACAAATCCATTAGTCCACACAAGCCTTTCTCAAACTCACCCACATCATCTACTACTTAACTTTCTCCTCCAACTGCCAGCACACAGTTGTGCCCCTGAGAACGAGTTGGTTGGTGGCTCCTGGTCCCACGGCACTGGGCACAAGTCAAGAGAGGCTTCCAGAGACAACCTCCTGACCGGGCAGGGTGGACTGACCCTGGATGCCCGCATCCCTGGCTGAGACCCAGGAGGAACACCCAGGCCCAGGCTCCCTGCTCCTGCTACACAGGGAGCTCATCTGAGAAGCACTGTCCGAATCCTAAGTCCCTCAGATAGCTAGGAAAAGCAGCACGGGAATCCGGCCATCAAAAAGGTGAGGCAAAAAAAAAAAAATAAAAGGACTTAAACCCATCCATGTCAGCTATGCTGGCTTTCCCAAGAAAGAGGTGCCCAAGACCTCAGGGAAGTTTTTAACATCTCCTCCAGAACGAGGAGGACTCTTCAGCTGATTCTGACAGCTGGGAAAACGAGAACTGCTGCATCTTTTGTCAAACACTCTGACAACATCCAACAAAAAATCTTTATATCCTTCAACCCAGCAGCCCCTACTCCTGGGGGTGCAGTAAGGAGCCAGCTTGTGGGGGACAAGGCAGGAGCAGCCTCACGGGGTGACTGCCGACAGCACGGGATGGGTCACAGATGTTGCAAGGCTCTGCGTAATCCCATCTACCTGGCTAACCCGGAGGGCACCGCTGCGGCTAAGAAAGCAGGAAGCAGAGAAGCATCCACATTTGTAACGGGGATTCTATCTAAAGAAGAAAAGTTGCAGGGAGTGGGGATGGAGAATCTAAAGATAAAAAGGGTAAGAAAAAATGTACCAAAAATACAGAGGAACCGCATTTCTAATTCATACAAAATTATATCTATTTTGTTGCTAATATGATACCATTCTAAAAAATACTACCTAAAGGGCTGGGTGCGGTGGCTCACGCCTGTAATCCCAGCACTTTGGGAGGCTGAGGCGGGTGGATCACCTGAGGTCGGGAGTTCCAAGCCAGCCTGACCAACATGGTGAAACCTCGTCTCTACTAAAAATACAAACATTAGCCAGGCATGGCGGTGGGTGCCTGTCACCCAGCTACTCGGGAGGTGGAGGCAGGAGAATCGCTGGCACCCAGGAGGCGGAGGTGGCAGTGAGCTGAGATCACGCCACTGCACTCCAGCCTGGGTGACAGAGCAAAACTCAATCTCAAAAAACAAAACAAAACAAAACAAAAACTACCTAGAAATAACTAAACCTGTTCTCAGCTGAGTCCCAGGAGTGAGCGGGACACGCCCCAAACCGCGTGTCCCCACGTGCTGAGGAGTGACCCTGGCACTGGCACCGCGTGAAAGGGTAGGAGCAGGGCCGCACTGAACCTCAGTGCACTGTGCCCACAAACGGATACCATCACCGGCTTGCGGTCTCACCTCCTTAACAATTTATAATTTCCTACAAAGTAACACCGGGTTTGCAGTCTTCAATGAAAACTATAGTACAAGATACCAATTTTCTTTGTAAAAATCTGAATTCAGGCAAAAAGAAGTATAAAGAACCCCAGATTTAAAATTATTTTAAAAAATTAACAGTTCTTCTGACCTCGCAAATCAAAGGACAATGTGTCCAATACGTCAATATTTTCAGTTACAATCTGGTGGTAATTCAATGAAGACACGTTACTAAGCAGGTAAAAAAGGGTTTTGAGCTGTGTGTTATCAGGCTGTGAAGACAGGAGCACAGAAGTTGAGTGGTTCTGCAAAATCTATGAGAATATGACAAAGCTGTCATATCTGATCACTGTAATCAACTTGGATGTGGACGTATTTTTGTTTCTTTTTTTTTTTTTTTTTGAGACGGAGTCTCACTCTGTCACCCGGGCTGCAGTGTAGTGGCATGATCTCAGCTCACTGCAATCTCCACCTCCTGGGTTCAAGTGATTCTCCTGCCTTAGCCTTCCGAGTAGCTGGGATTACAGGTACACACCACCATGCCTGGCTAATTTTTGTATTTTTAGTAGAGACGGGGTTTCACCATCTTGGCCAGGCTGGTTTCGAACATCTGACCTCAAGTGATCCGCCTGCCTTGGCCTCCCAAATTGCTGGGATTACAGGTTTAGCCACTGCCCCTGGCCCTGTTTCTTTGGCTTATCATATTTTACAAGACACTGCTTTGTAAATAATTAGAAATAAAACCAGTCCCTGGGCACAAGACGACCTGTGAAGACTTCAACCTGTCTGATGACATGACCAGCCAGGTCCACAGGCCCCTGAGGGGCTCCAGGTTGGGGCAGGCCCACTGCCTTTTGAGTCTTGATACAGGGAATGGCCATTTTGCTGAGCCTGCTGCTCCAGGAGGCACAACACCAACAAGGTGAGTGGCACACTTACTTTCTCGGATGCAGTTGCAATTCTTGTTCCCTGCAGGTTGAGTGCAATGCAGCTCAGGACACCCTCGTGTGCAGGAATGTCCACGGGTGGCTTCTCCGTGCTGGCCAGGTCCACAAGCTGCACATGGCCCGTGTGCGTGCCCGGAAAGGCCAGGAGGGAGTTGTTACTATTGGGACAAAGGACACAGAGGCCTGCGTGGAGACAGAGGACACCAATCAAGAACTGCCTTTGATTTCTCACAGCCAAAGTCCACTTTCTGCCCCCAAAGTTCTCCGAAAAAATAGATGTATATCATTTATAAATATCAGAACCACAAATTCAATTTAAAGATTTTTCATTGTAAATAAAGAGTATGAGAGGGCTAAGCAAAGCTACCTCGCATGAGACCTCCTCATAATCAAGACATCTGCTGAACAACTTTACCAACTGTCCATCCATCATGGTACGCGCTACCGAAAATGCAATGCAAAATTAACGACTTTACCAACTGTCCGTCCGTCAGGGTACACGCCACCGAAAATGCAATGCAAAATTATAAAATTTAAAAGCTGCTCCATCAGCAACAGCGTAAAAATATTAAAAAACGGAGGAATAAGTTAACAGATGTACAAGACCTATCCATGGACTGTAACATCTTGCAAAGGAAGACCACAGAAGATCTGAGAGAGAGCTGGTCTTGTGATCGTGGGCTGGAAGATTGGCTATTACTATCTAACTCATCTACAGTCAGTGTGATCACAGCTAACCTCTCAGAAAGGGTTCTTGAAGAAAGACAAGCTGATACTAAGAATTATAAGGAAAAATAAAGGCACTGGAACAGCCCAAATTTTTTATTTTTTTGAGACGGAGCCTGGCCCTGTCACCCAGGCTGGAGTGTACAGTGGCGTGATCTCGGCTCACTGCAAGCTCCGCCTCCCAGGTTCACGCCGTTCTCCTGCCTCAGCCTCCCGAGTAGCTGGGACTACAGCCACCTGCCACCATGTCCAGCTAATTTTTTGTATTTTTAGTAGAGATGGGATTTCACCATATTAGCCAGGATGGTCTCAATCTCCTGACCTTGTGATCCACCTGCCTTGGCCTCCCACAGTGCTGCGATTACAGGCATGACCAAAAATTTTTTTTTTTTTTGTAAAGTAAGAAGATTGCAAGACTTATATTACCTAATTTCAGATTTACTTTAAACCTCTTATCAAGGCAGGATGGTACTGGGATAAAGACAGAAACACAGATCAATGGAAGAGAACAAAAAGTCCAGAAAAAAAACCTTGTATTTATTTAATCAAAACAAAGGTACCAAGCTTAGATATCCACATAGAACAGAAAGGAACCCAGGCGTGTGCCTCACTCTGAATACAAAATGTACTTGAAATGGATCGAAGATTTAACTTTAGATGAAAAGCTACCAAATGTGTAGAAGAAAACATAAAAGAAATCTTTTAGCAATACTTGCAAAAGTGTGCCAGGGAAAAGGCTAAATCTACAACATATAAAGAATTCTTACGGCCGGGCACAGTGGCTCACGCCTGTAATCCCAGCACTTTGGGAGGCCAAGGAAGGCGGATCACCTGAGGTCAGGAGTTTGAGACCAGCCAACATAATGAAACCCCGTCTCTACTAAAAATACAGAAATTATCCAGGCGTGGTGGCGGGTGCCTGTAATCCCAGCTACTTGGGGGACTGAGGCAGGAGAATCGCTTGAACCCAGGAGGCGGAGGTTGCAGTAAGCTGAGATCGCACCACTGCACTCCAGCCTGGGCAACAGAGCGAGACTCTATCTCCAAAAAAAAAAAAAAAACAAACAAAAAAAATGGGGCTGGGCGCGGTGGCTCACGCCTGTAATCCCAGCACTTTGGGAGGCCGAGGCAGGTGGATCACGAGGTCAGGAGATCAAGACCAGCCTGGCCAACATGGTAAAACCCCGTCTCTACTAAAAATACAAAAATTAGCCAGGCATGGTGGTGTGCCTGTAGTCCCAGCTACTCAGGAGGCTGAGGTGGGAGAACTGCTTGAACCTGGGAGGCAGAGGCTGCAGTGAGCCGAGATCATGCCACTGCACTCCAGCTTGGGCAACAGAGGAAGACCCCATCTCATATTAAAAAAAAAAAAAAAAAATTCTTACATCTCATTATAAGATAAACAACCGGCTAAAAAATGGGCAAAACATCTGGGGCACTTCCCAAAAGATCTCGAAAGGGAAGAACCACAGGGAAAGATGTCGCCACCGCCAGTCCTCAGAGAAATGCAAACCAAAACCACAAGGAGATGCCGTTACCAGTGAGATATCATCACACACGCACGGAACGGCTACAGCTAGAAAGACCGACAATGCTGGAACACTCATAAATCATGGATGAGACGCAAGGGGACACAGCCACTCTGGAAAATAAACGGCCGCATTTTATAGTCAGACACAACCACAACATGGTTGTGACCGGGCAGTCGAACCCTCAGGATCGACCCAAGAGACATGAAACTACCCACACAAAGGCTGCTATGGGAACATGCACGACACTCCTCCTTCCTAATAGCCAAAACACGGCCGAAGGGACCAACAAAGTAACACACATACACACACACAGAGGACAAATACATGTAAAAAAACAAAACCTGAGGGTTGAGTGGGGAGGGGACTGTCCCAAGAAAGTTTTCCAGGAGAAGAGACTGTTCTTTTTTTCTTTAGTCTCACTCTGTCGCCCAGGCGGGAGTGCAGTGGCACAATCTCGGCTCACCGCAAGCTCCGCCTCCCGGGTTCAAGCAATTCTCCTGCCTCAGCCTCCCAAGTAGCTGGGACTATGGGCACCCGCCACCACATCCAGCTAAGTTTTGTATGTTTAGTAGAGATGAGGTTTCACCACGTTGACCAGGATGCTCTCTATCTCCTGACCTCGTGATCCGCCCGCCTTGGCCTCCTAAAGTGCTGGGATTACAGGCGTGAGCCACTGCGCCCGGCCGACTGTTCTGTCTTGACTGTGACGGTGGCTACACAACTGTTTACAATGACGGAAATTTATTGAAGTTTTTTTTTTTTGAGATAGAGTCTTGCTCTATCGCCCAGGCTGGAGTGCAATGGTGTGATCTCGGCTCACTGCGACCTCTACCTCCTGGGTTCAAGTGATTCTCCTGCCTCAGCCTCCCAAGTAGCTGGGACTACAGGTGCCCGCCACCACGCCCGGCTAATTTTTTGTATTTTTAGTAGAGACAGGGTTTCACCGTGTTAGCCAGGATGGTCTTAATCTCCTGACCTTGTGATCCGCCCGCCTCGGCCTCCCAAAGTGCTGGGATTACAGGAGTGAGCCACCGCGCCCGGCCACAAATGGTATTCTTAAAACGAGTCAGTTTTTTGTAAATTTTACCCTAACAAAGCCAGAGGCAAAACCCCCAATATAAAAAGATATGAAGATGGTACAATAAATGACAAAGTCAAACACAATCAATCCTCCAATTCAGAAGACAAGGGAAGGAAAGGCTTGAGTCCAGAACTCAGTGGCTCCCGAAGTGGTGAAAACATAGGTTCCTGGTTCACTGTGGAGGTTCTGAGAGCCCATAGTCACTGGGTGGGAGGGGACAGGGGCCCCCACTCTGTGACTCTGGTCAGAAGGTAGTTTGGGGATGCTGAGCTGTGGGTCCTGGAAGGTCCATCTCCTCTGGAGGCCCCTCTGTGCTCAGGATTGCTCTCGCCAAGCACTTTGCTCAGAGACCTGCTTGGAGAAGGGAGTGCCCAGCACAGGCATCTCCATGTGGACCCATTTCCCATCGCCACCCGTCTGCTCAATCTCTCACCTTTGGGGTTATAGCAGGTTTCGAAGACGTGCAACTGATGGGGATTGTGTGTGAATGTGAACACCTTAATCATGGAGTCCAAAACCACCACAATTCTGGAAAGAAAAACATGATCAGAGTTGCTTTCCTCAAGAGTCAAACCCAAACATTTTATGCTCCTGTTCTTATCATACTGAAACTGAGAAACACTGAAAATACCACACAGAAAAGGAGTGTTCCTGAAGAAAAAGCTCTGGAGGCAGGTAGCCAGCGCCAGGCCTGGAGCTCGGCGAGTGCACGTGGGCTGGCTCTGCTGAGGGAGTGCTTCTCGCCTGGGTGAAGGTCAGCCTAAGAGACGTCTCTGAGGTTCAGAGAGACATCATCAAACACTCCATCTAGGTTCAGAACCGAGCAAAACAGACAGAAGTGATATTTTTATGCTACTGTGTCTGGAAAAAATAAGAAAAGTCTGAAAGTAGAATATCCTCGATCTGGCTCAAGCGTTTGCATTATTATTATTATTACTTTTTTTTTATAGATGGAGTCTCACTCTGTCGCTCAGGCTGGAGTGCAGTGGCACAACCTCAGCTCACTGCAACCTCCACCTCCAGTTCAAGCGATTCTCCTGCCTCAGCCTCCTGAGTAGGTGGGATTACAGGCGTGCACCACCATGCCCAGCTAATTTTTGTATTTTTAGTAGAGATGGGGTTTCACTAGGTTGGCCAGGCTGGTCTCTAACTCCTGACCTTGTGATCCGCCTGCCTCAGCCTCCCAAAGTGCTGGGATTACAGGCATGAGCCACGGTGCCCGGCCACATTTGCATTACTAAGGGCCTTTAAATATTGACGTTATTAAAATGACAAACCCACACAAAAATGCAGGAAAGTTGGCCGGGCGCAGTGGCTCACACCTGTAATCCCAGCACTTTGGGAGGCTGAGGCGGGTGGATCATGAGGTCAAGGGATCAAGACCATCCTGGCCAACATGGTGAAACCCTGTCTCTACTAAAGATACAAAATCAGCCAGGCTTGGTGGTGTGCGCCTGTAGTCCCAGCTACTCCGGAGGCTGAGGCAGGAATTGCTTGAACCCGGGAGGCAGAGGTTACAGTGAACTGAGATTGTGCCACTGCACTCCAGTCTGGCAACAGAGCAAGACTCTATCTCCCAAAAAAAAAAAAAAAAAAAAAAAAAGGGCAGGGAGGTGAAATGACCTCTGTTTACATCCAACTTGCTCGGCTGCTGTCCTCCCACAGCCGACAGAGATGGAAATCTTAGAGTAAAATATGCAAATCATATTAAATAAAAACCCAAATGAACGAACTCTGCGCTATCTTGCTCAACGTACTAGGACAAACTTCCATATTCCCCCTAAACGCCCCTGAGACCATGGCTGACAGAACCACCTGCTACTTTCAACACAGAAAATTCAATTTTCCTTTACCTTCAAACCGAAAACCTTTATTGAGAGGCAGCATTTGGCAAAGCAGGGGCTAAAAGCCCAGGGTAATTCAAGGCTCAAAACTCATGTCCTCAGCTCTGCACATGTCGGAATGGGACATAACTCACCACGGTGAGACCCACTGGCTGGTCCACTGTGGCGCACGTCATCCACGCCACCACCTACTTACCTCCAGCGGAGCCCTGGAAACAAACACAATTCGCTGCCTTTCTTGCAGCAATATAAATAATCCTTATATCCTTATGGTCATAAAAACCAGGACCAACATTTTAATACATCATTTCCTAAACATTTTTCTGCCAAAAATAGAAAAGTATTTCAGCCATCTTTTGAGAAAGTGAAATACCACTTTAAAAAATTACTGACACCAAACCCACCTATCTCGCCGCAGCTTGACTGCCTTGACTTCTGTAGAAAATTCTATTTCAATAACAGTCTTCTTCTTCAGGTCATCCCAGATCATTACTGAAATATCAGAAAGAAAAGATGAATGCAGTCATCAGCAGGCCATGGCGCTGGGATGCAGCGATGCCAGCTTGGCGCCTAAGGTGTTTTCTCTTCCCACTGGCACAGCTGCGCCCACCCTCAGGCCTCAGACACACACCCGCACCTGGGAGGCCTTGGGGTGTAACTCAAACCGTGAGCTGTGCCAGGGATCCGCCCTCGGGCACCTTCCCCACTCAAAGCGTCTCCCCTTCTTGGTAGCTGGCTGCCCACTTGCTCCCTCCCCGCCCATTCCTCTCTCAGTGTGCACAGCCCGGTCCTGTTCTCAGGTGACCCACTCACTGGCCTCACACACAGGCACGCTAAGCGCATTCATCTCTCTCTGCCAACCATTGCTCCCTCCCCGTCCGTTCCTCTCTCAGTGCGCACAGCCCGGTCCCGGTCTCAGGCGACCCACTGGCCTCGCACACAGGCGCGCTGAGCGCGTTCATCTCTCTCTGCCAACCCTTGCCCTTGCCTGGTTACGTTCCTCTCCCTGACCTTCCTTGATTCCACCCGACTGAGCCCATAGGCAAGCCTGACCATAGGTACTGATGTTAAAAGTGCTGCAAATAAACCTGCATCAGGAAGGGAGGTTTCAGTTTTAAAGTGAAATCAGAGGGACACAAATCAGGGCCAACAAGTTCCTCACTCCACTCAAGGTCCTGGGTTGTTCTTCCTCTTTTTCTGTTTTTCTTTTTGAGACAGGGTCTCATTCTCTCGCCCAGGCTGGAGTGCGGTGGCGCAATCTTGGCTCACTACAGCCTTGACCTCCCAGGCTCAAGAGATTCTCCCACGTCAGCTTCCCAAATGGCTGGGACTACAGGCATGCACTACCATGCCCAGCTAAGTTTTGTATTTTTGGTAGAGATGGGGTTTTACCATGTTGTCCAGGCTGGTCTCGAACTTCTGGGCTGAAGTGATCTGCCCACCTCAACTTCCCAAAGTGCTAGGACTGCACGTGTGAGCCACTGCACCCAGCCCCTGCTCCTTTTTAAGTTCAAAATTTCTTCTGTCTTGTTTGCCTGCTAACATTGCAACATTCTATTAGCATAAATTAGCAGTTTGTGTTCTAAGGGCTAATGTACCGACAAGCTTTAGGGATGAGAATGCCAACCAGCACCGTGCTTTTGAAGAACCACAGGAGGGATGGGTGCGGTGGCTCACGCCTGTAATCCCAGCACTTTGGGAGGCTGGGGTGTGAGATCGCTTGAGGCCAAGAGTTCAAGACCAGCCTGGGCAACATAGTGAGACTCCCATTTCTGAAAAAAAAAGTTATTAAAAATTAGTCACAGCTACTCAGGTAGAGTCCAGGAGTCTGAGGCTGCAGTGAGCTATGATCACCCCACTGCACTCCAAGCTGGGCAACAGAGGGAGACCCTGTCTCAAAAAAACACACAAAAAACACAGCTGGGTGTGATGGCTCACACCTGTAATCCCAGCGCTTTGGGAGGCAGAGGCAGGCGGATCAATGGAGCTCAGGAGTTTGAGACCAGCGTGGGCAACATGTGGAAACGCCGTCTCTACTAAAAACACAAAAGGTAGCCGGGTGTGGTGGGTGCTCCGGTACTCCCAGCTACTCGGGAGGCTGAGGCGGAAGGATCACCTGAGCCTGGGGAGGTAGAAGCTGCAGTGAGCCAGGACTGCGCAACTGCATTCCAGCCTGGGCAACACAGTGAGACCCTGTCTCAAAACTAAATAAATAAAAATCAAGTTTACTAGTAAAAAAAAGTACCTTTAAACGCTACAAAAAGTACATTTACTCAAAAACCTGCTGAATACTGCTTTCTTCTAAGTCTGTGAAGTTTCTAAGGCTTTTTCACCTCTTAGAAACTTTATAATGAGAATGAGACCTGAGATTATCTCATACAAATGGCTCCCTTGTTAGCACCTGGGGTCCCCCAGCAGTGCCAGAGGTAGGGCAAGGGAGGCGGCCCTCTAGGCCTCCTGACTTCCATCTATAAGCTTCCTTTCCTCCTTAATGGTCAATGAAGTTCTCCATGACAAGACACAGACCAATTCACCAGCAGGATTTCTGCCCATCCCCAATTAGCCAGGGCAAAGTCATTCTCCTGCAAATCCTGCCCTGCTCTCTCTGTGGAACCTCCGCTGTCCCTTCTGGGTGGGCTCCTCCAGAGGACTCACAAGCCACAGGCCTCTGCCCCTCTGGGCTATGCTAGCAGCCACTCTCAACTCTGCTTTAAAGCTGGCACAGACAAACCTTGTGAGATTACAGAACCGCTCAAAGGCCAAGATCTCAAGCCCTGTCTTCCACTGTTTTTCCTACCGATAATCTCTTCCCATTTCATTTCTCTGTTCCTAATTCCAAAACAAAAATAAATGTATCAGGCAGGGCCAGTCCTCACCCGAGTGTGGTCTCTCTTCCGCACATTCACGTTCACGCAGTTCACGGGGCTCTGCTGAGAACTGTGAGCTGGGCCCCAAAGCTTGTCACGAGTCATCTGGAACCTTCTGCCTTTCCACACAATCCTTTTGTGCCTGATCTGACCTGGGCTATTCTATTCCTAAGTACGTGATATCACCCAGATCCTAGTTCACCCACTCACTTCCCATTTGGCATGCGGCGCCCCCAGAGCCCCATCCTGGTCTTGATTCTGAACTGCCTCCCTCACTGAGCCTCTCCTTCCCTCCTCACCTCCTCCCACCCTACCCACCCACCACTGGGCTCCCACTCAGTCATCCTCTGAGACCACCGGTGGCCTTCAATGTCACCAGAACCAGATGGCTTTTCTCAGGCCTCCTCCCGCCTGGCACTGGGCTCAGACGAGGATGCTTGCTCCACTTTTCCTGCCTCTCCCCATAAACGGGGGCTTCCCACACCTGCCCCATCCTCTGGTGTCTCTTCACTCACCTCATGCACTGCATCTAGACCAGAACTTTCCCAAAACACAGATCTGACGGCATCTCCTTCCTGGCCACACGTTACCTGGCATTCAAGCCTCCCCCAGATCTGCCTCCCACCTCCCCCACCCAGCCTACCTCCCGCCTCCCACCTCTTCCCTGTGTTCTGCCCTCCATTCCTGGATCTTTCGCCTTGAGCCCTCTTTCCTCAACCAACAGCGAGGTTAAGCTGGCACGAGGCACACGGCTGTCAGGAAAGCTATCTACTCCTCCCTCTACTTAAAAGGGCCAGAGCTCTTACGCCACATCATCTGCATACACACACGTACTCCCACTCCGACAAACATATCCCGAAACCCAGAGCCCAAGTGGTGTTTTGTTCCACGTGGCTATGAAACTAATGTTCCTTTAAGTCAATGGCTCTCTGTAAGAAAAAAAATCCTTCTACCTTGCTTTAAAATGAATTCATGACATTTACGACGTCAACCTAAGGTGCAGCAGGCCCGTTTTCCGTTTACTGACTGAAACGCACGTGTTCTATGACAATGCAAGCGAGTGATGCTCTTTAGGTGCTCCATCTGGGAATAGAGACCTGGTGCCCTCTTCGCCTGCTTCCTCCCCAGTGACCAGTCCTGGATATTTCACAGAACTACTAGGGAAAATCACACATGGCCACAAACATAAACGCATTCAAAAAAAGACTGGGTGGGACACGTGAGGCATGATTCTTCAATACACAATTACAGTACCTTTGTTGGGAGGGTATTTCGGCTTTTTTCCACCACCAACTAAAGCTAAATAGTTGCAGCGAAATAACATTTCAACATGGCCAACTCCTCCTTCTAGAAATTCTGAAATGATAGTTTTAAAAAGACCAATGTTACAAGTTAATATGTATATTTTACAATAAAAAAGAAAAGAGAAAGTCAAGACAGGTAACGCAGCAATTTTCTATTTTTTGTAAGAGACAAGATCTCACTGTGTTGCCCAGGCTGGAATGCAGTAGCTATTCACAGGTACAATCACAGCTCACTGCAGCCTTGAACTCCTGGGCTCACATGATCCTCCTGCCTCAGCTTCCCAAGTAGCTGGGAATACAGGACTCATTTTTTTTTTTTTTTTTTTTTTTTGAGAAGGAGTCTTGCTCTGTCACCCAGGCTAGAGTGCAGTCGCGCGATCTCGGCTTACTGCAACCTCCACCTCCTGGGTTCAAGCCACTCTCCTGCCTCAGCCTCCCCAGGTAGTTGGGATTACAAGCATGTGCCACCATGCCCAGCTAATTTTTGTATTTTTAGTAGAGATGGGGTTTCACTATGCTGGCCAGGCTGATCTCAAACTCCTGAACTCAGGCGATCAGTCTGCCTCGGCCTCCCAAAATGCTGGGACTACAGACATGAGCCACTGTGCCCGGCCTACAGGACTCATTTTTAATCAGCAATTTATATCTAACTATCGTCAGAAATGAGAAAGGTGACTGGCTAAAAAAATAGTGAGTGCTAGGTTTCCAAATTCTCTCAGTTTACTGTCATCATGTTCACTGTTTCATAAAGGCTGAGCACACAACACCCTAGGAAGCTAACTCAGCAAAATGTATGAAATACTTGAATTCACATTTCAAGAGGTGGCAAAACCTGTCAACTCCAAGACAGCATACTAAAAGCTTTAATGCTTGGGAGGCTGAGGCGGGCAGATGATGAGGTCAAGAGACTGAGACCATCTGGGCCAACATGGTGAAACGCTGTCTTTACTACAAATACAAAAATTAGCCGGCGTGGTGGCAGGCACCTGTAGTCCCAGCCACTCAGGAGCTGAGGCAGGAGAATCACTTGAACCCCGGAGGCTGAGGCTGCAGTGAGCCGAGATCACACCACTGCACTCCAGCCTGGTGACAGAGCGAGACTCTATCTCAAGATAAATAAATAAAAACAAAAATAAAAACAAACCAAAAAAACCCCACAAAACTTTAATGCAAAAGCTGAGTGACTTTTATCATTTCCTTTTTTTTTAAGAAACAGGGTCTTGCTGTGTTGCTCAGGCTTGAGTGCAGTGAAGTGATCACAGCTCACTACAGCCTCAAACTCCCGGGCTCAAGGACTCCTCCTGCTTCAGCCTCCCGAGTAGCTGGGACTACAGGCACACATCACCGCGCCTGGTTAATTTTTTCAGAAAAGTTTTTGTAGAGGCGAGGTCATACTGTATTGCCCAGGCTGGTCGTGAACTCCTGGTCTCAAACAATCCTGCCATCTCAGCCTCCCAAAATGCTGGGATTGTAAGTGTGAGCCACCGAAGTCTGAAATGCTCCCAACTGTTCATGAATTACGTAAGAGGAAAATGTCCACAAATTTTCAGAGGTCTTCCATGACAAAAGGATGACCAATGCTCTCTGAGGGGAGCAACAGGGGCACACTGATGAGAAACTCCCACGTTCTGCATGGTTCACGTAACTCAGGAGGACCATCCACCCACCCACTTCTGTGTCTGCAATGACCATGAGCTCTATCTCTCCAGTCACAGCTGCACGAAATGACTCAAAAGTTCCTCAGCTCGATCTTCGAGATATTTAAAATTCAAGGCAGCCGGGCACAGTGGCTCACATCTGTAATCCCAGCACTTTGGCAGGCAGAGGTGGGAGGACTGCTTGAGCCCAAGAGTTCAAGGCCATCCTGGGCAACATAAGGAAATCCCTTCTCTACCAAAAATAAAAATTAAAAAATTCGCCGGCCGCAGTGGCTCACGCCTGTAATCTCAGCACTTTGGGAGGCTGAGGCAGGTGGATTACTTGAGGTCAGGAGTTCGACCTGGCCAACATAGTGAAACTCCGTCTCTACTAAAAATACAAAAATTAGCTGGCTGTGGTGGCAGGCGCCTGTAATCCCAGCTATATAGGAGTCTGTGGCAGGAGAATCGCTTGAGCCCGGGAGGCAGAGGTTGCAGTGAGCAAGGATTGCACCACTGCACTCCAGCCTGGGCGAAGGAGGGAGACTCCATCTCAAAAAAAAAAAAAAAAAAACCAGCACGGGCAATGTGCTTTTGGGACATCAAACTTTTGTGCACCAAAGGACACAATCAACAGAATGAAAACACAACCTATGGAACGGCAGAGCATATTTACAAACCACACATCTGATACAGTGCGTAATATCCAGAATATATGAAGGACTTTTACAACTCAACAATAAAAAAATTAATAATCTGATTTTAAAATTGGCAAAGGATTTGAGTAGTGTTTCTTCAAAGATAATTTACAAATGGCCAACAAGTACAAAGAAAGATGCTCAACTTCATTAGGCATCAGAGACATCAAAACCAAACCACAATGAGATCCCACCACCTCATACCCATGAAGATGACTAATTTTTTTTCTTTTTTTGAGACAGTGTTGCTCAGGCAAGTGCAGTGATGAGAACAGGGCTCACTGCAGAGGATGGCTAATATTGTTTTTTAACCCAGGAAATAACAAGTACTGGCCAAGATATGAAGCTATGGGAACTCTCATGCACTGTCTGATGCAGCTGCTCTGGAAAAAAGTAGGACAGGTCCTCAAAAAATTAAAAAGAGGCTGGGCACAGCAGCTCACTCACACCTATAATCCCAGCACCCTGGGAGGCCAAGGCAGGATGATGACTTGAGGCCAGGAGTTTAAGATCAGCCTGGGCAACACAGTGAGACGCTCCCTCAATTAAAAAATAATAAAAAGGCCAGGCGTGGTGGCTCATGCCTGTTATCTCAGCACTTCGGGAGGCAAGGCAGGTGGATCACTTGAGGTCAGGAGTTTGAAACCAGCTTGGCCAACATGGTGAAACCTCGTCTCTACTAAAAATTCAAAAAAATTAGCCAGGCGTGGTGGCAGGTGCCTGTAATCCCAGCTACTTGGGAGGCTGAGGCAGGAGAATCGCTTGAACCCGGGAAGCGGACGTTGCAGTGAGCCGAGATTGTGACACTGCACGCCAGCCTGGGTGACACAGTGAGACTCCATCTCAAAAAAAAAAAAAAAAAAAAAAAAGGCTGATTTTTATAAATCAAAAAGTTACCAAATGACCAGATGCAGTGGCTCATACCCATAAACCCAACACCTTGGGAGGCCGAGGCAGGCGAATCATGAGGTCGGGCGATCAAGACCATCCTGGCCAACATGGTGAAACCCTGTCTCTACTAAAAATACAAAAATTAGCCAGGAGCGGCAGTGCACATCTGTAATCCCAGCTACTCGGGAGGCTGAGGCAGGAGAACTGCTTGAACCCGGGAGGCGGAGGCTGCAGTGAGCCGAGATCTCGCCAGTGCACTCCATCCAGCCTGGGCGACAGGGCGAGACTCTGTCTCAAAAAAAAAGAAAAAAACAAAGTTACCATATGATCCAGCAATCCCACTTCTAGTCATACAAGCAAAAGAACTCAAGGCAGGGTCTGGAAGAGATACCCGCACACCCACGCTTGTAGCAGCATCATTCACAATAGCAAAGATGCAGAAGGACCCGAGTGTCCACAGATGGAGAAATGAACAAACAGCACGTGCTCCATACGTGCAGTGATTTATTATTCAGCCTTAAACAGAAACAATATTTCTCATTTATGATTTTGTCAAGATAAGGTCTCACTATGTTGCCCAGACTGGTCTCAAACTCCTGGCCTCAAGCAATCCTCCTGCCTCAGACTCTGAAAACACTGGGATTACAGGGGTGAGCTGCGGTACCCGGCCTGAAGTTCTGACCCAGGCTGCAACAGAGATCAACCTAGAGAACACTACACTAAGTGAAATAAGCCAGGCATATATGATGGCATTCACGGGAAGTCCCTACAGCAGTCAAGTTCATGGAGACAGAAAAGTAGCACGGTGGTTACTAGGAGACAGGGGAGGCAGAATTGATGGATGTAGACTTTGGCTTCCCAAGATGAAATTCTAGAGGTCCGTTTAACAACAATGTGAATATATTCAACATTACTGATCTATGCGCTTAAAAATGGTTAAGATGGTAAATTTTATTTTACATAATTTTTTACCATAATTTTTTTTTTAAAAAATGCTGCCACTGAAGACCTTCTTTGCCCCAGGTGTCAGAAGTGTAACTATTTCCTCAATGTAGGTTCAGTAAGTTTTAGAAACACATCTGAGTGACCTGAGAATTATGTCAAGGTCACTAATGTACTCTTCAAACACTATTTAACCGAGAGACAATGTTTAGCCCTTTTATAAACTACATGATCTTAGGCTTATTAATAAAGTTATTAATGCTTGATTATATCATAAGTCTTTTCAGGTTTTTTTTTTTTTTTTGAGATGGAGTTTTGCTCTTGTCGCCCAGGATGGAGTGCAGTGGTGCGATCTTGGCTCACTGCAACCTCCACCTCCTGGGTTCAAGTGATTCTCCTGCCTCAGCCTCCCAAGTAGCTGGGATTACAGGCGCCCATCACACCCAGCTAATTTTTGTATTTTTAGTAGAGACGGCGTTTCACCATGTTGGCCAGGCTGGTCTCGAACTCCTGACCTCAGGAGATCCACCCACCTCGGCCTCCCAAAGTGCTGGGATTACAGGCATTAGCCACTGTGCGCAGCCGTCTTTTCAAGTTCTAAAAGCAACAAGTCATTCCCTTAGCAAGATGTGATTCTAGCTAATGGTTAAGTAAAGAAATGTTGGCTGGGTGCAGGGGCTGACACCTATAATCTCAGCACTCTGGGAGGCCAGGCCGAGGCAGGTGGATCCCTCAGGTCGGGAGTTCAAGACCAGCGCGACCAACATGGAAAACCCCCGTCTCTACTAAAAATACAAAACTTGCCAGGTGTGGTGGCGCATGCCTATAATCCCAGCTACTCGAGAAGTTGGGGCAGGAGAATCACTTGAACCCGGGAGGCAGAGGGTGCGGTGAGCCGAGATCGCGTCACTGCACTCTAGCCTGGGCAACAAGAGTGAAACTTCGTCTCTCAAATAAATACATAAATAAAAAATAAAAATACAAAAATCAGCCAGCTGTGTAGTCCCAGCTACTCGGGAGGCTGAGGCAGGAGAATCACTTGAACCCGGCAGGTGGAGGTTGCAGTGAGCCGAGATCACGCCACTGCACTCCAGCCTGGGTGACAGAGCAAGACTCCGTCTCAAAAAAAAAAAAAAAAAAAGAAGACAAACACAGTCAGTCACAGGCACAGTTAGCTATGCGGTCTCTGGGTTTTAAAAATGGAAAGAAAAAAAAGAAAAACAGATTTTTCAGAATCAAGTGAAGAGGCAGAGAAGGAGAGTTAAGGCCTTTCCTGGAATGAGAAGTAATCAAAGGTAAGAGCCAAACTTCAGGAATTAGAGAGGACTTCTAAACCCCGCCAAAGAGATTCTCCCATAATACCTGACCCCCACCTCCTGCAGCTGAAGAGGGGGAAAGGGTCTCCCCACAGAAAGACCAGGGTTACATTCAGAGCTTTCTATGTTCCAGATCCCAAGGGCTGGTACTGAAATATTACAAAGGATATTCGTTGTTACAGAAAAATGTAAGATACAATAAATCTTTCTGAGTTTCTCTTCAAAGGGTTTATTTAGCCTGTTAACTTCCTTATCCTTTGTTCTCGAACTCGACTTTCTTGTTCTTCCTTGCCCCTAGTTACTGTAAACAGCCTACCCGCTTCCCGTCAACTCTAATCAATAACTCACACCTGTTCCCTTGGTTACCTGTACACATTGTTCCCCTGAAACTGCACGTCTCACACGCTCCACCTCTGTACCTCACATCCCCCTCCCCTTCTATATTTAGAAAAATATGTACAAGTAGCCTATTGGGTCAGCTCAGATTGTGCAGTCCGACCCCAGCCCATAGGGGAGTGACACAGAGATAGGGACTGCGTTCAGGATAAAAACCCCCGGTCTCCTTTGTTCTCTGTGCTCTTGCCATCTTGACTGATGCAAGGGGCACCCTTCTGCAGAAGTAAATTGCCTTACTGAGAGAATTAAACTTTTGCCTGAGTGCTGGTTTTACTTCACAGCACTGAGCATTTATTTATTCCTGGAACATTTTATACCCACAAAAAGAAGAAATGCCCAAGCCTGCCCAGGATGTCAGCGTCTACATCTCTAAGGGTCCCTGGCGGTCGGACTTGTCTGTAACAGCAACTAAAATTGCAGCAATAGGTTGCGTAGGACACAAAACAGGCTCCTACTAAACATCAGCTGAGGAAAACTTGAGGTACACCCCAGTCCTTGTGGTACAGAGAAAAACCCTCTCCTCTAATCATGGTCTCTATTCTCACACAATCACCAACACAGAAGACTTCTGTGACTAAAGCAGAAACCGCACAGCAAACCCCAGCTGGTCTTCCTCTAACTCAGTTCTGACACCATCTACCTGGAGAGAGTATTAGATCCCACAGGTTGAAGGCTCAGTCCCCAAGACCGACTGCACCACACACCAGTCACAAGTTAGAACCTTCAAAACTTCTGACTGACCAGCTTCAAGTTGGGGTTCCCGTGACCCCTTCTTTGGGTTCAATTTGCTGGCACGGCTCACCGAACTCAGGGAAACACTTCCTTATGTTTACCAGTTTATAACAAAGAATATTACAAAGGATACAGATGAAGAGATGCATAGGGCAAGGTATTAGGGGAAGGACACAAAGCTTCCGTGAAGCTCTCTGAACCCCGTCTCCTTGGGATTTTATGGAAGCTTCATGATATCAGCATTCCTTTCCCAGGGGCAGAGGGTACGGCCTTCTCTGGGGAGGGTCCTGAGACCCACAATTAGAAAGGGTGGGGGTGTGGTGGTTAATGCCTGTAATCCCAGCACTCTGGGAGGCCGAGGCAGACAAATAACTTGAAGTCAAGAGTTCGAGACCAGCCTGGTCAACGTGGTGAAACCCCATCTCTACTAAAAATACAAAACAAACAAAAAAACGTAGCCAGGTGTGGTGGCATGTGCCTGTAATCCCAGCTACTTGGAAGGCTGAGGCACGAGAATCGCTTGAACCCATGAGGTGGAGGTTGCAGTGAGCCAAGATGGAGCCACTGCACTCCAGCCTGGGAGAGATTCTGTCAAAGAAGAGGGGAGGCGAGGGAAAGGGAGGGGAGGGAAAGGGAGGGGAGGGGAGAGGAGGGGAGGGGAGGGGAGGGGAGGGGAGGGGAGGGGAGGGGGGAGGAGGAAAGAAAGAAAGAAAAAAGAAAAGAAAGGAAGGAAGGTGGGGTGGTGGTGGGGAGACAGGACACGTTAGGGTGAAAGGGGGGTAGGAGAAGGTCAGAGGCCTCCCCTGAGGGCCAATATTGTAACAAAAAGACTAACCAGGTCTGTGGGAGTTACCGGCCAGGGTGAAAACCAAAATATATAATTACACCACATCTTGACAGGCCCAGACTCTCCCAACAGAGCCTGCTGCAAAACACAAGAAACTAATAAAAGAAAATGGGGAAAGGGGATGTCTGAATACTGGCATAACTTCTATTCCACTAAGAGATGCTTGAAAAATGAATCACTTTATACAAATGAGTGAAAATCAACCATTCTAGCACTTGAGGCTAATAACCTTTTTATTTTTGCCTCTGTCATGTCGTGCAGTCCCTGTTTCTCGTTCCTATTTCTGTGGAGTTTTATTTTTAAAGAAAACCTTATTTCCCATTATAAAAATTATGCATCATTTCTATAAAACAACACAGAAAAGCATAAAGTAGAAAACACTGTGAAACAACATCATTTATGTACTTTTTTTGAGACAGAGTCTCGCTCTGTCACCAGGCTGGAGTGCAGTGGCACGATCTCGGCTCACTGTAACCTCCGCCTCCTGGGTTCAAGTGATTCTCCTGCCTCAGCCTTCCAAGTAGCTGGGACTACAGGCACCCACCACCATGCCCGGCTAATTTTTTTATTTTTAGTAGAGATGGGGTTTCACCATGTTGGCCAGGATGGTCTCGATCTCCTGACCTCGTGATCCACCTGCCTCGGCCTCCTAAAGTGCTGGGATTACAGGCATGAGCCACTCTGCCTGGCCACGTATGTTCTAAACTTTGTGCATAGATATTTTGTTCCTATAACACCATCTATGCTATTCTCTACTTTCTTTTTCCTTTAACAATGCCATGGCCATCTCTCCAAATGAGGATTCAGATTGGTCTCGGCATTCTTACCGCATGAAGCACCATTTTGAGGATGTGCCACAACCACAGTAATCACCCCTTTCATGAAAGTCATTCGGGTTCTCCAATTTTCCACTCTTGGAAACAGCGTTGCAAGTAATATTGGTATACAGGCACCAAACAGTACATCTATAATGAACACAGCTTGCCAAATTACTCCACAAGGCTCTACCAATTTAACCTTCTACCACCAGGTTACCAAACTTCCCCTTTCCACCTCCTTCCCAAAGCTACCCACCACCTCTGTGTCCTCCCCACCCGCAGGAACCACCTGCTACCTACACATTGCAGGCCTCCCATTTCTCTAGCACCTTCACCTGGCACGCTGGGTGAGCACACAGCACGAAGCCTGCAGGACCTGTTGTGAAGCTAGATGTGCTGAGGCTGCCGGGCTGTGTGTGTGTCGGGTCTGGCGGGCTGCTGGGCTGTGTCAGGTCGAGAGGGCTGCCAGGCTGTGTGTCAGGTCAGGTAGGCTGCTGGGCTGTGTGTAGGTGGGGCGGGCTGCTGGGCTGTGTGTGTGTGGGGTCGGGAGGGCTGCTGGGCTGTGTGTGTGTCAGGTCGGGAGGGCTGCCGGGCTGTGTGTCGGGTCAGGTGGGCTGCCGAGCTGTGTGTGGGTCGGGAGGGCTGCTGGGTTGTGTGTGTGTCGGGTCAGGTGGGCTGCTGGGCTGTGTGTGTGTCGGGTCAGGTGGGCTGCTGGGCTGTGTGTGGGTCGGGAGGGTGGCTGGGCTGTGTGTGTGGAAAGAACAAACCTGGGTGTACAATGGATGCAGGACCTATGTCGGGGAGCAGGGTTGGACAACACTGCCCCCCAAGACTGAAGGAGCAGGGATCCCCAAGAAGGCTTCCCTGAACTACCAGCTTCCCGTTCCTGCCAAGTGGCAGAAGGCGTATCTGGAAACAGCAGCCTGCTCAGAGCCCACAGTCTCCTTACTCAATGCACAGTCACCCTGGAGAGAACCATGCCACAAGCCCAGATCCAGGACACACTGTCATGCAGGCTTCCTTCCCCACCACTCAGGAAAGCAAACTGCTACAATTAAAAAGGAACAAGGGCAAGTCTGGTGCTGCTCTTCACTGGGATTTTTTTCTTTTTTTTTTTTTTTTAAGACAGAGTCTCACTCTGCCATCAGGCTGCAGTGCAGTGGCGAGATCTCGGCTCACTGCAACCTCCGACTCCCTGGTTCAAGCAATTCTCCTGCCTCAGCCTCCCGAGTAGCTGGGATTAAAGGCACGCACCACCAGGTCCAGCTAATTTTTGTATTTTTAGTAGAGATGGGGTTTCACTGTGCCGGCCAGGATGGTTTCGATCTCCTGACCTCGTGATCTGCCCACCTTGGCCTCCCAAAGTGCTGGGATTAGAGGCCTGGCCTGCTCTTCATTGTTAAACTGTAAGCTGCCAGACGCAGAGCAGCAGATGAGTCTGTAAGTGCAGAGCCAAACTGTTTAAATGTGCCATCAAAAAGACAGTGTGGCCCTACTGTATCCATTTCACATTAGGGCCTATCTACTCACATAAGCTGGAAACGGGAGCACACCACACATGCACATGTGAGAACTCACTGCATGCTAAGCTCAGGGACAGCCTGCCCCAGACACAGCCGAGCTGGCAGACGCACAAGACCGGGTATATGTGTGTGATGAGCTAAACCATGACAATGGTATACTTTTCTGGAATTTAGAAGTTTTAGATGTTTCTTGTCTGGGTTTTTTTTTTTTTTGAGACGGAGTCTTGCTCTGTCGCCCAGGATGGAGTGCAGTGGCGCAATCTCGGCTCACTGCAACCTCGGCCTCCCGGGTTTAAGTGATTCTCGTGCCTCAACCTCCCCAGTAATTTGAATTACAGGTATGCGCCACCACGCCTGGCTAACTTTTTGTATTTGTAGTAGAGATGGGGTTTCACCGTGTTGCCCAGGCTGGTCTCGAACTCCTGAGCTCAGGCAATCTGCTCGCCTCAGCCTCCCAAAGTGCTGGGATTACAGGCGTGAGCCACCGTGCGGGCCGTCAAACTCATTTTTATAAGAAATGTTGAATTTACTGTAAACACTTCATTAATTAGGAAGCAGTTGTTAATATGCTGTTGTGGTGTTATGAGAGAGACACATACAGGTTTTCACCCACGGTTCCTGGCTCATAACTCCCAGACCTTGTTACAATCTTTTGTTATAATATTGGGTGTGTTAGGCCCTCAGGAACCAGAATCTCTCTCCTGCCCTTTCACCTGCTAAGGCAGAACTCAAATCTTCTCCACCTGATTGTGGGTCTGAAGAACCTCCATAGAGAAGCTCCCACCCTGCACACTAGGAGAAGCAATGCAGATACTATGAAGCTTCCTTAAAAATCCAAGAGGTGGCCGGGGTGCGGTGGCTCATGCCTGTAATCCCAGCACTTTGGGAGGACAAGGTGGGCGGATCACGAGGTCAGGAGATCAAGACCATCCTGGCTAACACAGTGAAACACCGTCTCTACCAAACATACAAAAAAAATTAGCCAGGCGTGGTGGCAGGTGCCTGCAATCCCAGCTACTCGGGAGGCTGAGGCAGGAGAAAGGCCTGAACCCGGGAGGCGGAGCTTGCAGTGAGCCGAGATCACACCACTGCACTCCAGCCTGGGCAACAGAGCGAGACAACGTCAGAGATAGATATGTATATATCTCCAAGAGGTATTTTCTGTAACACATGTGGGAAAAAAGAGAAAAAAAAAATCAAAGAAAAATGAATTTTGAAGTAAAAAAATAAAAAACATAAAAATCCAAGAGGTCAGCTGAACACATGGAAGGTTCTGGAGGGTGGCAGCCGAGGGAGGGCTTGGAAACTCCATAGCCTGTCCCCCCACACCTTGTTCCGTGCTTGCCCTCATCTGTATTCTTGGCAATTATCCTTTACAATGGGTCTGCAACCCCGGGGCAGTACTGGTCCGTGGCCTGTTAGGAACCAGGCTGCACAGCAGGACGCAAGCAGCAGGCGAACAAGCATCCCCACCAAGCTCTGCCCCGACAGATCAGCGGCAGCATACGATTCTCACAGAAGCATGAACCCCACTGTGAACGGCACACGCGAGGGATGGAGGCTGCACGCTCCTCCTGAGACTCTAATGCCTGATGATCTGAGTGGGAACAGTTTCATCCCGAAACCATCCCCCTATGAAAAAAACTGTCTTCCATGAAACCAGTCCCCGGTGCCGAAAAGGCTGCAGACCGCTGCTTTATAATAAACTGGTAAATGTGCTTCCCCAAGTTCTGGGAGCCGCTCCAGCACATTAATTGAATCCAAGGAGGGGGCTGTGGGAACCCCAACTTGAAGCCAGTCAGTCTGAAGTTTAGGAGGCCCAGACTCATGCATGGTGGGGACTGGGGCAGTCTTGGGGACTGAGCCCTCAACCTGTGGGATCTGACTCTATCTCTAGGTAGATGGCGTCAGAACTGAAAGGACACCCAGCTGGTGTCCACTGCTTGGTGTGTGGGGAGAAATTCCCCACATTCAGTCACAGAAGTCTTCTGTGCTGACAACTGTCGTGCTGTTAAGAGTGGAGAGAAAACATGGCTGGGGGGTTTTTCCCACACAGCTGCTAATGATTCAACTTGGACACCAACGTCTACAACTCTCCTGTAAGCTTCTGGGTCAATTCAGTAAAAAGTATCCTGAGATTTGCAAGTCAAGCTGTTTTAAAATGTTTTGCAACTACTTATCTGCATAAATCCCATCATTATCCCATCATACATTTATCTGCATAAATCCCATCATACAGTGTATGTGGCATCATACACTCCACAGCACCTAATGTGCGCGCAGGCATTAATCTGCGTGTCTTACGCACCCTGACTCATTTTTACAATAACTCTGAGGCAGGCATTGTTATCAACCTTATTTCACGTACAAAGAAAGTGAGGTGGCCGGGGACGGTGGCTCACGTCTGTAATCCCAGCACTTTGAGAGGCCGAGGTGCATGGATCATGAGGTCAGGAGTTAGAGACCAGCCTGGCCAAAATGGTGAAACCCCGTCTCTACTAAAAATACAAAAATTAGCCGGTTGTGGTGGTGGGTGCCTGTAATCCCAGCTACTCGGGAGGCCGAGGCAGGAGAACCGCTTGAACCCGGGAGGCGGAGGTTGCAATGAGCCGAGGTCATGCCATTGCACTCCAGCCTGGGCGACAGAGCAAGATCCCGTCTCGGAAGAAGGAAAAAAAAAAAATAGAGGCCCAAAGAGGCTGAGAAATTTGCCCAAGGTCGCACAGCAACCTGGTAAAGGGCAGAACCAGGACTCAAACGTACACAGCATGGATGCAGGCTGAGGAAATGCACCCTGACTTACAAAATAAACTCCCAGACATAAAGCACCACTTACTGTTCTACATCCCAGGGTTACAGGTAAGACTTTACTTGAAAAGAGGTTTCTGCTGCCAAAAATCCCTGATGTGACAGGAAAAGGCACAAGAAGTTCATGCTGATCGATAATTCACTAGAGAAATCAGGCCAGTGAACAAACCTGCTCAACACCTGTATCCCTCAGCACCTGTAGAAGCTCAACGAAAGAAAGAGGACAGCTCCCTCCAAGTTTATGAGGGGCCATGAACCCTATTTACTTCTCGAAAACAGCCATCCCTTCCCTGCTCCACCTGCAAGGTTAAATTTAAGACTCCGAGGGTTGGAAAGGGGAGAAACCAGAAAATGTCCCGTTAATTCTTACCTTGTTTCTCTTTTTCTTTTAGTGGATCAGTGTTATAGACTCGGAATCCATTTTCCATCCCACACGCAAAGCATCCTAAAGCAGAAGTGTAAAAGAGACATTAATCCCCAGGCCTGGAGTGGTTAAAAGAAAGAGGTCTGGAGAAATGACAACTACTGAGAACTCTTGCAGATGCTCAAACCACACAGACACGATAGGTGCTAAGTCACAACTCCTGTCCTTGTACAAATGTTACTAAGTGACAAGCACATCCATGCAGGGCATTTTGTTTGTCCTTTAGCAAAGGAGTCTTGGAGTTGTTCACACAACTTCCCCACTGCAGGGGCCTTCTGTGGCATCCCCATGGCCCAGGCTTGGAGGACGATCAGTGACAAACGTGAAGGACACTTCTAGAGGAAAGCCACCAAGCAGGCAATCCCGCCCACTGTGGACACCAGGTGAAGGGAAGGGCAGGGTGCTGGGGAGACAAGAGGTAGTCCTAGACTCCAGGAACCGGGAAGGTGAGGAAAGGATGCTCTTTCCCATTTACAGGGTGGTCTCCCGTGACTTTGCTCCCACCTATAAATCATCCTAACTCCTTAAAATCCTGTCAGAGTCTCAATGAGTTACCCAGGTCACTCATCCTGGTCACTGCCTCCAAGTCACACAGCAGGCTGTTAATGGTCCAAATAAACAGCACTGTTAGAAACTGAATAAAGCACTTAAGTGCGTAGATGATCGTGTGTTAATGCTCGTGTGTGACCCAGGGACTACATCCATCTCCTTAAATGCCATGTCCAACTGTTGGCTCTATGAAGCTGTGGCTGGAAAGAGAAAAAAACAAACCCCTCAATTATTTTTCACATGAAATGTTGCAAAGTCTGGATCTTTCCAATGACTGCACAAGTGGTGTGAAAGCCCAACACAAAGGCCTCTAAAACTCCCATTTGAGGCCGGACGCAGCAGCTCACGCCTGCAATCCCAGCACTTTGGGAGACCGAGGTGGGCGGATCACCTGAGGTCAGGAGTTCGAGACCACCCTGGCCAACATGGTGAAACCTACCCTCCACTAAAAATACAAAAATTAGCCAGGCATGGTGGCATGTGCCTGTAATCCCAGCACTTTGGGAGGCCAAGGCAGGTGGATCACCTGAGATCAGGAGTTCGAGACCAGCCTGACCAACACGATGAAACCCCGTCTCTACTAGAAATACCAAAAAATTAGCCAGTCGTGGTGGTGAGCGCCTGTAATCCCAGCTACTCAGGAGGCTGAGACAGGAGAATCACTTGAACCCAGGAGGGGGAGGTTGCAGCGAGCTCAGATCACGCCACTGCACTCCAACCTGGGCAACACAGCAAGACTCCGTCTCAAAAAAAAAAACAAAAATAAAAAATAAAAATAGAAATACCCAAACCACCTCCTAGAAATCCACAAGAAAAAGGCAAAATCCTCAATAGAAAAATGGGCAAAAGACTTAGACATGTCACAAGAGGATATCCAAGTGGTCAAGAAACACAAAATCAGGAAAATGCAAATAAACAACAGAGAGATGTACACAGCCACCAAAATGACCAAAAATAAGAGAAAACATCAAATGTGAGCTGGGTGTAGAGCCATGGGAACTCTTAGACCTGCTAGTTGAGGGCAAAGTGGTACAACCACTTTGGAAAACTATTTGTACTATCTACTATACTCTCAATTCTACTCCTAGGTATATAGAAGTACATGCCTGTGGAAATGTGAACATATGGTCACTGAGAGACATCTTCTAGATTAATCATTACTCTTATTACTCATATTATGCTTATGGTAGCCAAAAACTGGAACGTACCCAAATGCCCAACCATGGTAGACTGGATATATGAATTGTTGTATGTCTGCACAAAAGAACATTGTACATCAAGAATGATCTGGCCGGGCACGGTGGCTCACACCTGTAATCCCAGCATTTTGGGCAGCCGAGGTGGGTGGATCACAGGGTCAGGAGATCAAGACCATCCTGGCTAACACGGTGAAACCCCATCTCTATTCAAAATACAAAAATTAGCCGGGAGCGGTGGCGGGCACCTGTAATCCCAACTACTCGGGAGCCTGAGGCAGGAGAATCGCTTGAACCCAGGAGGCAGAGGTTGCAGTGAGCTGAGATCACGCCACAGCACTCCAGCCTGGGCAAGAGCAAGATCCGTCTCGGAAAAAGAAAAAAAAAAAGATCTACAACTATACTCAACAATACGGAAAAAAAAAATCACAAACATGATGTTGAGTAAGAAACCTAGAAACAGCCTGGCGCCGTGGCTCACGCCTGTAACCCCAGCACTTTGAGAGGCCGAGGTGGGCGGATCACCTGAGGTCAGGAGTTCAAGACCAGACTCAACACGGAGAAACCCAGTCTCTACTAAAAATACAAAATTAGCCAGGCATGGTGGTGCATGCCTGTAATCTCAGCTACTCGGGAGGCTGAGACAGGAGAATTGCTTGAACCTGAGAGGCGGAGTTTGCAGTGAGCCTAGAACGCGCCATTGCACTCCAGCCTGGGCAACAAGAGCGAAAACTCCGTCTCAAAAAAAAAAAAAAAAAAAAAAAACCCAAAACAAAAAAACAGCTAGAAACAAAAATAAGTACAAAAATAAAGTACAGAAGTAGGCAAAACTAATCTATGATGTCACAAGTCAGGTAGGGAGCATTTATTGGAATCAAGCGTGGCCAGGTATATTCAATTTCTTAATTGTTAGTGACAGGTGTGTAGTTTGGAAAATTCATCACCTGAACACTTATGATATATCCACCCTTCTACAGGTATAGCACACTTCACTAAAAAGAAGGCATTACAAACACCAGATGGTTGGAAACCACCCTCTGAGAAGGCTAGGCATCTCCCTTACCATCTCAGCAAAACTTTCTTCCGGAGAAACCCCAGCACACAACCCTGGGGAAGCTGGCAGCGCCCAGGAAGCCTGACTGGTCCCAGGGCATCAGGCATCAAAATCACTGAGAGGGAGTTCTTTCAAATATGTGTAATCCGGCCGGGCGCAGTGGCTCACGCCTGTAATCCCAGCACTTTGGGAGGCCGAGGCGGGTGGATCACCTGAGGTCAGATTGAGACCAGCCTGGCCAACATGGTGAAACCCCGTCTCTACTAAAAATACAAAAAGTAGCCGGGCGTGGAGGCAGGCGCCTGTAATCCCAGCTACTCAGGAGCCTGAGGCAGGAGAATGGCGTGAACCCGGGAGGAGGAGGTTGCAGTGAGTCGAGATCGCACCAGGCTGGGCGACAGAATGAGACTCCGTCTCAAAATGAAATAAATAAATAAATAAAATTGTCTTCACATATACGGGATCATACAGCACCTGCCTGGATTCTCTTCAAAAACAAAACTTCCAAAGCCAACATGTAAAGCCTCGCAGAAGCCTGTCTCGGAATAACGGACATTCCTTTTCCTCCCCATCAGGACCTTTGGGAAGCGCGCCCTTCAAATGGGAGGTGAGGAGGCAACCATCCGAATCCAGGTCCCGCCCGCCTCCCGCGGGAATCCGACCGCGCCGCCCCGGCCGCATCCCCCGCAGCTCCGAAGCACCTGCGGGGAAGGAGGTCACCTTCCCTGGGCGCTTTAAATCATCCAGTGCTTACACCTGGATTCCGACATGGGAAAAGAAGTAAGATTTCCCTCAAAGGCCTCCCTTAAGTCCTTTGACTCCACCAAACACGAAGAAAAATCCCGGGGAGTGGGGGTGGGGAGAGTGACATTTTCCGATGGAAACCGACGGGAAAGGTGAGACCTGCACCCCACCCGCGCCACTCGCCACCAGAGGCGTCGGAGACGCCGGCTCCGCGGCTCCAGTAAACCCAAGCGAAGTCAGCTCAGCCACGGGCTACCTACTAAAGACCCTGAAAGGAACAGGGGGCAAAACGGGGTTCTGGGCAGGGCGTCAATCACGCTGTGGGGAAAATCCCGATAACCGTGGAGCCCGCAGGGAGCCAGGGAACCCGAGTGGGCGTGGCGCGCGGGGAGGGGCGTCCGCGCAGGAGGCTGGGGTTCTGTGCCGTCTCCCACCGACCTCGACCTCGGCCCGGGACGGCCGGCTGGGAGCGGTCACAACCCGGGGGGTGGGGGAGCGCGAAAGGCCAGGAAGGTGGGAGCCGGTTCGGGCCTGGTCCGGACCCCGGCTCGGGCTGGGAGCAGCGGCGAGGGCCGGGGCCGGGGGCTTCGGAGGGGAGCTCGGGCGGGGCCGGGGTCCCGGGTGGAAGGCCTGGCCGGAAAGGGGCGCCCAGGAGAGGCCTGAGAGCCGGGGACCCCGGGCTGCGGGAAGGCCCGGCCGGGCAAGGCGACAGGGCCGCGCCTCCTCACCGTGGTCCTGGTTGAAGCCGGCGTAGAGCAGCCCGTTGCCGTGAGGGTTACACGGCAGGAGGTTCATGGCGCCGCCGTGCTGGGTCGCCGCTCCTCAGCGCTGCATGCCTCTCGCTGGGGACGGCGGCCTGGTCCCTTCGGGCCGGCGCTGAGGCCGCCGCGGCCGGAAGTGCCGGACGTACGTGCGTGCGTGCTGGATGTGCGTGTGTGCTGGACGTGCGTGCGTGCGTGCTGGACGTCCGTGCGCGCGCCCGCGCCCCACCAGGGAGCCTATGGAGCGCCGAGCGCATCTAACCGAAGCGAGGCGAGACGAGGCGAGGCAGGGCGGGGAGGGGCGGGGCGGGGCGAGGCGAGGCGAGGCGAGGAAAGGCGGGGAGAGGCAGGGCGGGCGGGGCGGGATGAGGCGGGGAGAGGCAGGGCGGGCGGGGCGGGATGAGGCGGGGAGAGGCGGAGCGAGGCGGGGCGGGGAGGAGGGGGCGGGGCGGGGCGGGGCGAGGCGAGGAAAGGCGGGGAGAGGCAGGGCGGGCGGGGCGGGGCGGAGGCGGGGAGGGGCGGAGCGAGGCGGGGCGGGGAGGAGGGGGAGGGGCGGGGCGGGGAGGGGCCAGGCGGGAGCGCAGAGCACGTTCGCGGGAGGGTCTGGCCTTGTCATGCGCGGGGTCGCCGCGGGAAGGAGGATGGCCCGTTGAGGGCTTGGCACGGATACCTGACGGTCGGAGGAAGGGGGGAGAGCCGGTAAAGGAGGCTGACCCAAAACTGAGGCCCGGTGCATCATCCCTCATGAGAGGCAAGCCCAGAAGCGCCACAATACTAGGGTCCCCCTTCAGGAGACAGAGACCCCCAGGACACAGAGGGCCCCCAAGTCACTCAGCCCCCCCAGGACACGCAGCTCCTGCAGGACGCAGAGGGTGCCCAAGACACACAGTCCCCAGGACAGAGACCCCCCAGGACACAGAGGACCCCCAAGACACGCAGTCTCCAGGACACAGAGGTCCCCCCAGGACACACAGTGCCCCCAGGACACAGAGGTCCCCCAGGACACAGCACTCCCAGGACACACAGCCCCCCCGGGACACAGAAACCCCCCCAGGACACAGCCCCCCTAAGACACACAGCCTCCCCCAGTACACAGAGTCCTTTCCAGGGCACATATTCCCCCAGAAGACACAGAGGTCCCCCTAAGACACACAGCCCCCCCAGGACACACAGACCGCCAGGTCACAGAGACCTTCCCAGGACACAGGGACCTTCCCAGGACACATAGCCCCCCAGAGGACACACAGCCCCCCCACGACACAGCCCATAGAGGACACAACCCCTTAGTACCCCACCTAAAGGACAGGTGGCCCTCACACAGCACAGCCCCCGCAGGACTCCGGGACCCTCAGGTCACATTGCTCACAGGGCACAGTTCTCAACTCTTAGGGTCAGGCTGCTGGGGGCATCCTGGTCACAGAGCTTTGTCCCTGGGCTTGGCTCATGCAGTGGATGGCTGTGGAGGCCTGAGTGCTGGCCCTCGTGTCTCTTGCCCAGGGAGTCCTCTCCACTCCCCCTCCTCACTTTCCTGTCCCCTCCTAGGCTCTCCCTGTTCCCTGCAGCACACCTGATCTCCTAGGAGGTCCTGACACTGTCCCCTCGCAGCCACCTGCCTCCACCCCGTCTGTCATCCTCATCCCACCCTCGCCACTTGCCTGAGCTGGTGCTGACCTCTTAGCCATGGGGAGGAAGGAGCTGGACTGTAAGCTGAGATCACTGGCCCACTCGGGCCAGGCGGTCTCCGCATCGTGGGCATTGAACACCTCGATTCCCATACGAGAGGGGCTCCTCCCTGAGAGCGACCAGAAGCCTTCCGATGGCGGAGCGAGTTGGGCCGCCCCGGCTGTGACTAGGGCTCGGGGGCCCAGGTCCAAATCACAGAGCTGGGGCGAGACCTAAGTGCGGTCCAGGGGCTCAGCACCCTCTTCCCTGAAGGGCACTGGGTTCTCCTCTGTGCACACGTACCGGTACCTGCTGTGAGAAGTGTCACGTGGGGGAAGGAGAGAGGCGTGGGTAAGGGACATTTCCCTTCATTTCTCTGCTTGCCACCCTTGGGGCCTCCTTCAGTTCACATTTTACTCAGTCTCCCGGTGGCTGTACAGCCGGGGGCGGGGGCATGTGTGGACATCCACACACAGCGCTGGTTGTATCCTAACCAGGAAACTCAAAGCAGCCTTGCCCACCACAGTGCGTTGAATGGTGACCCTCTAAAGATGTGTCCTGGGGGGCTGAGGAGGGAGGATGGCTTGAGCCCAGGAGATTGAGGCTGAGGCTGCACTGAACTGAGATTGTGCCACTACACTCCAGCCTGGGCAACACAGCAAGACTCTGTCGCAAAAAAAAAAAAAAAAAAAGATAGGTCCACCCAGAACCTGAGAATAGGGGCTTCTTTAGGTAAAGAATCATTGCAGAAGTAATTAAGGATCTCGAGATAAGATCATCCTGGATTTGGGGTGGGCCTTAAAGCTGGTGACCGGCACCCTTGGAGGAGACAGGAATGGAGGAGATACAGGGGACAGCAGCCAGTGGGACTGGAGTGCTCAGCCCTAAGTCAGCAAGTGCAGGAATCGTGGGGTCACCAGGAGCCGGGAGAGGCATGAACGGTTCTTCCCCAGAGCCTCCCAGCCTGGGAAGGAACACAGGCTGTTGTCCAAGCCACCAGCCTGTGGGGCTTTGTTCCAGCAGCTCCAGGAATCCCGCCGTCCACTGATAGCTCAGAGGTCTCCACGTGGAAGACCTGAAGTGTGACTTGGAGTGAGGGACACGGCTCATCTCGCCCACCCTTCTCCAAGGCAGGCAGAAAGCAGAGTCTCACCTCTGGGGGTGGAGAGAATAGAAATTATACACACACACACACACACACACGCATATATATGTATTTATATATATATGTATATATCTCCTGGGCTCAGGAGATCCTCCCACCTCAGCCTCCTGAGTAGCTGCAACTACAGGTACACACCACTATGCCAGCTTAATTTTTTGTATTTTTAGTGGAGACAGGGTTTCATCATGTTGCCCAGGCTGGTCTTGAACTCCTAGGCTCAAAGGATATGCCTGCCTCAGCCTCCCAAAGTGCTGGGATTACAGGCGTGAGCCGCTGTACCTGGCCTAACGATGTATTGTTTAAAGATACAACATATTTGGACACACATAAACATATAAAGAAAACCAGGAGGATGGTTTGCACAGAATTGGAGATGGTGGTTACCGCTCGGGGCAAGAGAAGAATCTACAGTAGGCCGGGCGCGGTGGCTCACTCCTGTAATCCCAGCACTTTGGGAGGCCAAGGCGGGCTGATTGCCTGAGGTCAGCAGTTTGAGACCAGCCTGGCTAACACAGTGAAACCCCATCTCTACTAAAAATAGAAAAATTATCTGGGCGTGGTGGCAGGCTCCTGTAGTCTCAGTTACTCGGGAGGCTGAGCCAGGAGAATCGCTTGAACCCGGGAGGCGGAGGCTGCAGTGAGCTGAGATCGCACCACCGCACTCCAGCCTGGGTGACAAGAGCGAGACTGTCTCAACAACAACAAAAAAAGAATCTGCAACAGGGGAAGGGTGTGTGGTTGACCCTGAAGAACAGCCCCCAACGACACCCCCATCCCCGTGCTCAGAGCTTGTGCATGTGTTGCTGTATATGGCAGCAGGGACTTTGCAGATGTGACTACCTCAAGGACCTTGAGATGGGGAGGTTAACCTGGATGATCCAGGCGGAATCACGAGGGTCCTTACAGGAAAGAGGGAAGGGGGTCGCTGAGAGAGAGGGCTGTAGTGTGACCACAGAGGCAGACTGGAGGGACGCAGCCGGGAGCCCAGGAATGCTGCTGTCTAGAGGCTCAGGAGGCCGGAGATTGACTCTCCCTGGAGATTCCAGAAGGGACCAGCCCTACAGACACCTTTATTTTAGCCCATTCCTCCAGAACTGTAAGAAAATAAATGTGTGTTCCTTGAAGTCACTAACTTTGTGATAGTTTGTATTAGACTGAAGAATGGCCCTCAAAGATACCAGATTGTCATCTCTGGAACCTTTAAATGTGTTATTCCTGGCTGGGCACAGTGACTCACACCTGTAATCCCAGCACTTTGGGAGGCTGGGGTGGGTGGATCATGAGGTCAGGAGTTCAAGACCAGCCTGACCAACATGGCAAAAACCTGTCTCTGCTAAAAATACAAAAATTAGCCGGGCGTGGTGGCAGACGGACACCTGTAATCCCAGCTACTTGGGAGGCTAAGGCAGGAGAATCGCTTGAACCCGGAAGGCAGAGGTTGCAGTGAGCAGAGATCGGGCCATTGCACTCCAGCCTCGGCGAGAGACAGACTCCGTCTCAAAAAAAAAAATTAATAAATAAAGAAGGTATTCTCTTACTTTGGAAAAAGGGTCTCTGCAGATTTGATAAAGAGGCCCTGAGACAGGAAGACTGTCCCGAATTGTCTGGATGTCCCCAAGTGCCATCACATGCTTCTTCAGGCAGAGGAAGGATTGACCAACAGAAAACACCACATGGGGACGGAGACGGAGACTGCAGTGATGTGGCCACAGGCCAAGGAATGCCCGGGGCCCCCAGAAGCTGGAAGAGGCCGGAAGGACCCTGCCAGAGCCTCCAGAGGGTACCACGCCTTGATCTCAGCCCAGTGATGCTGATTTTGGACTTGGACTCCAGAACAGTGACGGAACACACTTCTGTTGTTTCAGGCCCCCGGGCTGTGGTAGTTTATTACAGCAACAGTAACAGACCTTGAAACCCGCGCCGAGGGCTTGGCAGGTAAGACTCTACTCCTTCTGCTTCAGCTGCTGTGTGTTGGGCACACAGGTGTTGATATTCGTAGCAGTACTACTGTTCATTCAAACAGACACACATGAACTGTTACATGAAGGATCCATTTCACAAATAGAACCATTAGAGGACCTTTTAAGAAACCCATCTCCCTTATCCCCTTTCTGTAGTGGAACGTGGAGCAATGTTAAGATTGCTGGACACTCTGGAACCTTTAATCCTCACGCCTGGAATCCCAGCACTTTGGGAGGCTGAGGTGGGAGGATCACTTGAGCCCAGGAGTTTGAGACCAGCCTGGGCAACTTATGAAGACCCTGTTGCCAAAAAAAAAAAAAAAAAAAAAAAAAGCCAGGTGTGATGGTGCACACCTGCAGTCAGCTACTCCGGAGGGCGAGGTGGGAGGACCACTGAGCCCAGGATTCAAGGCTGCAGTGAGCTGTGATTGTGCCGCTGCACTCCAGCCTGAGCAACAGAGTGAGACCCTGTCTCTAAAAGAAAGAAAGGAAAACATTCAAGGCAAGGAATCAAGAAACCAGCAGATGGTGGCGATTGGCTTTGAGCAACACACAGAGTCTTCCTCCAGCTGAACTGGAAGGTCAGCGTCTGCCCGGTCAAAGGCATGGAGACCGGTATGCCTGCCTCTCACCGTGGCCCACACGGCGATCTTCCTGTCACCTCAAAGGGCACCAAGGAAGAGCAAGGCAGCCCCTGGGCACCAGCGAGGCTCTGGAAGGCTCCTGTTGGACCTGGCCCCACGGACAAGGCCGCCCTGTGACGAGGGGGCAGGACAAGAAAGAGCAAGGCAGCCCCTGAGCATGCACAGCGAGGCCCTGGGAGGCTCCTGTTGGACCTGGCCCTGCGGACAAGGCCGCCCTGTGACGAGGGGGCAGGACAAGAGCAGGGTCCCCTCTGCACACAGGTGGGAGCAGTGCCCACCTCCCCGACGACCAACACTCCCCATCCTGCCGGATGTGAGTGACTGCCACTTTTTACCAATGACGCCTTGCACCTTGCTGCACTTTTCTCACCTTCTAGATAAGAATTATTAAGATAGTAAGTCCCGGAGTCACCCCTGCTTCCTGACAGCATCGAACAGGGTGCAGCGGTTGCCGTGAATATTCCCTAAAACCTCCACAAGGCTGCCCAAATCCCGCCCATCCTCCCTGACTCCCCAGCACCCTCTCGATGGTCGGAGGCTTGGTGCTGCAGCAAGTCAGGGGCGTTCACGGTGGCCTTTGGCTAACAGCCTTGACAGCACCTCTGGGCTGCTGGGAAGTAGCCGGTCACCTCACCTAGAAGAGGGTGAAGGCTGGAGCAACAGAACTGCTTTGGGACTAGGTGGAGTTTGGAATCCCTCTCCACAGTGGCTCAGGGCCTCTGTGCTCCAGCGGGGTTTGCTGTCATCATGGGAATGTAGAGGAGAAAAACCAGTATCAGCTCGAGTTCAGCACTGCGGCAGGGTAGGGACAGTGGTTTTATTTTTATTTGAGATGGAGCCTCACTCTGTCACTCAGGCTGGAGTGCAGTGGTGCAATCTCAGCTGACTGCAACCTCCACCTCCCAGGTCCAAGCAATTTTCATGCCTCAGCCTCCTTAGTAGCTGGGACTATAGACGTGCACCACCATGCCCGGCTAGTGGTTTGTATTTTTAGTAGAGACGGGGTTTCATCATGTTGCCCAGGCTGGTCTTGAACTCCTAAGCTCAGGCAATCCGCCTGCCTCAGCCTCCCAAAGTGTTAGGATTACAGACATGAGCCACCGCGCCCTGCCAGGACAGTGGTTTTAAAAGGCAGGTGCCAGCCTTTCTTAAGAGAAGAAAGTGTGTAAGAATCTGTAGATCTAAAGCAACAGGCCACACCTCTGAACATGACAAGAAAATGACAAAGTTTCTCTAAGGTTTAATTTATATTTATGTTTTTTGTATATTCACCACCCAAACACACAGTCTTCTACTTAGTCCGGTCTGTATTAGGTTTCGTCTGTTTTTGTTCTGCCTTGGTTTGCTGTAGCACTTTCTGCCGTGAGCGTAACTCACTTCCTTGTAGGAGTTTCCTGAGGCTGCCGTAACAATCGCCACAAACCTGGTGACTTAAATAACAAATATTTATTTTCTCGTAGCTCTGGAAGCCGGAAGTCCAAAACCAATAACTTGGCAGGGCTGTGCTCCCTCTGGGAGATCTCGGGGAGCCTCCTTGCTACATGTTCCGCTTCTGGGGACTTCTGGTGGTGTTTCCCTGGAGGGCCAAGGCCTCCGGGCGGCCCGTGCATTCGGTGAACACCTCCAAAGAGCTCTGAGTCACAAAGCCTTGGGAAACTTTATTTTATTCTTTCTAGGACATTATCAGTAGTCCCGAGGAGACATCAATTACAAAACAAGAAAAAGGAAGGAAGAGAAAAATACAGGTTTGGCCTGGTTTAATGTTGCAATGGGAGGATCCATTTCCTTACCCTTCACCATCAGCGAGCTGGGAACGGAGGGAGAAGAGGCCCCTCAACGTGGGTTTCTTCAACGTGGACTCTCCTTTCTGTGCATCTCAGTGTCCTTGTGTTTGCAGCTGGGAGGTCGGCCCTGTCGTTCTCACCCCACCTGTGGCACAGCAGAGAGAAGGGTGCACAGGTCTTTGCAGCGTGCCTGCACGAGGCTGGCCACCCTCTCCAGACACTGTCCCCTCAGGGTTCACCTTCTGCCCACAGACCACACCCCTGCCTCCCCGTGGACTTTGTCCCCGTGGCTGCCGTGCCCAGGTGGCCAGACACCCCCAAGCCTGGGTCCACCCGCAGGGACCAGTGCTCCTCTCTCCTGTCTGGGCCTCGGTTCCACCATCTCTGAATACAGGCTTTGCCCCTGATTCTAGGGTCCCTTAAATTTCTTTTTTTTTTTTTTTTTTAGATGGAGTTTCACTTGTCGCCCAGGCTGGGGTGCAGTGGTACGATCTCGGCTCACTGCAACCCCTGCCTCCCAGGTTCAAGTGATTCTCCTGCTTCAGCCTCCTGAGTAGCTGGGATTACAGGTGTGCGCTGCCATGCCAAGCCAATTTTTGTAATTTTATTAGAGACGGGGTTTCATCACGTTGGCCAGACTGGTCTTGAACTCCTGACCTCTGATCCGGCTGCCTCGGCCTCCTGAAGTGCTGGGATTACAGGTGTGAGCCATCACACCCAGCTGGGTCCCTTAAGTTTCTAAGAATCTACAGATCATCAGCAGGAACTAGGAACATCTGGGTATTTTCTCGCTTCGTTTTTTTGGTTTAGTCCCTCATTTGCGACCCCCAGCCACAGAGAAACGTTCAACAGTGTGACCAGGGAAGAGAGCGGCCCTGGAGGTCTTTGCGGTCAGCCCTGCTCTGAGGCAGTCGGGGTCAGGGGCTACATCTTCATGCGGAATTCCTGACAGCCCCTCGGAGCTCCTCACCGAGGCTCAGGAGCACGGCTCTGATTTCTCAGACAGGCACATGCCTGGGTGCCAGCTTTTAACTCTCCGCTCTCTCCTCCTCTGCACTTCTGTTCCGGAAAAGGAATCCTTTCTCAACAGGCGACAACAGTTCAAGGATTCAGCCTTGTTGCCAGTGTCGTGTATTAGCTCCGATATGTGATGTCTACACCAGGCAGTGGCGCAGTGAAGTAAAGGGCTATAAGAAATACACAAAATCTGGCCGGGCGCAGTGGCTCACGCCTGTAATCCCAGCACTTTGGGAGGCCAAGGTGGGTGGATCACCTGAGGTTAGGAGTTCAACACCAGCCTGACCAACATGGTGAAACCCCATCTCTACTAAAAATACAAAAATTAGCCGGGCGTGGTGGTGCACCTCTGTAATCCCAGCTACTCGGGAGGCTGAGGCAGGAGAATCGCTTGAACCCGGGAGGCGGAGGTTGTGGTGAGCCCAGATCGTGCCATTGTACTCCACCCTGGGCAACAAGAGCGAAACTCTGTCTCAAAAATAAATAAATAAATAAATACAAAATTCGAAAGAACCGGTCGCCAACTCTACCAAGAGAGAAACAACTATACATTTTATTGTTGAGAAACATTTTCCTAAATAAGTGTTTTCACTTCATTCTTTACTGAAACAGCTCTTCCTTGACATGTCGAAACTGTGCTGGCTGTGTTCAACATAACTAGAGGTATCTTTGGCATTTTCTTCCCTTAGCTTCATAACTTGTAGAATATCTTGTACAAAAAACTGTAGATTTACAGAAAAATATGCATATAAATCACTTATTAATCCCAAAATGTAGTAAATAACTAGCAAAAACTTTATCAAATCCATTTCATACACAAACTGGACAGATCAGTTGCACATAACCTCTACATCTGCAGCGTTTTATAAATTGGCGCTTTGACATTGAAAAGGAGGTTTACAAAAAGACCCCTCTCGTAATATCAGTGACTCTAAATTATCCCGCTGCCATTGCTTCTCAAATTCCATTGAATTTATACTAATCACTCCAATATCACCGTTCTTACAAAAGCAGTTATTTTAAGGAAAAAGTTGCAGTGCAATCATGATAAAGTAACATTCAGAATTTCATGTTACCAAGAGTCGAGCAGAGTACTAATTTTCCCTTTACAAACACACATCGAAAACAAGAGCTTCATGCACATCCACGTAGAAATTCGAAGTCCGACGGGGTAGTGTGTTTCCATCACACGGAAGGCGTCGCACACATTCGCAAGCAGCATTCGCCGAGAGGAACCGGGATCTGAGATGCATCCACCAGCTGCCGGGGGTAACGCCGAGCTTCTCCTGGAGAGATTCCGCCGTGTTTCTTTCAGTGCCTTCCTTAAGAAATTTTGCAGCTGTTTCTGGTGCAGTTTTTGGGGGGGCTCTGGGGGGGGCGGACGAGCTTCACTTTGCGGAGGCTGCTCCTTTTGTGGGTGGAGCTGGTGGTGAGGGAGTAGGAACCGCCGTGCATCATCCTGGCATTCAGGCCGTTGGCCATCGAGAAGGACTTGAGGTGGCTTCTTAAGGCAATGGGGAGCGGGAGCTTGTCCACCAGGTGCACCGGCGTGCAGGACACGACCGCCCGGCAGCAGAGGTCTTGCAAGCTCAGCACTTGGGAGAGAAAAGATAAACCTTGCTTAGTGGATGTCCCCACCTGGGCTGGGAATGAGGGGTGGTGCCCACACCTGTTCTCCCGCCCTCCCAAGGCTCGGACGCCCGTGGCCCTGGCTTGTACATGCAGCAAGCCCTGCCGCGACGTCCCCTCTGCCCACGTACAGATCCCAGGAGCTCCCTCATGAGCTTTCTGACAAAGCTGTAGTCATTACTTCTCTCAAATGCCTTGCTCTGAGAACGGACACAGTGGCCTTGAGACGGGTCCCGGGAGGCAGACACTTATCCAGGGGGCCGCTGACCCACCTCGGCATCTGGAGGGCAGAGGTGGCCCCCGGAATAGCCCCTGGGCCTACCCTTGCTCGGCCGCCAGAGCCGGTCCATCCCATGCCGCAGCAGCACGATCCTGGCCAGCTCCGTGAACGACTCTGTGATGTTGAAATTGCACAGAGGGCTGACCTCAAAGAAGGTCACGCCCAGGCGCTCGGCGTAGGCCTGGGCCTGCTCCGTGGGCACCTGCCGCTTGAACGCCAGGTGCAGGCGGTTCCCCACCAGGATCTTGGGGACTCCGGGGGCATGCTAGCGGGCAGGAGAAAGGCGAGGAGCATGGGTTACTTCAGTGAGATTTTGTTGTCGTCGTAATGTGGGTGCTCTGGGTCGAGGAACCCCCCACGAGTTCATGTCCACCCAGAACCTCAGCATGGGACCTCGTTTGGAAAGACCGTCTTTGCAGACGTAAATAGTTACGGTGCGGCCGCACTGAATTAGGGCCCTCATCTAATGACTGGTGTCCTTGGGAGAAGAGAAGACACAGACACTCGGAGGAGGCCATGTTACGCGAAGGCAGAGGCTGGAGCGGTGCAGCCACAAGCCAGGGAGGGCCCAGGGTTGCTGGCACCGCCGAGAGCTGGGAGAGGCGGCTGTAGGGAAGTGGCCCTGCCGACACCTTGGTTTTGGGCTCTGGCCTCCAGAACCGTGAGAGAATGCATTTCTGTTGTTCAGGACGCCCAGGTTGTGGTCGTCGGTTCTAGCAGCCCCGGGACACTCATACAGTGGGCTTAGTGTCGACCACGCCATGTCACCATTGCCAGGCGGGCTGGTCTGCGTGCCAGCAGGCACAAGCGCCGGTCACTGCTGGTCAGCCCAGCCCGACCACAGCAGGGAGTGAAGCAGGCCAAACCTGACCCCACGCATAGCCGAGGTACGCCGTGGACGCTCGTTTCGTCTGGACCAGCTTCCTGAGCTTTCGTGATTGTAGCTATCACCAAAGCCCTATCCAGTGTTGTGCCGAGGTGAGGCACCCTCCTTCCTGCTGGAGCGCCATCCGGTGCCCTGGCCTGTGATCCATGGGTACCCATGAGCCCTGGAGGGCCCGGCCCTAATTCCTGGCCTGACGTCCTCCCAAGCCTACAGGGATCTTGGGCAGTGGCATTTCTACAACATACCTCATCGATCTCCTTAATCCATCGATCAATGCCGTCAAAAGACCAGCGGTTCGCAATGTCATAGACCAGGATCACACCCTGGGGGAGAGGTCACAGGCTCAGCACGCAGAACACAGATGCAGGCACAGCTGTGGCCATGCACGCAAAGACATACAACTAAATAACCACTTTCCTTATTTTAACACAAAGTACATAATTTTGATTTATCAACTGAATGTAGCAGTTTTATGATCATTTTCAGTGATATTTCATAAGCTCAGTGATAAACCCTCAAATGTCACGGTGATCTGGGGACTAGAACTCACACCCACGAGCCACTCCAGGAACACAGGATGCAGGGGCACCGCAGTAATCGCCACCTCTCGAGGAGTGTGGCCCACTCACCTGGATGGATTGCACGCATACACGTGCACATACACATGGAGCTCACGCACACACAGGCACTTGTGCACAGATGCACGCACACACAGTGCACGTACCTGCACACATGTTGCATACACACACGCAGGCACTCATGCACAGACACAGTGCACATACCTGCACACGTGTACACACGTGTACTCATGCACAGACGCACACAGTGCATACCTGCACACATGTTGCATACACATACACATAGGCACTCATGCACAGATGCACACACAGTGCACACACGCAGTTCATGTGTGCACATGCATGCACATAAACAGGCAAGCACACACGTACACATTACACACACAAGCAGGCACTCATGCACAGACTCATACACAGGGCACGTACCTGCACGCACGTGTACACACACACACGCACAGGCACTCATGCACAGATGCACGCATACACAGGGCATGTACCTTCACACACGTGTAAACACACGCACAGGCACTCATGCAGATGCACGCATACACAGTGCAAGTACCTGCACACGTGTACACATACACGCACATGCAGGCACTCATGCACAGATGCATACACAGTGCACATACCTACACACACGTGTACACACACACACGCACAGGCACTCATGCCCAGATGCACACATACACTGCACATACCTGCACACACGTGCACACACACACGCACAGGCACTCATGCAGACGTATGCACAGTGCACGTACCTGCACACACATGTACACACACACACACACACAGGCACTCATGCACAGATGCACGCATACACAGTGCACGTACCTGCACACACGTGTACATGCACACACAGTCCCGTAAATGCACGCTTACATCCGTAATACTGATGAAGTCTTTCAAACAACCAACCACTCTACAGCACGTTTTTAGACTCTCAGCACCAATTTATACGTAAGCTTAACCGCCTTGTCCTCCAATCATCCATTAAAGGATGGTAAGTTAAGCATTGTAAATGTTATTATTCAAAGTTGGTTTGATCTCCCAGCTCGGGGGATGCTGTGTTACCTGTGCGCCCCGGGAGTAGGAGCGGAATATGGTACAAAATCTTCCCTGGCCTGAAGTATCCCTGGAAAAGATGTTGGAGACCATTAAGAAGAAACCAGTGCTTCTTCCTGACAACAGGTTCTGGAACTTCAGAGCCACAGCAAGTGCACCACACACCCGCCAGTCAGCAGCCACCACGCCGCCAGCGTGAGACCCCAACAAAACTTTCCAATGTCCCTGAAGGGATCCGGGTGTTGGGATGTCCTCCCAGGCTCATGCTCTTCTCTGTCATTTAAAAAGTCAAACTAGAAAAAATAGTGACGGTTTTAACATAATTCTCAGATATTTAAATACATTCAATGTAGGCTTTAAAAAACTTGTTGAATCTGAAGATAAATCTATGCAGTAAGGAGTGTGGGTCTACACCAGGGGAGAGAGGCCGGTGGGATCCCTGCTCTTCCAGTTCAACTGTAAGAGCTCACATGGAGTCAGCCCTTCCAGTGTGCCCCTAAGAGGGGAGGGATACAGGGAACTGCCTGGCGTGAGCTGCAGGCAGGGCTTGAGTTCTCAGATGACGGCACACGCAGCAGGTACTGGGACCCACAAAGACCAGAACGGAGCTCCAAGAAACAAATGAAAGGCCGGGCTTGGCGGCTCACACCGATAATCCCAGCGCTTTGGGAGACCGAGGCAGGCGGATCACCCGAGGTCAGGAGTTGGAGACCAGCCTGGCCAACATAGTGAAACCCCGTCTCTACTAAAAATACAAAAATTAGCTGGACATGGTGGTGTGCTCCTGTAGTCCCAGCTACTCGGAAGGCTGAGGCAGGAGAATTGTTTGAGCCCGGCAGGCGGAGGTTGCAGTGAGCTGATATCGTGCCACTGCACTCCAGCCTGGGAGACAGAGTGAGACTCTGTCTCAGAAAAAAAAAAAAAAAAAAAAAGGAAGAAACAAATGAGGGTGGAAAGGGTGCTCCCCAGGGATCAGTTCCCAGAGGAGGCGGCCCTGGGACAGCCAGCGCTGTTTCCCGGAGTCTGCACATGCAACGAACACACCTACATCAATGGGAGATTCCCCAGTGGGCCAGGGGCTGGCCCCGCACACGAGACACAACCTCACGGATGAGCGGTGGGACGCGGCATGGTTTTGCTGTTTGTGTCACATGCACCTGTGGTCGGTGACCACCCTCAGCACGAGAGAGAAGGGCCTGGGGCTCCAGAGGGGACCAGCGACACTGGCCATTGCCAAAGCCTAGGAGTGAGTGCCTCATTTCCTGAGAAGCAAATTGATCTAGAATTCAAGCCTCAGCAGGACCTCAGGTGCTCAGGCTTTGCACACAGCGGGAGCTGCCCAAAAGCTATGGTCGAGGAGGCAGCGGGCCAGGTCAATCTGCCAGCTTCGCAGGGAGGCCGAAGGGCCAGCACGTGCTGTCAGAGTGCCCCATCGTGAAGTGGGAGCACTCCCTCCTCAGCTGGGACAACGTGCCGGCCTCCTGGGCCGCTGCCACCCTGAAGGAGCAGAGCAGAGCCCAACCCCAGCCCCAGTGGGTGTGGGGAGGGAGGTGAGGGCAGGTGGGGGCAGGCAGAAGACCCAGTTGTGGGCACCAGGAAGGACCACACTCTGGGGTCCACACTCCGGGGTCCACGGTGGGAGTGTGACCTTGCTCAGACGACAGTGTGGACAGAGCTGGCACCGGCACCACAGGAGAGCAGCCTCAGGGTCCTGCTGGGGCCTGGGGGGATTCTGAGCTTGGCAGAAGCCCCCTGGGATCTCACTCCTGAGGTGAGAGGGAGAAAAGTGTGAGGGTGACTGTTCGGCCCACTGGGCAGCTGGGGTCAGGGAGGCGTTCGCTAAGGTGAGCAGCCAGACCCGGGGTGGAGCTGGGAGAGGGCACGCGCCAGCCCTGATGCAAGCAGATCTTTAGGAAGGCACTGAGCTCAGGGGCAGGCGTGGGGCCGAGTGCGGCCTTTGGGTGGCCTTGGCCCCTCAGGAAGGAGTGGTCTCGGGGAGGGAGGGAGAGACTTGAGAACAAGGTCCTGGACCTGCAGGGCTCAGGGCCAGGAGGAGGCAGCAAAGGCCCAGCTGGCGGAGGGTGGGGAGCAGGACAGGGGCTGACGGCAACCCCAACGCCAGCCCAGCGAGGGCATGGCCCCGGGGGAGTGGGGACCTGAGAGCAGACTGGGCGGGAGGCCTGAAGCTGTGCAGCAGGAAGGGTCGGGGCGCTTGGGGACACTGTGGAGACAGGCTCCCCAGGACTGGCCACTACTAGACGGGGCAGGCGTAGGAAGGGGACAGGTAAGAGAAGGGGGTCCCAGCTGCTGGAGGCACACGTGGCTCGGGGGTGGCCCAGCAGGCAGGAAGGGCCAGGAGGCTCAGGCGAGGGTCACCCAGGAGTGGCAGCAGTGCAGGAGGGATGCCCAAGAGGGAGGCAGCCCCAGGATGAGGCACCGCAGGAGCCCCCCATCCCCACCGCCCCAGAGCTGGAACCGCAGGAGCTCCCCCCATCCCAAGCCAAGAGCGGGTGGAGGGAGAGGTGTTCCAAGCTGGCCCCAAGGTGGGGGTGCTGGGGGAGGGAGAGGTGCCCCGGGCTTGCCCCAAGGTGAGGAGCTGGGGTTCTCACAGCTGAGAGAGCAGAGCCAGCAGCCCCAGGCTGGCCAGCAAGTCCTCACCTCCCCACGTCTGGGTCCTCCACCCGCAGGCCCGACCACAGCCCCGCTGGCACCAGGACGCTCCGAGCTCCCTGCCGGGTGCTCAGTGGCATCACTGAGCCAGGCGTGGGGGACCCAGGAGCCCCGGGCTGCCTCAACCACGCTGCATCGGTCCCCTCTTGGCATCTTCCCACAGACACCAGGCCACAGGTTCTGATCCCAAAAGCCGATTCCCAGCCACAGCGCTATGTCCGTTCTGGGGTCCCCTACTCTGGATGACGGGGGCCCAGACAACCGGACCACCACCTCCTTCAGAGAAGCCCTGGTGCAGCTGGGGCTGGGGGTGCTCCCCGGGGCGCTGTGCCGACGGTGGTGGTGGGAGGGTGTTCCCGGGGGCGCTGTGCCAACGGTGGTGGGGGAAGGGTGTTCCCGGGGGTGCTGTGCCGACGGTGGTGGGGGGAGGGTGCTCCCCGGGGTGCTGTGCCGATGTTGGTGGGGGGAGGGTGCTCCCTGGGGTGCTGTGCCGATGGTGGTGGTGGGAGGGTGTTCCCCGGGGGCGCTGTGCCGACGGTGGTGGGGGAAGGGTGCTCCCTGGGGTGCTGGGCAGATGGTGGTGGGGGGAGCTTGCTCCCTGGGGTGCTGGGCCGATGGTGGTGGGGGGAGGGTGCTCCCCGGGGTGCTGTGCTGATGGTGGTGGGGCTGGTGGTGCTCCCCGGGGTGCTGTGCCGACGGTGGTGGTGGGAGGGTGTTCCCGGGGGCGCTGTGCCGATGGTGGTGGGGGATGGGTGCTCCCCGGGGCACTGTGCTGACAGGGGGTGCTATGCCAGCCAGGGGGGTTACTCCCTGGGGGTGCGGGACGCTCGCACCTCCTCCAGACTCACCAGAGCTGCAGCTTCACCCGCCGCCCGTCCAGCAGGATGGTGGTCGTCTTGTAGTCGATGCCTGCGGAAGGGTTAGAGACGGCTTAGGCCTGAGGCTGCAGCTAACAGGACGCTGGAAGTCTCACGTTCAGGGAAGAAAAGGGTTTCTCATCAGTGCAACTTCCAGGTTTACAAGGCAGGCGGATGGGACCCCCTCCCTGTGTCTGCCCAAGCTCACAGGGGCCCTGCCTGCGCCCTCCCGCACCCGGGCCCCTCCTGTCCTCAGCCGCCTTGGCCTCTGTGGGGGTCAGGCTCGCATCACCCTGGCCCAGGGGGCTCCCCGACAGGCACTGCAGGGCCTACATGTGACCTGGAGGCCGGTGGGTTTGCCGCGGGGCTGTGGCCGCTGGGTGTGCCCCCGTCTGGGCTGGTCCTTCCCTCCCCACCTCCTCCCCAAGCCTGCAGGCCTGAGAGCTCCGACTCAGCTCTGTTTCCAAGGGAACGGGGCTAAGGCAGCGGCTCTGCAGACACTGAGACTGCGTCCCCCAGTATCACACTAGGAAAGTACAGTAAAGACAGACGTGACGCTGCGTGGGATGCCCGCTCTCAGCTGTGTACATGTGCATGTGAACCACGCATGTGCAGGGACACGGGACTGCACACCCGTCCCAGCCACCTCTGGGGTGCAGATTACAGGTAGGCTGGAACCTTCTTTCCACATTTCTATTTTTTCAAGTTAAAAACAAACAAACAAAAAAAAAACCCGAGAATGCCTTTCTTCTTCTTTTTTTTTTTTGAGACAGAGTTTCTCTCTGTCGCCCTGGCTGGAGTGCAGTGGCGTGATCACAGCTCACTGCAGCCTCCACAGCCCAGGCTCAAGTGATCCTCCCACCTCAGTCCCCTGAGTAGCCGGGACTACGGGCATGTGCCACTAGGGCCAGATAATTTTTGTATTTTTTTGTAGAGACGGGGTTTCGCTATGTTTCCCAGGCTGGTCTCAAACGCCTAAGTTCACACAATCTGCCCGGCTCAGCCTCCCAAAGTGCTGGCATTACAGGCATAAGCCACCATGCTGGAACACTTCTTCTAAAATAAAAAGCTACAATTAAGGGCTGGATGCGGTGGCTGACGCCTGTCATCCCAGCACTTTGGGAGGCTGAGGCGGGTGGATCACTTGAGGTCAGGAATTCAAGACCAGCCTGACCAATATGATGAAACCCCATCTCTACTAAAAATTCAAAAATTAGCCGGGTGTGGTGGCGGGCTCCTGGAATCCTAGCTAGTAGGGAGGCTGAGGCAGGAGAATTGCTTGAACCCGGGAGGCGGAGGTTGCAGTGAACTGAGATTGTGCCACTGTGCTCCAGCCTGGGCGACAGAGGGAGACTCTGTATCAAAACAAACAACAAGAACAACAACAAAAAAAAAAAAAAAAAAAAAAAACTACACTTAAAAAAAATCTTTTTTGAGACAGGGTCTCCCCCTCGCCCAGGCTCTAGTACAGTAGCACAATCACAGCTGACTGCAGCCTCTACCTCCTGGGCTCATAGGCACACCACTGCACCTGCCACCACACCTGCCACCGCACCTGCCACCGCACCTGCCACCACACCTGCCACCGCACCTGCCACCACACCTGCCACCGCACCTGGCTAATTGACAGGGCATTGCTGTGTTGCCCAGGCTGGTCAACCTCCTGGACTCAAGTGATCCTCCCACTTCAGCCTCCCAAAGTGCTGGGATTACAGGCATGAACCACCATGCCTGGCCACAATACATTTTTTTTTTTTGAGATGGAATTTCGCTCTTGTTGCCCAGGCTGGAGTGCAGTGGTGCAATCTTGGCTCACTGCAACCTCGGCCTCCTGAGTTCAAGTGATTCTCCTGCCTCAGCCTCCTGAGTAGCTGGAATTACAGGCATACACCGCCACGTCCAGCTAATTTTTGTATTTTTAGTAGAGATGGGGTTTCATCATATCAGTCAGGCTGGTCTTGAACTCCTGACTTCAGGTGATCCACTTGTCTCGGCCTCCCAAAGTGCTGGGATTACAGGCATGAGCTGCTGCTCCCGGCCAATAAATATTTTTAAAGGGAAAAATATGTTTCCCCGCCCCCATCACCCCCCAGACACCAGTGTTCTGCTTCTTTAGGAAACATCTCCTGTGTTCACTTCTAGCGCTTCCGGATGAGCACCAGGTCTGTCATTGAGAACATGGAAAGAGAGGGTTTGAGTTAAGGGGCTGGAGAATGCCGGGTAGGAGCACTGCCTTCCTAAAACCAGGTACAATGACACGTACAATCACAGGAACCCAAACTGCTTAGTAACAAGACATGACCAGCCTTTGTGGGATTTGCTTGATTTATTTCATGTATAGGATTTACTTGACAGTATCTCTCAAAGCACTAAACCTACAAGAGACAAGCCCTGGCCTCACTCTCGGCTGTGATCGGATGTTGAGTGCTTTGACAAGTATGGCTGAATAGGGAATCAGAATTCTAAAGGGAAGCGCGCCGCTGAGAGGCCGAGGGGAGAAGCAGCGCCGAGGCTCGCACCAGACCTCACCCTGGAGACCGTCGTGGAGCACACGGCCTCTGCAGCTCTCCTTCCAGAGAAGCCCACGATGTAGCCAGTGAGTGCCCAGAAACAGGCTCCTCTAAAAATGCGAGGCTGCGGAGGCCACGGTTCTCAAGCAGCTTCTGCCCCCTCGAAGGGTCTAGAACCCTTGGACTTGGCCACAAGCCCCCCTGCATCCCAGGAGGCAGTGTGCCGAGTTCCTGGTCTCCTGTCGGGCAGAGCGAGGTGTGCAGTGGCGGTGCCACCGGTGGCCTCCCACTTGGCTTGGACAGCTGGTCGCCCACATCTTCAGGCAGGCCTGGGCGTTGCAGCAGCTCTGGGCCTCTGTCCTCCACTTTCCACTGATGCAGCCATGAGCACGTGCATGGCACACCTGCCTGATCTGAGCACACCTGTGCAGCGCCTTCCATGAGATCCCGAGCACCCCTCCCTCCCACAGCTGCTGTGTCCAGCCTGTCCCCTGCCCTCTGCTTCCTCCTCCGGGCCCTGCCCCCTTCCTGGACTCCAGAGGCTCTTTCTGTGGTGCCACCAGAGCCCCAGAGACATGGAGTCCAGGCTTCCCGCATCCTCCTCTGTCTCCTGCTAAACTCCACACTCTGTCCACAGAGACTGCCCATCACGCCACCAGGTAGATTAGACCAAGCAACACCAGAGCAAACTCCCCCCGTCAGAGGAGAGTGATTCAGAGGACAAAAGATACAGCAGCACTGAGAACGCCCGAAGCACCCGCTTTGCAGACGCCACCTGCCCCGTGATGAGGCTCAGACAGAGCGGCCAAGCAGTCCCCTGACCCACCCAGTACGAGGCTTTCCTGAGCTGGCCAAACGTTTGCCACCGAGCCCAGCAGGCACGCTGAGTGCACCGTCTGTCTCTCTCTTCTTGGCATGGGCGCTGACGGGGCACTGATGGGGCCTTTGGGATGTTGCTCTTCCGGCTGGAAACCTCTGTGGCTGCTGAATTATTGTCCTGCATCCAGGAAGAATGAGGTACCCAGACAAGTGGAGGGTGAGCGAGACGAGGAGGAGCTTTACTGAGTGTTAGAACAGCTCAGGGGAGACCCACAGTGGGTGGCTTCTCTCTGCAGGCAGGTCGTCCTGACAAGTGTTCAGCTCTCAGCAGACAGGGTAGCTCTCCGCAGCTGGTCATCCCGACGTCCGCGTTGCTCTGAGTCTGGGGTTTTTGTGGTCTTCAGGGTGGGGAAGTGCACGCTGATTGGTCCACAGGCAGCCCACCCCAACCAGCATGCACATCCCCCCTCTGACAAAAGCACCGAGTCCTCCTTCCAGTCTGCAGGACTGGCAGCCCGGGCCCCAGGCCCCCTTGAAGCTTCAAGGTGTGGCTTCACCAGGGACCTGCCCCCTTCCACCCAGAAGTCTGTCTGCCTCCCACTGCTGTTCATGGCACCCAGCTTGTTCATGCCAAGGGGCGCCTGCAGGCCAGCACTGAGCCACCCTCAGCCCTCCCTCAGCTTCCCTCCCATGTTCAACAGCGCCCAGTCCCGAGGGGGCTGAGGTGGCAAGGGCTGGTGTGTCCGTGCTGCCCCAAGTGTGGACCCACCCGGATGGTCTGCAGCAGCACCTGGGCTCAGCCCCAACTGTGCTCCACGACTGGAGCGGGCGTGGGGAGTGAGGAGAGGCCAGGCATTTGGAGCAGGCACTTCTAAGCCTGCAGGGGGCAGGGGTGGCCTTCCCAGGCCTCCAAGAGCACAGAGACGCCCGCGTCTAGAGCTGCCCCAGGGCAGCGGGCCGCGGCACGCAGGGAAGGCGGAGCTGCTGCCTGATCCGTGGATCGAGAGGCCCAGCCATGCCTCCGCTGCAGCCGGCATCTTGGCAGCAGCCACTCTAGATGGGCCACTGCTACCATCAGCATCTTAGCACCAGGAGCTTGACCTCACCACAGTGGGGCACGCGGCGTAGCCTCCATTGCTGTCAGACCAAAACCACACTGCTGTGGTTTTCCCAGGTGACCAAGTGAGTATCAAGGAAACAGTCCTTTTACAGAAAGGAAAATAGCCAGGCACGGTGGCTCACGCCTGTAATCCCAGTTCTTTGGGAGGTTAAGGTGAGAGGATCGCTTGAGCCCAGGAATTCGAAACCAGCCTGGGCAACATGGTGAGACCTCATCTCTACAAAAAATTTAAAAATTAGGGCCTGGGCGCGGTGGCTCACGCCTGTAATCCCAGCACTTTGGGAGGCCGAGCGGGGTGGATCACCTGAGGTCAGGAGTTCGAGAGCAGCCTGACCAACATGGAGAAACCTTGTCTCTGCTAAAAATACGAAATTAGCCGGGCGTGGTGGCGGGTGCCTGTAATCCCAGCTACTCAGGAGGCTGAGGCAGGAGAATTGCTTGAACCTGGGAGGTGGAGGTTGTGGTGAGCCGAGATCACACCATTTCACTCCAGCCTGGGCAACAAGAGCGAAACTCTGTCTCAAAAAAATAAAAATAAAAAATAAAAAAATTGGCCAATCATGGTGGTGCACACCTGTCGTCCCAGCTTCTCAGGAGGCTGAGGTGGAAGGATCTCTTGAACCCGGGAGTTGGAGACTGCAGTCAACTATGATCGTGCCACTGCACTCCAGCCTGGGTGACAGAGTGAGACTCTGTCTCTAAAAAAAAATGTAAAAGGAGACAAAAACACTTTTCTGGAGCCTTCCAACTAGATAGTTCTACTAGCCCCAGCGCGGGAGCTTCAGGCCCTGTGAAATTACGCTTTGAGCGACGACCAAAAATCTCTTCACAGTCCTTTAAAACCCTACTAAGCTCTCGGGAAGGCACCATCATGTGCCAAGTCCTGCAGCCGTCAGCAATGAACACACTGAGCGTGAAACACAAACAATAAATTAAAAAAGAACATACATATTTGCTCCATAATAGCAATCCTCAAAGAGAATTTTGGAAATATTTATTTTCCCTTGGCAGGCACGAGGCAATGAACGAATACACTTGGGAATCTATTTTCGAATGCGGAGATAACTCCAGCTTTGATATGTCTGTCTCCAGACGAAGGGACACTCACCCCCACGGGCTGAGAGGCTCATATTTGTCTTTCCGGAGATTAATCCACTGCCTGAGCTTGGCTGGGTCCTCTGACTTAGAAAGTATCCTCTTGACCTGTCCTTGAGGGCCAACAATCTTTTTTTTTTTTTTTTTTTTTTTTTGAGACAGAGTCTCGCTCTCTCACCCAGCCTGGAGTGCAGTGACGTGATCTCGCTCACTGCAACCTCCGCCCACCGGGTTCAAGCAATTCTCGTGCCTCAGCGTCCCGTGTAGCTGGAATTACAGGCACACGCCAGCAAGCCAAGCTAATTTGTGTACTTTTAGTAGACACGGGGTTTTACCATGTTATCCAGGTTGGTTGCGAACTCCTGACCTCAGGTAATCCACCTGCCTTGGCCTCCCAAAGTGCTAGGATTATAGGCATGAGCCACCACGCCCAGCCAAGGGCCAAACAACTTTAAAATGTGTTCATAAATGTAAAAGAATTCCTGATTTTTTTTTTTTTTTTTTGAGACGGAGTCTTACTCTGTCGCCCAGGCTGGAGTGCAGTGGCGCGATCTCAGCTCATTGTAACCTCCGCCTCCCGGGTTCAAGGGATTCTCCTGTCTCAGCCTCCTGAGTAGCTGGGATTATAGGCGCCCACCACCACGCCCGGCTCATTTTTGTATTTTTAGTAGAGACTGGGTTTTACCATATTGGCCAGGCTGGTCTCCAACTCCTGACCTTGTAATCTGCACGCCTTGGCCTCCCAAAATGCTGGGATTACAGGTGTGAGGTACCGCGCCCGGCTTCCTGATGGTCTTTTTAAGCGCCCTACGAGTTTCAAAACCATCTTTCGTTTCTGTTTTCATGGAGTCATGGATGCTCACAGTCTGAAGTGCTGTCACGATCCACGATGTTGGACCCTGGCCCACCCGAACCCCTGTCTCCCTTCCCCATTTTAATCCTTTAAAATAACTTCTTTTGCTATGCATCTCCAGATTGATGAAGAACATACTTACATTCCTACTTCCTGACATTTCAGTTTTAGGCATCCACTGACTTTCCACTACAGAAGATGAAAATGTAGCTCTCGGTCACTGACACACCCCACCCCTGTAACTCCAACACACACAGTCACACACATCCTGTACTCACTGACACACCCCACCCCCGTAACTCTAACACACACTCACACGCTCCCTGTACTCACTGACACACCCCAACCCTGTAACCCTAACACACACAGTCACACATCCTGTACTCACTGACACACTTCACCCCGTAACTCTAACACACTCACACGCTCTCTGTACTGACACACCTCACCCCTGTAACTCTAACACACACACTCTCACACACATCCTGTACTCACTGACACACTTCACCCTGTAACTCTAACACACACACGCTCCCTGTACTAACTGACACACCCCACCCCTGTAACTCTAACACACACTCACATGCTCCCTGTACTCACTGACACACCCCACCCCTGTAACTCTAACACACACACTCACACGCTCCCTGTACTCACTGACACACCCCACCCCTGTAACTCTAACACACACTCACATGCTCCCTGTACCCACTGACACAGCTCACCCCGTAACTCTAACACACACACTCACACCCTGTACTCACTGACACACCCCACCCCGTCACTCTAAAACACACACACTCACACACCCTGTACCCACTGACACACCCCACCCCTGTAACTCTAACACACACTCACATGCTCCCTGTACCCACTGACACAGCTCACCCCGTAACTCTAACACACACACTCACACCCTGTACTCACTGACACACCCCACCCCGTCACTCTAAAACACACACACTCACACACCCTGTACCCACTGACACACCCCACCCCTGTAACTCTAACACACACTCACATGCTCCCTGTACCCACTGACACAGCTCACCCTGTAACTCTAACACACACACTCACCCACTGACACAGCTCACCCCTGTAACTCTAACACACACACACGCTCCCTGTACTCACTGACACACCCCACCCCTGTAACTCTAACACACACACATGCTCCCTGTACTCACTGACACACCCCACCCCTGTAACTCTAACACACACACTCACACGCTCCCTGTACCCACTGACACAGCTCACCCCTGTAACTCTAACACACACTCACATGCTCCCTGTACTCACTGACACACCCCACCCCTGTAACTCTAACACACACACTCACACGCTCCCTGTACTCACTGACACACCCCACCCCGTAACTCTAACACACAAACTCACACGCTCCCTGTACTGACACACCCCACCCCTGTAACTCTAACACACACACTCACACGCTCCCTGTACCCACTGACACACCTCACCCCTGTAACTCTAACACACACACTCACACGCTCCCTGTACAGTTTTGTTGCTTTTTAAGCTAGATGGATATTCCATTCTACACTGTCATAACCAGGTGCTATGGTTTGAATGTGTCCGCTAAACTTCACGTTAGAAAGGTAAACCTCCAGTTTGTATGTTGATTGGAGGTGGGGCCTTTGCCAAGTAATTAGGATTAGGTAGGGTCAGCAGGGTGGGGCCCTGATGATGGTACTGGTGGCCTTACAAGGAGAGGAAGACACCTGAGCTGACGGGCTTGCGCGATGCCCTCTGCCAGGTTATGACGCAGCAGGAGGCCCTCCCCAGATGCAGCCCCTCAACCTTGGACTTCCCAGCCTCCAGAACTGTAAGAAATGCATTTATTTTCTTTATAAATTACCCAGTTTGTGGTATTCTGTTACAGCAACAGAAAATGACACCAGGTAGACGCCATCCACAGCTGAACCACCATATGGTATACAATGTTTATTTTTCCTTCATGTACGAATTTTTGTTTCTACTGGAGTTAAAAATTGCCTCATTGTACCAGGCGTGATGGTTCATGCCTGTAATCCCAGCACTTTGGGAGGTCAAGGCAGGTGGATCATCTGAGGTCAGGAGTTTGAGAGCAGCCTGACCAACATGGTGAAACCTCATCTCTACTAAAAATACAAAAACTAGCCAGGCATGGTGGTGGGCGCCTGTAGTCCCAGATACTTGGGAGGCTGAGGCAGGAGAATCGCTTGAACCCGGCAGGCGGAGGTTGCAGTGAGCTGAGATCGTGCAACTGCACTCCAGCCTGGGTGATGGAGTGAGACTCTTGTCTCAAAAAAAAAATTGCCTCATGTTTACTTGTTGTTTACTCATTGTTTACTTGTTCAGTTTTCTCTGCATTTATTACTAATTCATCACTGTAATTTTCCCCAACTATCTAAATCTGCTCTCGGTACCTGCAAACATTCAGGAATTTCACTTTCTTTGGGGCATCTTTCCAGACCTTCTGTCCTGCTCCCATCTGGACTGGGAGGACTGTTGCCCTGGGGCCCCCACTCCCTTACTGCTGGATTCCATCCTTCCCTCTCTTAAGCTGACTCCTCTTTTCAATTCCTGAGAAAGGTGCATGGAAGAAGGTAGTATCTGAGACTTTGCACGTCTGAAAATGTCTTTAGGCTGCCCTCACTCTTCCTTGTGTTTGGACAGGCATACAATTGAGGGAGAAGATGCTTTTCCCTTAAACACGTTCAGTCATTCCAGAGTTCCTTTTGAGATCGGCCGTAAACTCATTCTTGACCCTCTGAATGCAACCTGGTTTTCCTCCTGGTGGGCATGGAGGCGCTTCTCTGAAACTGCACACCTTGTGGGCCTTGCTGTAGGGATCTTCGTGGCCAGGCTGACCACTCCATGGGCCTTTCAATCTGGAGACACAAATCTCAATTTTGGGGAACTTTCTTGGATAATTTGTTCTCTCCTTCTGGGATGTGATTAATCAGATACTGGGCCTCCTGAGCCTGTTTCCCACCTTTCTTGTCTGATTTTGCATCTCTCTCTCTTTTTCCCAGCATTCTGGGAATTCATCTCATTTTAACTTTTATCCCTTCTTTGAAATTATTGTTTTCAATGTCCAAGATCTTTCTTATTTTGTGACTATCAACACTGGACAAACTAGAAAACGCAACAACCTGGCCAGGCGCGGTGGCTCGCGCCTGTAATCCCAGCACTTTGGGAGGCCGAGGCGGGCGGATCACCTGAGGTCAGGAGTTTGAGACCAGCCTGGCCAACATGGTCAAAGCCCAACTCTACTAAAAATACAAAATTAGCCGGGTGTGGTGGCGGGTGCCTGTAATCCCAGCCACTCAGGAGGCTGAGGCAGGAGAGTCACTGAGGCTGGGAGGCGGAGGTTGCAGTGAGCCAAGATCGCGCCATTGCACTCCAGCCTGGGCAAAAAAGAGTGAAACTCCGTCTCAAAAGAAAAGACCAGGCGTGGTGGTTCACGCCTGTAACCCCAGCACTTTGGGAGGCCAAGGTGGGCGGATCATGAGGTCAGGAGTTCGAGACCATCCTGGCTAACAGGGTGAAACCCCGTCTCTAGTAAAAATACAAAAAAAAAAAAAATTAGCCGGGTGTGGTGGCGGGCACCTGTAGTCCCAGCTACTCGGGAGGCTGAGGCAGGAGAATGGCGTGAACCCAGGAGGCGGAGCTTGCAGTGAGCCGAGATCGCGCCACTGCACTCCAGCCTGGGCGACAGAGCAAGACTCGTCTTAAAAAAAAAAAAAAAGAAAAGAAAAGAAAAGAAAAAGCAACCTAAAACACCTGGGGAATGACTGACTGAACGGGGGAGGGGCCTCCTTGTCACCTGCGTCACTCTGGCATCGCAGGCAACGTTCGTATGGTTTGGAGTTGCTGCCGGCCAGCTTCCTCACCAGGTGGGAAGAACGAACCCCAGAATGAACCTAACACAGAAGAAAGCAGGGCCAGGGTGTGTGCAGGGAGTAGGCAGAGGAGAAAGAACAACACGAGATAATCCTGACGGCATCGTTCAGGCACCAGAATCCAGCCACGCCTGAAACTACACCAGCCCCTCAACCTGCCGGCTGTGTGGGGCACCACATTCCTCTGTGCTGAAGCTATTTTGAGTTAATTTTCTTGTTTGCACCAAAATGTCTGGTAGAAAACCCACAAAGCACAATGACTGGAGAGAGAGAGAGAAAACATCTGACACCCCCTAAACTGGGAAAAGCTACAAAGGATGCATTTTCACATCTTCCCCAAGCAAAGTACAATGACCTCCACATCCCGGAATTTCACTAACAATAAACAAGAACTGGAAATAAAATCGAACTCAGTGATAATGATTTCATTATTCACCATCATGACCAAAACTGGACTCAGTGTCTTCTTCAGCTGGCAGTTCCCATTAGCACAGCCCGGATGCATAACCCACACCCACAACCTGCCCTGGCAAATGACCAGCTTTGAAAGGACAATGACAGCCGCCTGTCTGACGTGGTCTCCACCAAGCGCTGGCTTCCTTCACAGCAGCACTTGGCCCTTCTCCCGAATCTATTCTGCTCCCGTGGATGGCACTCCCTTTACCCCATACTTCAGAACTGGGGGTGGGGCAGGGTAGGGTAGTACCTTAGCCAGTGGGGTTGCTATAATGAAAATACCATAAGCTAGGCAGCTCCTAAACAACAGAAACTTGTCATCACAGTTCTGGAGGCTGGAAGTTCTAGATCAAGGTCCAGGCAGAGCCAGTGTCTGACGAGGGCTGCATCCTGGTTCATGGAGGTGTCTTCTCCCCATGTCCTCCCCTAGCTGGAGGGGCGAGGGAGCTCTTGGATGCTTCACTCATCCCATCCACAAAGCCCCACGTGACCTAATCATCTTCCAATAGCCCCATCTTCTAACACCATCACCTTGGGGTTAGGTTTCAGCACCCGAATTTGGGGGGGTCACAAACATTCACTCTCTTGCAGGCGGGTGGGGAGATAAAACCTTAAAAAACAGTGCCCTCCATCTGCTACGTGGGTCCTTCTCACCAGGGGGGAGAGGTGGCAACAGTGACGACCTGAAGCCCCTGGTACTCTGAGTCTCCTGGTACGGGACGGTGAGGACCCCACAGGGCTGGTAAAGCACAGACGCTGCAGCCTGGGGCCTGGGATCAAATCCAGTCCCAACACCAATGTCTTCGTCCATCTCCCCCGGGTCTCCGTTTCCCTGGCTATGAATGGGGAACCGACCGCCTCGTGGGACGCACTCACCACAGCTCCTCAAAATGTGTGCACCTGCTGCCAGCAGTCCACGTCAGCTCAGCAAAGGCTCCAACTCCTCCCCAAACCTCTGTGGTCACACACAGTGAGGGCACCCCTCACCTTCAACAGCATCTCCCCCACACACAGTGAGGGCACCCCTCACCTTCAACAGCCTCTCCCTCCACACAGTGAGGGCACCCCTCACCTTCAACAGCCTCCCCTCACCCCACACAGTGAGGGCACCCCTCACCTTCAACAGCATCTCCTCACCCACAGAGTGAGGGCACCCCTCACCTTCAACAGCCTCTCCCCCCCCACACAGGGCACCCCCGACCTTCAACAGCCTCTCCTCACCCACACACCAATTCCGTGGCGAGTCTCTCGGCTCTTCCCAGCCACCCCTACAAAGCACCATTCCCTTTGCATTCGGATGGGTCCTGTTTTGAGGCTTACCCCCGCCAGTTTGACATCTCTGCTTCAGTGGCCTACTAATTTTTCTTTTTCTTTTTCTTTTTTGAGATGGAGTCTCGCTGTGTCGCCCAGGCTGGAATGCAATGGCGTGATCTCAACTCACTGCAACCTCCGCCTCCTGGATTCAAGCGATTCTCCTGCCTCAGCCTCTCCAGCAGTTGGGATTACAGATGCCCGCCATCACACCTGGATAATTTTTTATTTTAGTACAGATGAGAGTTCACCATATTGGTCAGGCTGGTCTCGAACTCCTGACCTCAGGTGATCCACCTGTCTCAGCCTCCCAAAGTGCTGGGATTATAGGCGTGAGCTACCGCGCCCGGCCGGTAGCCTACTAATTTATTTATTTATTTATTTATTTTTTCTGAGACGGAGTCTCACTCTGTCGTCCAGGCTGGAGTGCAGTGGCACGATCTCGGCTCACCGCAAGCTCCACCTCCCGGGTTCAAGCAATTCTCCTGCCTCAGCCTCCCGAGTAGCTGGGATTACAGGCGCCCGCCACCACGCCCAGCTAATTTTTGTATTTTTAGTAGAGACGGGGTTTCACCATGTTGGTCAGGCTGGTCTCGAACCCCTGACCTCGTGATCCACCTGCCTCGGCCTCCCAAAGTGCTAGGATTACAGGCGTGAGCCACCGCTCCCGGCCAGCCTACTAATTTAAACAATTAATGTTCAAGCTATCTCTGAATTAATACCTGAACTAAAAGCTGAATTTCTTCCAAGTCCCAGGTTCTCAGCCCATCGTAAAAGCTCATTACAATGAGATTCCCCTCAGAAAGAGCTAAAACCAATCACTGGTTTCTCCCGTCCCAACAGGGCAGAAAGCATTACAAGCCGGGCTGCTTCCAGGAGGTGGCCCATCCTGCAGCGGCCAGCTCAACACACTCTGGCCCTTCCCTGATGTGTCCCCCTTGCCACAGGTCCGAGGCCCAGAGGCGGCCTGTGTTGTGGCTCTCCATCAGCCCTGACGCCGCGTCTCTGTCCCTGTGGACTCGGCCTTTCCCAGTGGGAACCCTGCCTTCCCGTGTCCACCTTCCAATCCTCGTCCACCACCCGTCTCCAGGGCCAGCACCCAAGCGTTTGGGGTTTCCAGGCACAGGTGGCCTGGCCCTACACAGAGCCCGCATCCTCTTTGCGCAGGACACTTGAAGTCTGCTGGAACCCCCGGATGTGGGGCCCTCTGACCCCAGATGAGGGCGTCAGTGATGCTGCGGTGCTGCACCTGCCCGACCCCTGCACCTGACCCGGGGCCTCTTCTCCATCCCTCAGCCACAGCCCAGAACGTCTGGACACTGGGCCCAGCGAGCAGCGACCAAACTCATTTCAAGTCTCTCTTTTTTTCTCTAAAATCAATGCTGTTCCAAAGATAAACCCTCTAACGCAGCCATGTCTGCCTAGAGAAATCCTCAAACCATATCCTTTCATAGCTATGTTCAAATTCAATTTGTGAGAAGACTCTTCTTTTCATAAGCCCATTGATGGAGCCATTTTGTTTCAGTCTTTGCAGTTTTTTTTGTTTTTGTTTTTGTTTTTTACCTTATCTCCCATCTGTGTGTTTGCTCTTTCGTTATTTACCGTTTCTCCTTCTCTGTGTTACCTTACGTTTTGGTCCACGAGAAACTAAGAAACATTTTTGACATCAGCAGTGTTAGCGTTAGGATAATACAATTCAAGCTCACTGCACTTAGCTGATTAACTTACCATGTACTCTGTCCATCAAAATATAATAAAGATATACAAAGCTTCTAGAACAAAGCCCGTCAGAATGTTCACTGAGTGAGTCAGAAAACAGGGACAAAAAGATAATTTTAACCTTCTAAAAAACAAGAACAAAAAAGGGAGAAGTCAAATGCCACACCATTCTCTACACTTGGAGCTGCATAATGAGTAAATATTTTAGGAATCTGTTTTAAGTCATCTACCACCTGCTTAATTCTATTTTAGTAAGTGGCATAACCGCCTTCACAAGCGAGGATCTGTTGATGGTGCAAATATTGATTCAATACAATGTACAGACGTATTCATCTCTCAGCCCAGCTTTTGAGAAATCTGTCTTATGTTGAGTTAAAACACCGGAAAGCCAAAAAGCAGACTGGCGGTCCCCGGGGCAGAGGGGAGGGGCAGGGCGAATGGCCACTGGACAGCACAGGGCTCCTGGAAGTGGCCGGTGCTGACGCTGCAGTGTGGTGGTGATTCAACGCCGCTTTACACCTGCACCGTAAAATGCTCACATCTGACTTTAAGTGTGTGGTTTTTGTGAAAGCAGCTCCCTTTCTGCGTTTTTTTTTTTTTTTTTTTTTGAGACGGAGTCTCGCTCTGTCGCCCAGGCTGGAGTGCAGTGGCGCCATCTCGGCTCACTGCAAGCTCCGCCTCCCAGGTTCACACCATTCTCCTGCCTCAGCCTCCCAGGTAGCTGGGACTACAGGCACCTGCCACCACGCCTGGCTAATTTTTTTGTATTTTTAGTAGAGACGGGGTTTCACCGTGTTAGCCAGGATAGTCTCGATCTCCTGACCTCGTGATCCACCTGCCTCGGCCTCCCAAAGTGCTGGGATGACAGGCGTGAACCACTGAGCAGCTCCCTTTCTGAACAGTCAGGAGCAGCTCGCGCCCACCAGCAACCACCTTCTCCGGTAGCCTGAAGGACACCACAAGCCTTATTATTATTATTATTATTATTTTATTTTATTTTATTTTTTGAGATGGAGTCTTGCTCTGTCGCCCAGGCTGGAGTGCAGTGGCGCAATCTCGGCTCACTGCAAGCTCCGCCTCCTGGGTTCACGCCATTCTCCTGCCTCAGCCTCCCGAGTAGCTGGGACTACAGGTGCCTGCCACCACGCCCAGCTAATTTTTTGTATTTTTAGTAGAGACAGGGTTTCACTGTGTTAGCCAGGATGGTCTCGATCTCCTGATCTTGTGATCCGCCTTGGCCTCCCAAAGTGCTGGGATCACAGGTGGGAGCCACTGCGCCCGGCCGCCACAAGCCTTATTTATTTAAATCACCTTTGTCTTAGGACACTAAACTCCCAAAAGGTGAGGCCTGGGACCAGCATCAGGCTGGACAAGTGCTGCAGAGGCCACGCCAACCCTGTGCGGCCACTGCTGCCCCGCCCAGTCACTAAGCACCTGCAGGTCACCGAGCACAGGGCAGGGGGCAGCCTCCACCAAGCACAGGGCAGGGGCCAGCTTCCACTGAGCTGTCACCACCACAGGACACCTGGAAACACGAAGGAACACGGCCCAGAAGCAGTGTCCTGGAGCGTGGCAGCTGCTGCCCGAGCAGGCTGCGGGGTGAACGCAGTCGTGGGAGGCTCACGAAGAGACATCGTCTTGGGGAAGGGGGATCAAGGCAGCCACAGTGGCTGTGGGAGGGACAGAGGGGCCAGATCCCAGAGCTCCCCTCACAACCCATCAGAGTGGTGGATTCCCTGAGGCTGGTTGTGGGGCTGGACATCTTGTGACCACAACTCCCAGGGCCTGAGAAGGGGGCAGCTGTCCTCGGGCTGGCCCGTCCTGCTCAGACCGGAGGCCTGGCAGGGTTCGAGGGCTCAACTCAGGCGGGCCCGGGCTCTCAGGGTGGGGTGACCTCTGTCACGGAGGTCTCATGCAGCCTTGGACCCCACACTGGGGCCTGGGTCTCTCCTAGGTTCCCATACACCCAGGGGAGTGGCCATAGGATCCAGTCCTGCCCTGGCCCTGGGTCGCAGGCAGGAGCCCCACCCACCTTGGCCACGACCTGCCAAAGAGGGGTGTGGGCTCTGGGCGGGGCCGCTCGGGGGACGGGACGGCAGTTCCCCCACGTGTGTGAGCTTCTCAACTCAAAGTCCTGGCTGGAGGCTGGAGGGTTCCAGGAGGCCACCCCACCAAGGCTGCCTGACACTCTTTGCTTCTGAAGTTAAAAAAAATATCGCATATGAAAAAGCTTATTTAAAATCAAGTCATTCATGCTTGGTACTAAATATTTACCACTACAATCTTATCACCCATGGACAACTACGATTAATATTTCAGTGTAGTTCATTTCACTGTTTATGTATATATATGATTTTCTTTCTACCTAGTAGTAATACCTATAATGATATATGTAATTTTAACATTTTTCATATGAAGTATTGATACAAATGTTTTAATTCTAAAATATAATTTCTGGGCCAGGCACGGTGGCTCACGCCTTTAATCCCAGCACTTTGGAAGGCTGAGGCAGTTGCATCACAAGGTCAGGGGTTTGAGACCAGCCTGGATAACATGGTGAAACCCCGTCTCTACTAAAAATACAAAAATTAGCTGGGCTTGGTGGCGTGCACCTGTAGTCCCAGCTACTCAGGAGGCTGAGGCAGGAGAATCATTTGAACCCGGGAGGCAGTGAGCTGAGATTGCGCCATTGCACTCCAGCCTGGGCAACAGAGCAAGACTCCATCTCAAAAAAAAAAAAAAAAAAAAAAAAAAAAAAGAAAGAGAAAAGAAAATGATGTTTGAGAGAAAATTAGCTAAAAATGAAGGCAAATATATCTGCTTCATATACATTGAACACAGTTGCCAAAACACTACATGTGGTAATATATTAACTCAAAAAACATGAGTTTTTGGTAGGTAAGTGGTAAATGAGCTCCCCCACCCCCAACTCCTTAGTGAAGATTTGGCTAAAAATCAATTTATATAACTCAAAGATTGCTGGCTCTCCTAGGGAACATAACTTACCTATGGTAGGAAATATTACATTTCTAGACAAAAAGGCAAACGAGAGTAATACCTCTGAACAGTTAGAAGCAGCCGTCTGGGAGAAGTCTCCTAATACAGGAAGCAGTAGTTAACCAGTGCAGTCAGACACTGGGTAGGGAAAAAAGCCCCTCTGCTTGGATGAGCACAGCCTCACTCAGCAACCCAGGCTCTGAGTGCGAAACAAGCAACCCTGCAGCAAAGCATCTCAAGGCTCTGTGTGGAGGCTTTGGAGCCACCAGAACTGGGCTCAGATGGGGGATTTCTCTAGCACTGTGATTCCAATCATTAAAATAACTTACTATACAATAAATTAAAAGTAAAAATATAAAGTAAAAGAGATAACTCCATCAATAAAAAATATACCAAATTCGGCAATCTATTATTGTAGGAATGCAAGGTTGGTTCGACCTTTGAAAATCTATCAATGCAATTTATCACATCAATAAATCAAAAAAGAAAAACCCACATGATCTCAGTGAGGCAGCATTTGACAAAATCCAATACCTTTTCACAACAAAAGCTCTCAGCAAACTAGGAATACAATTCCCTTAACCTGATAAAGTGCATCTTAAAAAAAAGAACCTCAAAGCTAACATTTTACTTAATGGTAAAAAACAGAACGCTTTCCCCATGAAAATGAGAAAATATTTTCCCCATGAAAATATCCACTCTTACCACTCCAATTCAATATCATTTTGGAAGTTATAACCAGGGCAATAAGGCAACAAAAAGAAAGAAAAGGCATGCAGATTAAAACCATCTCGATTACCAGATGACATTACTATACACACACACACGCATGCACACACACACACACACAGGCACGCATGCACACACACACATACACCTCTCCAAAAACCAATAAGAAAGCTATTAGAACTCATAAGTGAATTTAGTAAGATCAAAATATACAAGGCCAACATGGAAAAAAACAGTTGTATTTTTAAATACTAGCAGTAAACAATCAGAAATTGAAATTAAATAGCACTAGGTACAGTAGCCCCCAAACCATGAAATACTTGAGTATAAATCTAAAAAAAAGTGCAAGACTTATATATTAAAAGCTACAAACCACTAATAAAAGGAATCAAAGAAGACCTAAATAAATGGAGAGACATACCATGTTCATGATTGACAGAATCAGTATTGTTAAGATGACAAGTCTCCCCAATTGATCTATAGTTTTAGTCCCAATCAAAAATCCTAGCAGGACTTTTCTTGGTAGAAATCAACAAAGCCAACATTTAAAAGGAAAGTCAAAAGAGCAAAGTTGGAAGACTCAGACTCCTCAAACTCAAGACTTACTATATATTTAATCAACACAGTATGGTACTGGTATAAAAAATACTGAATAGAAAAATGGAACAGAATTGAGTCTAGAAATAGGCCCACACAAAAATGGCCAATTGATGTTTGACCAAAGTGCAAAGGCCATACAATAAAGAATAGTCTTTTCAACAAATGCTGCTGGAACAATTAGACATCCCTGTGCAAAAGTAACGAATCTCAATCTATACCTCACACTATATTAAAAAACGAACCCGGCCGGGCACGGTGACTCATGCCTGCAATCCCAGCACTTTGGGAGACCGAGGCAGGCAGATCATGAGGTCAGGAGATCGAGACCATCCTGGCTAACAAGGTAAAACCCTGTCTCTATTAAAAATACAAAAATTAGCCGGGCATGGTGGCACACGCCTGTAATCCCAGGTACTCGGGAGGCTGAGGCAGGAGAATTGCTTGAATCCGGGAGATGGAGCTTGCAGTGAGCCGAGATCATGCCACTGCATTCCAGCCTGGGCTACAGAGTGAGACTCCATCTCAAAAACAAACAAAGAAACAAACAAACAAAAAAACCCAAAATGGACCATAGTCATAAATGTAAAATCTAAAATTATAAAATTTCTAGAAGAAAATCTTTGTGACTTTGGGTTAGGCAAAGATTTCTTAGATATGACATTAAAAGGATGGTCTATAAAAGAAAAAAACTGATCAACTGGATTTCTTCAAAAGTAAAAACTCTTATTCTTTAAAAGATACTAAATGGAAAGAAAAGGCACAGATGGGGTGAAAATACTTGAAAACACATTTCTGGGTAAAGACTTACATCCAAAACGTATTTAAACATTCTCAAAATTCAATAAAAAGAAAATAAACAATTCAGGTTTTTCAAAATAAGCAAAAGAGGCCAGACATAGTGGCTCACAACTGTAATCCCACCACTTTGGGAGGCCGAGGTAGGATGATCTCTTGAGCCCAGGATCTCTTGAGGATCTCTCAAGGGCAGTCTGGACAATATAGTGAGACCCTCATCTCTACAAAACTTTTCTTTTTTTAATTAGCCAGGCCTGGTGGTGTGCACTTGGAGTCCAGCTACTGGGGAAACAGGTGGGAGGATCACTTGAGCCCAGTAGGTGGAGACTGCAGTGAGCTATGACTTGCACCACTGCACTCCAGCCTGGGCAACAGAGCAAGACCCTGTTTCCAAAAAAAAAAAAAAAAAAGAAAAGAAAAGAAAAGAAAAAGTGGGCAAAAGATCTGAAAAGACACTTCACCAAAGAGAATATGAGGATGGTAGATGAGCACAGGAAATGCAAATTAAAATTACAATAAGATACTGGCCGGGCGCAGCGGCTAACGCCTGTAATCCCAGCACTTTGGGAGGCCGAGGCGGGTGGATCACCTGAAGTCAGGAGTTCGAGACCAGCCTGGCCAACATGGTGAAACCCTGTCTCTACTAAAAATACAAAAATTAGCTGGGTGTGGTGGCAGGCACCTGTAATCCCAGCTACTCGGGAGGCTGAGGCAGGAGAATCGCTTGAACCCGGGAGGCAGGGGTTGCAGTGAGCCAAGATTGCGCTTTTGCACTCTAGCCTGGGTGAGAGAGTGAGACTCTGTCTCAAAAAAAAAAAAAAAAAATTACAATGAGATACCACTGCACACCCATGAGTGGCTAACATTTAAAAAAAACAAAACCAAAGAATGTTGACAACTGAAACACTCACACACTGCTGACGGGGATGCAAACGGTGTGGTCAGTGTGGAAAAGGGTTTGGCAGTTTCTTATAAAGTTAATCATTCATTTATCATATGACCTAGCAACTCCACCCCTGGATATTTACCCAAGTGAAATAAAAACAAGTTCGCACAAAAACGAGTCATAAACATGCACAGTGGCTTTTTTCATAGATCGCCAAAAGCTGGAAATCACCCAGACCCTCCTCAGAGGGTGGGTGGGTGATGGACTGTGGTTCATCTCTACTGTCCCACAATCAAAAGCAATGAGCTCTTGGTGCACCTGACAAGTCAGATGGCTTCAGAGGCTCAGGGCTGCTGAGTGACCGGAGCCAGGTTCAAAGGCCTCCGGGATGCAGGCACGTTGGAGGCTGAGGAGGTGGGGTTGGGGAGGGGCTGCCTACAAAGAGGCTGCGGAAACTTCTGCGTGGTGGAGGTGTTCTCCACCTTGACCGTGATGGCGGTCACACCACTGTCTTTGTCAAAACTCAAGACGGGGCCAGGCACGGTGGCCCACGCCTGTAATCCTAGAACTCTGGGAGGTCGAGGCGGGTGGATCACCTGAGGTCAGGAGTTCGAGACCAGCCTGGCCAATATGGCAAAACCCCATCTCTACTAAAAATAGAAAAATTACCCGGGCGTGGTGGCAGGCGCCTATAATCCCAGCTACTCAGGAGGCTGAGGCAGGAGAATCGCTTGAATCCAAAGGCAGGGGTTGCAGTGAGCCGAGATCATACCATTGCACTCCAGCCTGGGTGACAAGAGTGAAACTCTGTCTCAAAAAAGGAAAAAAAAAACAAAAAAACTCAAGAAGGGAGACATTTTACTGTAAGTAAACCATATCTCAATAAAAGCAGAGAGGAAGCGGGAGAGGAAAGGAATGGGGAGGGGGAGGGAGGACGGAGGAGGGAGGGGGAGGGGGAAGTGGGCCAGAAGGGAAAAGGAGGGTGGGGAGGGAGGAGGAGGAGAAACACCACAGAAAGAGACAGCACACGCAGTGGTCCTCAACTGTGGCCGTGCACTCAACTGAACGCAGATTCCTGGGGCCTCCTTGGAGTCACCAAGTCCTTCACCGCACACAGGGACGAAGCTTCAGTGCTCCAACCCCAAGCATGGACGACCGGCAGAATGAGCTGTGTAGCCCGTAGGGTCCCAAGGAGACAGCCCAGCAGTGAAACGCTCAGATGGGGCGGGCCCCAGGCACCCGGCCTGCCTCCAGGGCAGGTCCTAGGGGCCCCTCCAGGGCCCTAGCCAACAGGAACCAACAGGGCCAGGGGCTCCAGTGCTGAAGCTCCAAGAAGAGGGGACCCACAGGGTCCCTGGGTGCCCAGCTCTTCCTTCATGAGAACGAAACTGTCCTTTCGGGTTTCACCATCTATCTATACTGGGTTGAAGTGTCCCCCAAAGGCTCACATTCACCCAGAACTTCAGAATGTGACCTGATTCGGAAACAGGATCTCTTCTTCTTCTTCTTTTTTTTTTTTTTTGAGACGGAGTCTCGCCCTGTCACCCAGGCTGGAGTGCGATGGTGCGATCTCAGCTCACTGCAACCTCCACCTCCTGGATTCAAACGATTCTCCTACCTCAGCCTCCCAAGTAGCTGGGATTACAGGTGCCCGCCACCACACCCAGCTAATTTTTGTATTTTTAGTAGAGACGGGGTTTCACCATGTTGGCCAGGCTGGTCTCAAACTGCTGAACTCGTGATCTGCCCGCCTTGGCCTCCCAAAGTGCTGGGATTACAGGCGTGAGCCACCGCACCCAGCCTTCTTTTTTTTTTTTTTTTTTGAGACAAAGTCTCACTCTGTCATCCAGGCTGGAGGCTGGAGTGCAGTGGCACGATCTCAGCTCACTGAAACCTCCGCTTCCGGGGTTCAAGTGATTCTCCTGCCTCAGCCTCCTAAGCAGCTGAGATAACAGGCACCTGCCACCACGCCCAGCTAATTTTTGTATTTTTAGTAGAGATGGGATTTCCCCATGTTGGCCAGGCTGGTCTCGAACTCCTGACCTCAAGTGATCCACCTGCCTCGGCCTCCCAAAGTGATGGGATTATAGGCATGAGCCACCGCGCCCGGCCAAGGGTCTTTTCAGATGTAATCAAGTTAAGATGAGGTCATACTGAGTTAGGTGGGCCCTAAATCCAATGGCTAGTGTTCTTATAAGCACAGAGAGATTTGGGGACACAGACACCCAGGAGAGAAGGCTGTGTGACGACAGACAGCAGGGACTGGAACGGTGCTGCCACAGGCCACAGAACGCCGAGGGCTGCCAGCAGCACCCCAGAAGTCAGGGGAGTCAGGAAGGGTCCCCGCTTAGAGCCTGCCAAGGGAGCGTGGCCCAGGCAACACCTTCATTCTGGGCTTCTGGTCTCTAGAACTGTGAGAGAATAAATCTCTGTTTCAATTTGTCCAAAAGCCCCTTCACTCAGCAGCTCTTTTCCATTAGTCACAGCAGCCCATCCAAAAGCCACTTCACTCAGCAGCTCTGGAGCCCCCCACCTTCCTCCACGTTCCTCCCGTCCAGTGCTGGGGGGAAGGATGCTCAGAGCTCAGGGGCATGGAAGACCCTCCCATCCAGTGCTGGGGCGAAGGGTGCTCAGAGGTCAAGGGCATGGAAGACCCTCCCGTCCAGTGCTGGGGGGAAGGAGGCTCAGAGCTCAGGGGTATCAAAGACCCTCCTGTCCAGTGCTGGGGGGAAGGGTGCTCAGAGGTCAAGGGCATGGAAGACTCTTGTCTGTGGGCCCCCCCACACCCCCGATGATGCCCAGATCTGATGACGCTGGCCTCTATGTCTCTCCAAAGTCAAACCAACACGACGCAATTTGAACCCGTGAGTGTACCACAGTGTTCTCTCCTCAAACATACGTGGCCTCCTGAGCTGGAAGAAACAGACTTTATTTCCAGATGAATTTTATTAATCTAAGAGAAAATTTCATACTCTTCATACTTATCTATTTACTCTTTCCTATTAAGATAATAACTTCTGGCCTTATGTATTAGGGTCACTAAAGTTTAATATGTATATTTATGCCTCTGTAAACTTGTTTTTGCTTTTATTTTTAGTCAAACAAAATGCCAGTCCTATCACGAGTCACAAATATAAATAACACACCAGTTGATTCAAATTCAGGAGCAAACTTTGCTGAGTCACATTAGGGGGAGGGTAATTAATTAATTATTAGCTGCAAGAAGTTGAGATACGTAACCCACATAAAGTAAAAACAGCCTGAGGCTCATTCCTAGCTGAGAAAACCCCAAGATCTGTTACAATGGCCTCGTTGTTCTCCACTGACAGCTTTCTGGGGCTCTCTCTCCAGGACATGGCCGCCAGCTTCTGTGAGAGGTGCTGGCATCCTCGGAGAGACTGAGAAGTCAAGCACAGGGTTCCTGGAAAACCAGCCCTCCTGACTGGCTGCCGATCATGCAGGGCAGGTGCCTTCAAGACTTTACGCCCCCAGCCAGGCGCGGTGGCTCATGTCTGCAATCTCAACACTTTGGGAAGCTGAGGCAGGAGGATCGCTTGAGCCCAGAAATTCAAGACAAGCCTGGGCGGCATAGCAAGACCCTCTCTCTACTAAAAATAAAATAATTAGCCGGGCATGGTGGCATGCACCTATAGTCCCAGCCAACTGGGGGGCTGAGGTGAGAGGACTGTTTGAGCCCAGGAGGTCAAAGCTCCATTAAGCTGTGATCGCACCACTGCACTCCAGCCTGGGCAATAAGCCAGACCCGGTTTCAAAAAAGACTTTACATCCCTGAAAGTTTTCATTTCATGGTGCTGAGCGTCCATCAGTCCATCCTTCTCTCTGCCAGCCGGGGCCCAAAACACACTAAGTCACCATCACGCCCAGCTAATTTTTAAACTTTCTGTAGAGACGAGGTTTCCCTATATTTCCTAGGCTGGTCTGAACTCCTGAGCTCAAGCGATCCCAAAGTGCTGGGATTACAGGTGTGAGCCACCATGCCTGGCCCTCATGACCACTTTTAAAAATTGTTTTGGGCCGGGCACGGTAGCTCACGCCTGTAATCCCAGCACTTTGGGAGTCCGAGGCGGGTAGATCACGAGGTCAGGAGTTCGAGACCAGCCTGACCAACATGGTGAAACCCCATCTCTATTAAAAATACCAAAAAATTAGCCAGGCGTGGAGGCAGGCGCCTGTAATCCCAGCTACTCAGGAGGCTTGAGGCAGGAGAAGTGCTTGAAGCCGGGAGGCGGAGGGTGCAGTGAGCTAAGAACACGCCACAGCACTCCAGCTGGGTGACAAAGCGAGACTCCGTCTCAAAAATACATAAATAAATAAACAAATAGTTTTGTTTGGGCCGGGCGTGGTGGCTCACGCCTGTAATCCCAGCACTTTGGGAGGCTGAGGCAGGTGGATCACCTGAGGTCAGGAGTTCGAGACCAGCCTGGCCAACATAGTGAAACCCCGTCTTTACTAAAAATACAAAAATTAGCCGGGCATGGTGGTGCATGCCTGTAATCCCAGCTACTCAGGACACTGAGGCAGGAAAATTGCTTGAACCCAGGAAGCAGAGGTTGCAGTGAGCCAAGATCGCACCACTGCACTCCAGCCTGAGCAACAGAGTAAGACTCTGTCTCAAAAAAAATTTAAAAATTGTTTTGTTTGATAAAGTCTAGATCTCTAATATTTTTATGCCCAAGCCCTTTGGATGCTGTTGTTCTTTTCAGGTTTTGTGTATATAGAGCTAATTAAGCTGAAGAATCCTGGGAATAAAGTTTAAAATAAAGGTTAAAAACATCTCTGAATGTGAACAGTACCCACAGCCAGCACATACCAGCTGATTCCACTGTTGCCTCTGACGCCCCTTGCCACTGTCTTCACTCCAAATGCACCCAGCGCGGAGCAGCCTGCACTCCTGGGGCAGGAGGAGCAGTGAGCAGGTGCGGCTGGCAGGATGAGGCAGGACTGCGGGTCTGCCTGCTCCAGCTGCGTCCACTCTGCACCACGGTGGTGCCTGGTGCCAGGCTGGTGGACAGGCTGGTGACAGGGGACTCAGGGGCGATGGGTGGGCCTCCAGCCCCCAGAGCTGACCCTCTCTCTGCCTGGAGAAACCTGGCTGGCTTGCTTTGAGCCTCTCCCAGCCTGTCACTGGAAATCAGGTTCACCTGGGGCTGGGGTTACAGAAGTAACAGGTCAAGCTAAAGGATGGTCATCAGGGCGGGGAGAGGACCCTGCAGGACACAGGCGAGGTGGGGCCGAATTGAGGGCTTCTAATGGCAAAACTTGATACAATGCAATGGTGTTATTTTCAAATGCATAGAGACATTTAATGTATTTTAAAAATTAATTTTCTCACAAGTGGTACCGCAGGAGGTAAAGAAGTAGAAAACTGGCCGGGCACGTGGCTCACACCTGTAATCCCAGCACTTTCGGAGGCCAAGGCGGGTGGATCACGAGGTCAGGAGTTCAAGATCAGCCTGGCCAAGATGGTGAAACCCCGTCTCCACTAAAACTACAAAAAATTAGCTGGACGTGATGGTGGGCACCTGTAATCCGAGCTACTCAGGAGGCTGAGGCAGAGAATTGCTTGGACCCAGGAGGCGGAGGTTGCAGTGAACCGAGATCGTGCCACTGCACTCCAGCCTGGGTGACAGAGCAAAACTTCATCTCAAAAAAAAAAAAAAAGAAGTAGAAAACCATCATCTCCTCCTTAAGGACTGCACTATAAAGAAGCAGGATAAAATATGATTTGACTTTCAGTTCAAACTTGAAAGTGATGACTTTATAAATCGTGTTTTATATCTCGAGGTGGTTGCCAAGGGAAACCAGAAGAGTAGCTGTATTAATCAGCAAATCCACCTCTGTCTGAAGAATCAGAGGGAGCATGGAGTGTGCATGTGTGTCCAGGGGAAGATCTGCAGAATTGGAGGGAGCACGGAGTGTGCACACGTGTTCTCGGGGAGCAGAGAGTGTGTTTGTGTGTCCAGGGGAAGATCTGCAGAATTGGAGGGAGACGGAGTGTGCATGTGTGTTCCTGGGAGCAGAGAGTGTGTACGTGTGTCCAGGGGGAGATCTGCAGAATTGGAAGGAGCATGGAGTGTGCACATGTGTTCTCAGGGAGCAGAGAGTGTGCACGTGTGTCCAGGAGAAGATCTGCAGAATTGGAGGGAGCATGGAGTGTGCACGTGTGTTGCCGGGGAGCAGAGAGTGTGCACGTGTGTCCAGGAGAAGATCTGCAGAATTGGAGGGAGCATGGAGTGTGCACGTGTGTTGCCGGGGAGCAGAGAGTGTGCACGTGTGTCCAGGGGAAGATCTGCAGAATTGGAGGGAGCATGGAGTGTGCACATGTGTTCCCGGGGAGCAGAGAGTGTGCACGTGTGTGCAGGGGAAGATCTGCAGAATTGGAGGGAGATGGAGTGTGCATGTGTGTTCCTGGGGAACAGAGAGTGTGCACGTGTGTCCAGGGGAAGATCTGCAGAATTGGAGGGAGATGAAGTGTGCATGTGTGTTCCTGGGGAACAGAGAGTGTGCACGTGTGTCCAGGGGAAGATCTGCAGAATTGGAGAGAGACGGAGTGTGCACGTTTGCCCCGGGGGAGCATGGAGTGGGCACGCATGTCCCAGGGGAACATCTGTCCAAGGCAAAGAGGAAGGAGCAAACCCCAGCAACTGTGTCACTTTCCATAACGGAGGCTCTGATGCTCGTCTCCGGGAAGAAAAGCTCCCTCAGTGGAGCCTTCTCCCAACATTAAACATTGGAAACAGAGGGGAGGGCCAGGCCCTGCACCTGCACCCCGGTGTGTCCACGCACCGTGTAGTCTTGAGGGAGTGGCTCAGCCTCTCTGGGCCTCACAATATAACCTCTCTCAAGATGATTCCCCCTCTCAGTAAGTGAGGGTTATTATTATTAGCTCTTAGCAAAAATGAAACAAAGAAAGAACAATGGGACTTTTATGCTGGGAAAAGGACACTGAAGAAACAGCCAGGAGAAAGGATTGGAGAAGACAATGAGGCCCTCATGCTGGGGAAAAGGGTGGGAGGCAAGAGGTGGTGGCATCTGGTGTAGTTAATCCACCCCCCTCCCTGTCACCAATAAACATGTGCAAAAGGCCGGGCGCGGTGGCTCACGCCTGTAATCCCAGCTACTCGGGAGGCCCAGGCAGGCGGATTGCCTGAGGTCAGGAGTTCGAGACCAGCCTGACCAACATGGTGAAACCCCCATCTCTACTAAAAATACAAAAATTAGCCGGGCATGGTACACCTGTAATCCCAGCTACTCGGGGGGCTGAGGCAGGAGAATCACTTGAACCCAGGAGGCAGAGGTTGCAGTGAGCCGATGTGGCACCATTGCACTCCAGCCTGGGCGACAGAGCGAGACTCCATCTCAAAAAACAACAACAAAAAAATGGGCAAAAGGCAGAAAACTCAGCACTCAGAGAAGGGACACAATCTGGTGTTGGAAGCACCAGCTGGGGTGGCGGAAAGGCAGGGCCCTGCTGTGCCCCGACCATATCCTGGGCCAGCCTGGTGACGCCTTCCTTCTACCCCTGCCTGGAGAGAAATGGAACTTCCGAGGGGAAAGAGCGTGAACCGGGGACCCAGCTGCCAGACGGAAATGGGGTCCAGGCCACCAGGAACCAGGGGTACCAGCGTGTGTGAGGTGTGTTGCAGAACAGAAGACACTTCCCTGGGTAACCAGCAGAGCAGTGGGGCCCGCACGGTCCGTGGGCTGAGGTGACAGGCAGAGCAGTGGGGCCCGCACGGTCCGTGGGCTGAGGTGACAGGCAGAGCAGTGGGGCCCGCACGGTCCGTGGGCTGAGGTGACAGGCAGAGCAGTGGGGCCCGCACGGTCCGTGGGCTGAGGTGACAGGCAGAGCAGTGGGGCCCGCACGGTCCGTGGGCTGAGGTGACAGGCAGAGCAGTGGGGCCCGCACGGTCCGTGGGCTGAGGTGACAGGCAGAGCAGTGGGGTCCACATAGTCTGTGGAGTCAAGTTGCCGACAGGGTCCAAGATCCAAGAACTCTGCCCTGCAACTACAGACCGAGAGGAAGACAAACGCCCAGGAGGGAGAATCCAGGCCTCGCTGACCGTATCGGAGCAAAGGGAACACCTGGGCACAGCTGCCTGAGCAAGGACAAGATGCATCTGACTGCCCTGGCCAGCACAGGGCATGCCCATCCACAGAAGACAGAGTCTGACCCGGGGCACACACACAAGAGACAGGCGGGCCAACGGTGCAGACCCAGACCCACAGGCGGGCTCTCAGCTGGGACAACGGTGGCCGTGCGATGCGGGGTGGGGGTGGGGGGCATCCGACTGAAAAAAGTGTGTCTCGATCCCTGCCTCAGGCCTCACCCCAGCTGGAGGCAGCCATTCATGTCAAAGGTAAAACGATGCTTGTAGAGAACATTTTTTTTTTAAATCTGGGAGCAGCAAAGGTTTGTTCAACAGGACCCAAAGTCCTAACCACAAAACACTGATAATTTGGATTATGTTAAAATTAAGAGCTTCTGTTCATCCAAAAATACCACTGAAGGAGTGGAAAGGTGACGTGCAGATGAGAGTGGCTATCCAGGATCACACAGCCGACAAAGGACTCACAGCCAGAATCTATATTTTAAACACTCCTAGCAAGCATTGAAAGAAATTCAACCTAAATGAAAAAACAGACATAAGACTTGGGCATTTTTCTTCTTTCTGTTTCTATTTTTTTTCTTTTTTTTTGGAGACAGAGTCCCACTCTGTTGCCCAGGCTGGTGTGCAGTGGTGCGATCTCAGCTCACTGCAACCTCCGCCTCCCGGGTTCAAGTGCTTCTCCTGCCTCAGTCTCCCGAGTAGCTGGGAATACAGGTGCCCGCCACCACACCTGGCTAATTTTTTTTTGTATTTTTAGTAGAGATGGGGTTTCACCAAGTTAGCCAGGCTGGTCTCGAACTCTTGACCTCTGGTGATCCATCCGCCTCGGCCTCTGAAAGTGCTGGGATTGCAGACGTGAGCCACCAGGCCCGGCCGACTTGGGCATTTTTCCAAAGAGGAATTTCGCATAGACGTATGAAAAGGTGCTCAGTCATCAGAGAAATGCAAAGGCAAACTACACACCACAGAAGGACAGAGACAGCCCCGTGCTGAGAGGGAAGATGATGCAGCCGGGGCCTCCAGCTTTGCTGGTGGGAGCACCAAGTGAAAAATGCTTTGCGAGAATCTACTACAGGGAAACCTGTGCAGACATTTGCGTGCCTGATACCCAGCGATTCACACGCATAGGGACCTTTCAACAGAAATGCAAAGGATGTGTACTAGGAATGTTCATGGCAGAACAAACCATAATAGTCAGAAACCTGAAACCACCCAAATGCCCGTCACCCGCAGGATGGAGAATAAATCACGGTAGAGTCACAAAAGGGATGTCACCACCATGAGAATTAACACCCCACAGCCTCACACAACATGGGAGAGTCTCTTTCACATAACGGGGGCCAGAGACACAGTCACAGAAGTGCACATTGGCCAGGCGCAGTGGCTCACGCCTGTAATTCCAGCACTTTGGGAGGCCGAGGCGGGCAGATCACCTTAGGCCCGGAGTTCCAGACCATCCTGGCTAACAAAGTGAAACCCCGTCTCTACTAAAAATACAAAAATTAGCCAGGCGTGGTGGCGCACACCTGTAGTCCCAGCTACTCAGGAGGCTGAGACAGGAAAATCGCTTGAACCTGGGAGGCAGAGGTTGCAGTGAGCTGAGATCGTGCCACTGCACTCCAGCCTGGGCAACAGAGCGAGACTCCATCTCAAAAAAAAAAAAAAAAAAAAGGAAAACTCCAAAACTAAGAGAAAATTAGGAGACAAAAATAACATCTTTACTGAACTAATCAATAAGTTAGAAACAGCTAGAACAGTTTACTGAAATCAAAATTACCAACAAATAGGAAAGGCATAAGATAATCAGAAAAATTCAGGCCGCGCACTGTGGCTCACACCTGTAATCCCAGCACTTTGGGAGGCTGAGCTAAGCAGATCACCTGAGGTTAGGGGTTCGAGACCACCCTGGCCAACATGGAAACCCCGTCTCTACTAAAAATACAAAAACAAATTGGCCCAGTGTGGTGGCAGGCACCTGTAATCCCAGCTACCTGGGAGGTTGAAGCAGGCGAATCACTTGAACCTGGGAGGTGGAGGTTGCAGTGAGGTGAGATCACACCACTGCACTCCAACCTGGGCAACAGATTGAGACTACATCTAAGAAAAAAAAAATACATACACACACACATACACACACACACCTGGAAACTCAAAGAGTACGTTCATACTAAAAGTTTAACACAAACATTCAACTCTGAGACATGGTCTGGTTAAGCAGAAGAACTATGAGACAAAAAGAAAGAATTCCTCAGAAATTCATGAAGGGAAGGACAAGCCTCCACATGGGGAAAAATCAGCTGACCTCAGGCTTCCCCACAGCACATGTGAGCCAGGGGATGGTGGAATGACAGCTGCAAAGTGTTGGGGAAGAAAATAAATCTAAGAGTATTATACCCAGCCAAGATATCTCTACATTGTTCAAAGATAAAGACCATGGGCAGACATTCTCAGACACAAAAAAACACTCAGGAAATACTCGAGTCCTTCTGAAAAAACGACTGATAATGAAATCTAGGTGATTAAGAGGGACAGCACAATGAACAGAGACATAAATGGTAAAAGGACTTTGGTGAGCACTGACTGTATTTAAATGTTGAATTGATACTAAATCATTGCGGGCACTACAGCCACAATACAGAAGCAAGGGCTATAAACCTGGACAATATAAAAATAACAGCCTGGGCTACAAAACTCAGGAGGAATTGGGTGGAGGGAAATGGAGTGTGGAGTTACGAACGCCCTCATCTTTCTTTCTTTCTTTCTTTCTTTTTTTTTTTTCGAGACAAAATCTCACTCTGTCGCTGGGCTGGAGTGCAATGGTGTGATCTCAGCTCACTTCACCCTCCACCTCCTGGGTTCCAGCGATTCTCCTGCCTCAGCCTCCCAAGTAGCTGGGATTACAGGCACGCGGCACCACGCCCAGCTAATTTTTGTATTTTTAGTAGAGATAGGGTTTCACCATGTTGACCAGGCTGGTCTCAAACTCCTGACCTCATGACCCGCCCACCTTGGCCTCCCCAAGTGCTGGGATTACAGCTGTGAGCCACTGCGCCCGGCTGCCCTCACCTTTCAATAACAAGCACCTATAGTGTTTCTCAGCGAAACATGTCATTAAAAAAAAAAAAAAACATGGCCAGGTGCTGTGGCTCAGGCCTATAATCTCAGCATTTGAGGAGGCCAAAAAAGGAGGATGGCTTGAACCCAGGAGGGTCAAGGCTGCAGTGATCTGCAATCACACCACTGCACTCCAGCCTGGGCGGCAGAGAAGACCCTGTCTCTGAAAAAATAAAAAACAAAACATAATGATCTCAACTTCTTACTATTTTTCAGAATATCTTTTCTTAACTCTAAAACAAATATTTGGTAAATCAAAAACCTGCAAGGGTACACCCGTGATATCAGTTTTTTCTACAGCAGCTCAGGCCAAGTAGACAATAAAGCTCTTGATGGGATTTTTTTTTTAAGACAGAATTTCGCTCTTGTTGCCCAGGCTGGAGTACAATGGTGCGATCTCTGCAACCTCCGCCTCCCGGGTTCAAGCAATTCTCCTGCCTCAGCCTCCCGAGTAGCTGGGATTACAGACATGTGACACCATGCTCGGCTAATTTTTGTATTTATAGTAGAGACAGGGTTTCTCCATGTTGATCAGGCTGGTCTCGAACCCCTGACCTCAGGTGATCCGCCCGCCTTGGCCTCCCAAAGCCGGGATTACAGGTGTGAGCCACCGCCCCCGGCCCGGTGGGAGGTGTATTTTTAGCCTAAATCCTCCCTCCGTGTCAAGGGAAAGCCTTTATTACAAAGCATTGGACCATTGTTTTGGTTCGTCCTCAGTTCGGCATGTAGCAACCAAAAGTCACGCAGCAGAAGCATCCCCGAGCCTCCATTCAAACCAACCAGAAGGAAGTTTCACAAACATTCTGTGCGTGACCCTTCTCACACACGCCCCACGGCACTCACCTTCAATCAAACTCAACACTGTCAACCGTCTGCTCCCCCAAAACACGCACAGCTCTTAAAGCGCCATATTCGTCTGGGCGTACACGTTGTTGGGTGCTTTATTCCTGTAGCTCTGGTAGGGTTCATCCCTCACTGAGCCCAGACCCCGAGGGCACAGTGCAGACAAAGCCCTGTCCTCCAGGCGCTCAATCTCCAGCCCTGTCCTCCAGGCGCTCAATCTCCAGCCCTGTCCTCCAGGCGCTCAATCTCCAGCCCTGTCCTCCAGGCGCTCAATCTCCAGCCCTGTCCTCCAGGCGCTCAATCTCCAGCCCTGTCCTCCAGGCGCTCAATCTCCAGCCCTGTCCTCCAGGCGCTCAATCTCCAGCCCTGTCCTCCAGGCGCTCAATCTCCAGCCCTGTCCTCCAGGCGCTCAATCTCCAGGGCAGCGCTGGCCCTCGGACTTTGCCACAGCGACATCCGAACTATCTAGAAATGTGACGAATGGAAGCTTTTTGTTTTCTTTCCTTCTAATTACACTTCCACAGCCACACGTGGCTCATGGCATCCTACTGGACACCACGGTCCTAGAGACCTGCCACCGAGCGGGGAGGGGGGTAGGACATGCGGGGGCAGCGGCGCCTGGGGACAGGTAGAGACGCAGGCTCCCCTCCTGCCCCACGGAGCACACTCTGCACCCACCAGCTGCCAGAGACTCCCCCGCATGCTGCAGTTTCAGGAGGCCTCTGGGTGCTGGTCGTGAGCCCAAGCCCATCTCAGCTGCTCCCCCAAACTCTGCCCATTCCTCACCCCGTCCCCTAAGCTGAGGTGTGGCCGGGCACCTGAGTCCCACCCCACGCTCCACAGTCTCAGGCCACCCCCTCCAGCCGTGCCACACTCCCTTGGTGCTCACGCCGCCTGCCTGGAGCTGCCCTTAGGGGACAGCCTGCACCCTCTACCGAGCAGCCTCAGATCCCGCTTCCTCCCACCCTCTCCCGCTAAGTTCGTCTCTGGCAGGACCCTGGACCTGGGGCTTCCCAGACCCTTCCCAGGCCCCAGAGCTGACAGGTCCTTCCCACCAAGACTCCATCTCCACGCCCGGCTGCCCTCCTCCGCCCAGGACTCAGAGCGGGTCTCTGTTGGAAGCGTGGGTTCAGCCCCGAGGCGCGGCAGGAAGGTGGGCACAGGCTGGGCTCCTTCCACAGCCTCAGGGTCGGCCTCGTCCAAGCTGTTCCAGGGATGCGCGTGGGTGAAGGCCCCGCCTGCTCCTCACTCCCAGCCGAGGTGTTCGCCTCTGCGCGTTCCCCCTTCTCCTGGGTTCCTGCCCCCGCCTTTCTTTCCCCGGAGCCGTCCACCCCCTCGCCGGGCGCCGGCTTTCAAGCCTCAAACTTGGGGGATCCCCGGGCTGCCTGCCTGGGAGCTCTGGGCGCTCCGGCCTCCCCTCGCCCTGGAACCCGCTCTCCGGCCGCTGTCGTGGGGGGTCCCCTCTTCCGCACGCGAGTCACCTGTGCTCCTTCCTCTCCCCCGGACACGCGGGACCCCTGGCCTCGGGACCGGACCCTGGTCTCCCCTCCCCTCCGACCCACGCGCAGACCCAGCACCTGGGCGCCTGCTCGCCGCGCTCCGCCCCAGGAGCCCCGGAGCTCGCGTCCCCTCCCGCCCCTCCTGCCCCGCGGCCGAACGCGCACTTGCGGACTCGAGCCCCCGCCCCGGGTCCCCACAGCAGCGGCCCCAGGTCGGGAGGAGCCCAGCGCCCGGCCCAGCCGCGGGCTCCCGCTGCGCGCAGACTGCGGAGAAGGATGGAGACTGCGCCGCGGGGCCTCGAGTGGAACTGGGGGTGCAACAGGGACGCCGCAGCACGAGGGCCAGGGCCGGGCGGAGAAAGGCCCGCCCGCGAACCGCGCTCCTCCTCAGCCCCGCGCCCCCGGACCGGGACTCCTACCCTCCCCGGCCACGCGCCCCGGCCTCTTCCCGACCCCTGCCCGGTCTCGCGTCCCCGGACCCGGACCCCCACCCGCACCCCCTCCCCAGCCCCGCGCCCCTCCCCGGCCCCGCGCCCGCACCCCGGCACGCCCTCCGCCCGCGCTCACCCGCCGGGTGGCCGTACGGGGACTCGGCCGCGCCATCCTGCAGGCTCGCCAGGATCTCGCCCTTGCCCACGTCGCTGTCGCCCACCAGCAGGAACTTGAGCAGAAAGTCGTAGGCCCGGACCGGGCTGCCCAGGGCGCTCATCGTGACGGCCCGGCGCCCCCACCCATGCCCGGCCTGCGGGGCTGAGCGCAGAGGCGGCGGCCCGGCCCCGAGAGGCGCCGCGCGGGCCCCGAGTCCTTGCTCGCCTCCGGCCCCGCCCCGCCGCCCAGCGCTGACAGCGCGCATCCCCGCCCGGCCCCGCCATTGGTGGACCGCAGTTGCTAGGGCAGCTGCGCGCTTTCACTGGCTTGGTTGTCCGTCCATCTTACTCTCGTCACCGCCTCCGGGCTGTCGCCCACCCGCCCCTCCTGAAAGGTCGCTGTCACCACAGCCAATGGAGGCCCGGAGACGGGGCAGGGGCGGAGCCAGAACAAGCAGGAGGCGGGGACTCTGCTCCCGCAGCCAATGGCGGGGCGGGGTGGGGGCGATCAGGGGGTGGGGCCGGGTGTTTACACTCTCGCGTGCGCCCGTGAGCGCCACGAACTCGCTCCCACGGTCGTCGGGTCTGCACGCCCCGAGTCGGGAGGGGCGAGGGGCGGTGCAGGGTCCCAGCGTGGGGCCTCCCCACCTGCCCACCAGGGAGACCTCGGGTGCCTGGCCGGGTGGGGCTCGGGGTCGGTCCAGTTGGCGGACGCGGCCGGAAGGCCCCCGCAGGCCGCCTCGCCGGAGGAGTCCCTGTCGCCGTAGAATCCAGGCTCGCGGTCTCTCCCCACGGTTCATCCAGGGCCTCGTCGTTGCCCCATTTACGCGGCGTGCCTGAATGCCTGTGTGTGCACATGCGCCTGTGTACGTGTGCATGTGTTCGTGTGTGTGCATGTCTGCGTGTGCATGTGTGCCTCTGCAGATATCTGCACATGTATGTGTCTGCGTGTGCATGTGTCCCTCTGCAGGTGTCTGCACATCTATGTGTCTGCGTGTGCATGTGTCCCTCTGCAGGTGTCTGCACATGTATGTGCGTGTGCATGTGTCCCTCTGCAGATGTCTGCACATCTGTGTGTCTGCGTGTGCATGTGTGCCTCTGCAGGTGTCTGCACATGTATGTGCGTGTGCATGTGTGCCTTTGCAGGCATCTTTGCATGTGTGTGTCTGCGTGTGCTGCTTCTATGCATGCGCTCCTATGTGTGCGTGCGCTTGTTTGTGCATCCATGCATGTGTTTGCGTGCGTGCTGGAGGAGAGCATTGGGTGGGACCCTCCAGCCTTTTGGCTTCTCCTCTGCTCTAGAGAGCAAGGGTTGCCAGGCCGAGGTCTGCCCTTCGCTCTGAGGGTCTCACCAGGTGCACATTGGTTTATTTGGTGCAGAATTCAGGCAGCAGGCAAAGGGCGAGCTCCGTCCAAGAAGAAGGATAATGCCCCCACTACTTCATCCCCTCCACCCTGCGTTGTGTAGGGAACTGCTCTAGACCCCATTAGAAGTTTTTTGTGGGGGAGGAACAGAAGAGGGAGCGGAAGAAGAATTACAAAAGAGACTGAAGTCAAGATTATTATATTTGTCATTTGCATTCATTTGGACCTAGAAAATGTTTACTTTGGAATGCCAATTTAGTTTGCAACACCTGTTATTCATTGGTTGATTAGTTGCTTTAGTTACTAATGCAGCCACATTTTTTTTTTTTTGAGACAGAGTCTTGCTCTGTTGCCCAGGCTGGAGTGCAGTGATGTAATCTTGGCTCACTGCAACTTCCACCTCCTGGATTCAAGCCTCCCAAGTAGCTAGGATTACAGGCATGTGCCACCACACCCAGCTAATTTTTGCATTTTTAGTAGAGATGGGATTTTGCCATGTTGGCCAGGCTGGTCTTTGACTCCTGACCTCAAGTGATCGACCTCGGCCTCCCAAAATGCTGGGATTGCAGCACTGTTTTTTTTTAGAAGGAAGGTCAGAGGAAGAAAAGAGGATGGAAGGTGGACGCTAGAAAACTATGAGAAAGATGGCATTTAGTCCCCAGCCCCACCACTCTGCCAAAAAGAATTCAGGGGAGTTTCCTTCCCATCCCTAACCCTCAGTCTCCATGTTCCAATCAGCTGTGGGTCACATGGCTATTACCTAGTGAGGAAAGGGTACCTTCTTTTGCTCGCTCCCCACCTACACATCCAGACTCACTGTACAATAGGGGTCAGGAGGCCCCCAGCCCACCCTCGGGGTCACACCCAGCAGTCCAGCAGTGTTCACGGTGGGGCATGGAGAGGGGTGGCCAGACCACTTCCTACAGAGGACAGGTGATGGGGGAGCCCTTGTCTGCTCTTCTCCTGCCCCACAGAAGGTCCTCACCACCTCCTAGTTGTCACCTCCAAGCTGGCCTTGGCTGAGCTGGAACATGGCCACTCCCACCTGGAGGGCCAGGTAAAATAACCACGTCAGAAGAGGGCTGTGTTCAGATATGGTGTCCATCTTCTTGCCCCAAACATTGCTTTCACCAAACAGAGGTGTTTATTTCTACAGCCAAAGCAGGTTTCCTCCCACCAGGGCCCCCAGTTTCCTGAGGGACAGTCCTGTGGTGGGATACCTCTTCCTCCTCCCCAGTTTCAGTACATGTGTAAAGTCCAGGCAGAGGGTGGAGGTGTCTGGACAGCACTAGCCTACCTTCTGCCCAACTCAGAGCCAGGCTTCCAGACCTGTCCATCTCGGATCATCGGAACATTCCTCCCTGTGGCCACGCTGAAATCTCCTTGAACATCCACCCACCCATGATCTGGGGCTGCTCTGGAGACTAGGCCTCTGTGGGCAGAAGGAATGAAAGGAACATTTACTGATGCTTCTCCACGAGTAAAATGTCATCAGAAGGTGGAGGTGAGGCCGGGCGTGGTGGCTCATGCTTGTAATCCCAGCACTTTGGGAAGCCAAGGTGGGTGGATCACTTGAGGTCAGGAGTTCGAGACCAGCCTGGTTAACGTAGCAAAACCCCATCTCTACTAAAAATACAAAAATTAGCTGAGCACGGTGGCGCTAGCCTGTAGTCCCAGCTACTCAGGAGGCTGAGGCAGGAGAATTGCTTGAACCCAGGAGGCAGAGGTTGTAGTGAGCCGCTGTCACACCACTGGACTCCGGCCTGGGCAACAGAGTGAGATGCTATCTTAAAAAAAAAAAAAAAAAGGCCGGGCGCGGTGGCTCAAGCCTGTAATCCCAGCACTTTGGGAGGCCAAGGCGGGTGGATCACGAGTTCAGGAGATCGAGACTATCCTGGCTAACACGGTGAAACCCCGTCTCTACTAAAAATACAAAAAAATTAGCCGGGCGTGGTGGCAGGCGCCTGTAGTCCCAGCTATTTGGGAGTCAGAAGAATGGCGTGAAACAGGGAGGCGGAGCTTGCAGTGAGCCAAGATCGTGCCACTGCACTCCAGCTGGGGTGAGAGAGCGAGACTCCGTCTCAAAAAAAAAAAAGTCATCTTGTTTAGGCTTGTCTGCAGTCGTGAGAAAACAGGAGACAAAGGTTCACCACGTATGAAGTTTTGGTTGTCTGGGTTGAATGGAGTCCCTAAAAAGATTTATTGAAATCACACCCTCTGGAAGCTGTGACTGTGACCTTAGTTGGAAATACTTTGGTCTTTGCAGATGTAATCAGGTTAGGAGGAGGTCCGTAGGGTGGGCTCTAATCCAATAGGACCATGAAAGGGTCTCAGAGACCTGTGGGGGCCCATGGGCCCCACTGTGAAAACTGCTGCTCTGAGCCATGCCTGTGCTCCTGCCAACTCCTGCCTGTGACCATGTAGGTGTGGCCCACGAGGAGACTCCAGCAGTGAGATGTGAGGGCGTCTGCTGGGGGTTCGCAAACAGGAACGCAGACTCCAAGTCTCCTCTCAGCGTCTGGGCACTGTGGGCCCACCCACGAGCCTCCTGTCCTGTGATACAGAGCAGCTCCCTGGTGCCACCTCCAGATGGATTTTCTGTTGCTGGAAGTTAAACCAGCCTCAGTAATTCACATAATATCTATTTCAGCATTTTCCCACGGAGGGGGCACAGGGAGGGGGCATTTTTCTTTTTTCTTCTTCCAAATTTAGCTTGAAGGCTAACATGTTTTTCATTTTTAAAATAGTTCCGTCTGTGATGTGCAAACAGTGGAAATGCAACTTGAACCAGCCTAAGCACGATGTCGATTTTATGGAAGGATGGTTGGGAGTGTCTCCTGTGAGCTGGGAAGGGCTGACCGGCTGTGCTGTGGGAAGGGCCAGGTGTGGCCGGCCTGGAAGTAGCTGAGCCAGGGACCCAGTGCCGGCGAGGCCGGCCCACCTGCCGCCTTTGTTCCTCCCACGGTGCCCGCTGGTCTTCCTGTCGCTGCAGAGGGGCTCCCTCCTCACAGGAGAAAACATGGCCCCCAGGTTTCACCCCTTGGAGAGAGAACGGCCTCACTCACTCTCAGGTCTGATCCCCAAATTCCCATATAAGGGAATTCCCCAGTGGGGATCAGTGCCCACCTCCGGGTGAATCAACTACATTGGGGGTCTCATCATGCTTGGGGCCCCGCATCTCTGCATCTTAGTGCGTCCTCTGAGCGCACGGAACTGAAACCCCAGCAGATGACGCAGCTTCCAGCCGGGAGGGCCAGCGGGGGCAGAGGCAACAAGGTCACAGCTGGATGAGGCTGGTGGGCGAGGCAGAGGCCGTCGCCAGGCCCCTCTCTGCTCTCCCCTGCACTACGGGACCCCTGCACCGCTGCCCCTCACACAGTCCCCTCTTCCCTTCAGAAGCAGAGCCCCCCGCCAGTGGTTCCCACGCTGGAGCAGGGCACAGCGGCCACACCCAGAGGCTCCCATTCAGCACTGGGGGCCCAGGAATCTGCATTTGCAACGTGGTTACAGATGGTGGTGATGCTACAGCTCCAGGAACCCCACTTTGAGAACTAAGTGGGAGGGGATCTCTCCAAACATGGCTGCACCAGCGCCCACCCCCGACGGGAGACAGCACGTGCCTTCCGAGTGCTCATAGGGGAAGCCTGCGTCCGCCTTCCAGCCCTGTGGTCTCTGGTCTTCCCAGCGGGTGAGGGCCCCGGGCACTGGCTCTGCCCTTTGGGCACAGCAGGGAGGGTTCGGGGATGGCTGCTGGCCGTGGCTGGGACATAAGAGACCCAGGATGAGTGCTTGGGGCGCTTCTCCATCCACCCTTGAGACCCCTCAGGCCCCACCTTATTGTCTCACCTGACTCCCCCCAAACCCCACCTCAAACCTGACCCCCACCTGACCCTCACCTCAAACCTGACCCCCGCTCAACCCCCACCTCTCACCATACCTCTCACCCAACCCCCACCCAACTCCCACCTCTCACTCGACCCCCACCTCTCACCCAACCCCCACTCGACCCCCACCCAACCCTCACCTGACCTCTTCACACCCCCACCTCAAACCTGACCCCCACCTCTCACTCTATCCTCACCCCTCACCTGACCCCACCCGACCTGCACCTCCAACCTGACTCTCACCCAATCCTCCACTCTTATCCGACCCCCACCTGACCCCTACCCAACCCTCACCTGACCTCTTCACACCCCCACCTCTACTGCAGTCCGGCGGAGCCCACGTGCCCTACTCACACTGGCTGCGCCTCCTGGCACCGCTGAGCTCATGGCCCTGTTGTGTTCTGCTCCTGCCCCATGTGAGGGCACAGCCCACGTCTGCTCTTCTCAGCTGTTTTGCTGAGGACACCAGACGATGTGTTTCTGGAATACTCCATGCCACTCCAGCACCTGAAAAAACCAGGCCCCCGTTTTGCACGTGCGTGGCCCTTCTCACTGGGTCAGCGCCCCTGGGTCCTTCAGGACTCCACCCGGGGGTCGACAGCTCCGGCAGGAAGCCCCTCTGCCCTGGTCCCATCAGAACCATCAGTGGACACACCTGTCGCCTCCAGGGCGGGGCTGACCACAGGGCAATGCTGCCACACCTCCCCGGGGAGTGAACTTTGACTTCTCCTCCACACTGACTGTGCAGCCCTGGAAGGTTTGTAGTGAACTTGTAGAAAACGGAAAACGTGACCCTGCCTGGCCCAGCGGTTTTGGTCCTGTGGACCCAGCAGCCTGGCGTCTGACTTAGCAATTCTGTGTCACTGCTGCTTCCACCGGCTGCAGAATCGGGGCTTTCAGGAACGTCTCCAGCCAGCTCCTGAGTCTTTCCGGGCCCCCCACTCATGACCCGGGTGAACCTAACGTGCGTTCACCTCCCATTTATGTGAGGGTGACGTTCTAACAACTTGAGACCACGACCATGCCCAGGGGAGTGTGGGCTCTCTGCAGGCATCCGGCGCGTTTCCAGACACAGCTGAGGCCGGACGTGCTGGGTCAGTGAGGGCTGAGATGTGCAGCCTCGGGCCTTTCCTGGGACACTCCCCCGACCCTGCCTGTCATCCCGACATGCCCCTCAGCATTCCTACACTCATAGGAATGAGTCCTGCACTCATAGGAAATGGGGGGCTCAGGCAGGTGGGTGGTCTGTCCTCAGGACAACCCAAATCCCCGACCCAAACCTCTTCACTCCCGTCTCGTGCTCACCACCGTGCAGCCTCTTAATGAACCACCTCCCACCCCTCGGAGCCAGGCAGGGCGCGCTGTGCATGGGGATGGGTCTGAGCTGGTCTTGAGTCGGTGGAACCCTGGAAGAAGTGGCTCCGTCATTCTCGTTGCCATGGGCCATCTGGCCCTGCAGGTGTGGATCGGGGACAGTGAGGATGCAGGACTGGTCTGCAGCTGCAGAGTCCAAAGACGGGAGCCCAAAGTCCCCATCTTCAAAGACTATCACTTTGCAGGTAGAGTTCCAGTGGATTAATCTGGGGGCACACAAACATTTGGTCCATAAAAGACTATCACTTTGCAGGTACAGTTCCAGTAGATTAATCTGGGGGCACACAAACATTTGGTCCACAATAGGGCCCATGGTGGGGGGGGGACCTGGGCACCACCGAGGGTGGAAGCAAGTTGTGGAATGTGGAGCCCACCCCATTAGAGCCTGGGCAGGGAGGTGGGTGCGGCTGTCCCTCGGCCTCTGGTCCAGGGGCCCTTGGATGGCCCTCAGCACTAAGCGAGGGTGTCTCCAACCCAGCCCGTGGATGCGTGGGGCCGAGGGTTCTTGGTTGGGGTGCACCTGAGCACTGTGGGGTGTTGGGCAGTGTCCTGGCCCCCGTACGTTAGATGCCAGCAACACTGCCACCTCCTACAACAATCAGAAATGCTCCCAGAATTGTCAAAGTGGGGGGTGCTGCCCTTCCCAACAGTTGAAGAGCACTGGTTGACAGAAATTTGATTTCCATGTGGCAGCCTCTCTCCCGAGAGCCTCATCCTGTCCCCACACTGCAAGGCGTGTTCCCAAGGTTGGGCTCCGTCCTGGTGGCTCCCGCCGGCATCTCCTGGGCAGCTGTGACTGCTGTGTCCACCGGGCCGGGGTGTCTGCCGTAGCCCAGCATGCAGTGGAGAGGATGGCCACGGGGACAGCGGGGCTGGGGGCAAGGGAGGATCCAGAAGCATCCGGCCTGGGGCCGACGGGTAGTGACCATCTCAGGGCATCCGAGGTTCACCCACGTTCGCCTCCCAGAAACCCTGAGAGGTGGAGGTTATCATTCCTGCTGCTGCCTGAGGAAACAGGGACTCAGAGAAACCGTGCTGGTCACTGTCCTGCCTCGGCCTCCCTCGCTGGAGCTGGTCAGCACTGCAGCGCAGCCCCAGCCTTGTTTGGTTTTTATTTTATTTTATTTATTTTGAGATGGAGTCTCGCTCTGTCTCCCAGGCTGGAGTGCAATGGCGCGATCTCGGCCCACCGCAACCTCTGCCTCCTGTGTTCAAGTGATTCTCCTGCCTCGGCCTCCCAAGTAGCTGGGATTACAGGCATGAGCCACCACACCCGGCTAATTTTTGTATTTTTAGTAGAGACAGGTTTTCTCTGTGTTGGCCAGGCTGGTCTCGAACTCCTGACCTCAAGTGATCTACCTGCCTTGGCTTGCCAAAGTGCCGGGATTACAGGCATGAGCCACTGTGCCCGGCCTGTTTGGATCTTTAAATGGTGGTAAAATGTAGGCGACATGAAACTTACTATCACCCTTTTCCAGTGCAGCGTCCAGGGGCATCAAGCACATTCACACCGCGGCGCAGCCGTCACCACCCTCCATCTCCAGGTCTTCTCCATCTCCCCAGACAGAACCTCGGTCCCACCAAATGTCAGCTCTCCGTCCTCCCCTGACCCCTACAACATCATTTACGTCCTGTCTCTACAGATTTGACAACTCTAGGGACCTCGTATAAGTGGAATGACACAGTATTGTCTTTCTGTGGCTGGCTTATTTCACTGAGCATAATGCCCTCCAGTTTCATCCGTGTTGTAGCGTGCGTCAGAAGCGCCTACGTTTTAGGGCTGGGCGCAGTGGCTCAGGCCTGGAATCTCAGCGCTTTGGGAGGCCAAAGTGGGCAGATCACTTGAAGTCAGGAGTTCAAGCCCATCCTGGCCAACATGGTGAAACCCCATCTCTACTAAAAATACAAAAATTAGCTGGGTGTGGTGGCTCATGCCTGTAATCCCAGCTACTCCGGAGGCCGAGGCAGGAGAATCACTTGAACACAGAAGGCAGAGGTTGCAGTGGGCCGAGATCACGCCATTGCACTCCAGCCTGGGAGACAGAACAGGACTCTGTCTCAAAAAAAAAAAAAAAAAGAAGAAGGACTCCCTTTTTTTTTTTTTTTTTTTTTTGAGACGGAGTCTCGCTCTGTTGCCCAGGCTGGAGTGCAATGGCACAATCTTGACTCACTACAGCCTCCATCTCTCGAGTTCAAGAGATTCTCCTGCCTCAGCTTCCCAAGTAGCTGGGATTACAGGCACGTGCCACCATGCCCTGATAATTTTTTGTAATTATTTTTTCTTTCTTTCTTTTTTTTCTTTTTTGAGACGGAGTCTCGCTCTGTCACTCAGGCTGGAGTGCAGTGGCGTGATCTTGGCTCACTGCAACCTCTGCCTCCCGGGTTCAAGTGATTCTCCTGCCTCAGCCTCCCGAGTAGCTGGGATTACAGGAACGTGCTACCAGGCCGGGCTAATTTTTGTATTTTTAGTAGAGACAGGGTTTCGTCATCTTGGCCAGGCTGATCTCAAACTCCTGACATCATGATCCACCTGCCTCGGCCTCCCAAAGTGCTGGGATGGCAGGCATGAACCACTGTGCTCGGCCCTGGCTGAATAATATCATTGTATGGAAATGCCGCATGGTGTCCATCCGTTCTTTCCTTGATGGACACTTGAGTGGCTTCGTCTCTTGGCCACTGTAGGTTGAGCTGCTGTGAACACTGTATACGAGCCTCTGCGTGGATGTGTGTTTGAATTTCTCCTGGGCATATACGTAGGAGTAGAATTGCTGGATCATGCGGTAGCTCTCCGTTCGATGGTTTGAGGAACTGCCAGACGTGGGTTGTGTTTTTGCAGCAAGAACTCATTCTGCAGTTTGCCCTGCAGTGGGTGTTTTGCCGCATCAGTCGGCGGTCTCTGGCCTACAGCATGGTTGTGGGGCTTGGGGGGCCCTGCTGTGGTAGGTGGAGGCAAGGAGGAACACCTGCCACCTCTAGGCAATACACAAGGAATTTTTTTACATAATGTGACATTTTTATACCATCGGACTATTGGAAAGCATTTCTTTCTTAAGTTTCATTCTCTGATGCCTAGACAAAAATAGACTGAGGAACTGTAAAAAGACACTGACCATATTTCCCTGAAAGCCAGGCACTTGAGCATTGCAATTAACTCTTCTTTTTTCTCTCCTCTGCTGTCAAGAAGTAAATAGAAACTAACAGCTGAGCAGTTTGGATGTATGTTAGCTGATGACTCACGAAGCATTCACAGCCAGGGGGCCAGCTGCTCTTCTGCTATAGAAAGAAAACCTATTTTGGCCGGGCGCGGTGATTCACGCCTGTCATCCGAGCACTTTGGGAGGCCGAGGCGGGTGGATCACGAGGTCAGGAGTTCAAGACCAGCCTGGCCAAGATGGTGAAACCCCGTCTCTACTAAAAATACAAAAATTATCCGGCCGTGGTGGCAGGTGCCTGTATTTCCAGCTACTCGGGAGGCTGAGGCATGAGAATCGCTCGAACCCAGGGGGCAGAGGTTGCAGTGAGCCAAGATCGCACCACTGCACTCCAGCCTGGGCGACAGAGGAAGACTCTGTCTCAAAAAAAAAAAAAAAAGAAAAGAAAAGAAAGAAAGAAAACGTATCTTAAGCAAAACTGTAACCTCATGGATGGCCCAGATGTACCAGAGCCCTGAAGACAAAACCCATTTTCACACAGGGCTCCCGCCACAGCCCCGCCCATGGCCCCACCCACTGCTGCCATGCCCTGCCCCCTTACCACCAGCCCCACCCACTGCCCCCGTGCCCTGCCCCCTTACCACCTGCCCCACCCACTGCCCCCGTGCCCTGCCCCCTTACCACCAGCCCCACCCACTGCCCCCGTGCCCTGCCCCCTTGCCACCTGCCCTGCCCACTGCCCCCATGCCCTGCCCCCTTACCACCAGCCCCACCCACTGCCCCCGTGCCCTGCCCCCTTACCACCCATCCTGCCTACTGCCAAGTTCCCTCTCCCCTTACCACCCACCCAACCCACTGCCCCCATGCCCTCCCCCTGCTCCATCCCCCACTCCATCCACTGCCCTGGTGTTCCACCCCCTGTCTCCTGCCCCCATGCCAGGTCCCTGCTCCACCCACCCTGCCCACTGACCCTCATGCCCCACCCCCTGTACAACCCCTGACCCCACCCACTGCCCCCATGCCCCACCCCCTGTACCATGCCTCACCCCACTGACCCCGCATTCCACCCTCTGCCCCCATGACCCACCCCTGCCCCCGTGTTCCACCCCTGTCCCCTGCCCCCCCACCGTGCCCACCCCCTGCTCCACCTGCCCCACCCACTGCTTCACTCATCCCGCCCACTGCCCCCATGCCTGCCCTCTGCTCCACCCATTCCACCTCTGCTCTCCTGCCATGCTCTCCCGGTCCCTCTCTGCACACCCTACCCGCACCTGCTCATCCCCACCCTCAGCAGCCGGAGCTGTAGCTGCTGGACAGGTAGGGGAGGTCTGGGTGGGCCCGGGTGAGCCCATGGGAAGTGTGAGGGACCAAGGAGACCCCTCAGGTGTGTGTTCACAGATCCCAGGGTGATGAGGCTCCAACAGCCCAGGAGGGCGTGTCCTGCATGGCCGGAGGAGCTGGGGGTGAGGACTGGGGTGGACAGGGCCTCACACAAGGCTGGACACAGATCCCCTTGGCCTGTACCTGGGGAGGGTAGCGCTGATCCCTGGGCAGGCTGTGGCTCGGGCCTCCGCAGCTCCACATGGCTGCTGCCTGTCCTGGACCCCAGGCATCCACACCGCAGGCTAGCTGTTCTCCAGCCTCCAAGGCTCAGACCCTGGGTGTACACACCACACTCCAGTGGACACTTGGAGTGTCCAGCCTCTAAGGCTTGTGTCCTTGTGTTCTTGCCCCACCTCCTGCCGGGTTTCTGCCCCTGATGGTTCACACCAGGCGGACCCGAGTAGAGAAGACGGGATGGGTCTGGGCTCACATGGGTGCGCTATCGTTTCTGTTCTGGAAAGTTCCAGCAGGACCTCACCACCCCGCTGTTCCCGCCTGGCTCTACAGTTCAGAGCTGCCAGGGTTCCCACTCAGGCTCTAGAGCTTGAAAACCCCTCAGTCGTCAGGGGGAGGGATGCAGGCTAAACGTACAAACTTCAATTGGAGCCGGTGCTGCAGTTGTTGGTGGCCGAAGGCCACCCGTTCTGAGCCCCGTGCCAGCTCCTAACCTGGTCACGGCCCCCGCAGCAGCCTGCATGGGCAGCCTCCCCCATGTGCCTGCTGTGGGGAGAATCTCGGGTTTTGAGTGGCTCAAGCAGGACCAGCTTCAAGGAGTGCGGGGGGAGTATTGCTCCCTGGTCTCAGCCCAGACCCCTGCCTGGGGAGGTCAGCAGCTGCGCCTGAGGGTGAGGTGGGGCTGCCAGAAGGAGCAGGACGCTGGAGGGGAGGACAAGAAGGAGGTGGACGGACAGGGACCCTTCAAAAGGTGCCACTTTTCAAAGCCAGAGCAGGCACGGCCATTCCCCAGGGTACAAGGGGGACCCATCTGCTCCTCCCAACACCACAGCAGCTTCGCTTAGGATGGAGGTGACGCCGCAGGCTGGTGGGAAGAGATGGCCCCAGGTCCCTGCAGAGGCTCCACCGGCTGCGGGCAGCCCTGAGGCGGCCAGACCCCACACAGGCCGACAGGAGCCACGTGGAGGACACAAAGGCTCCTGCCGGCTCAGCTACGCCCCCTAGTTAGGGCTGACCCCCTCTTGGGAACACCTGTTTCTGTCCGTTCGTGTCTTTAATCCACGTCCCACCTGGCGAGTGTTGTGGGCTTCATTTTGCATACTTGGAGGTCAGAGGGAGTGAGAAATTTGGCTGGGGTGGAATCCTGACTCCACTCCTCCCAGCCGGGTTGCCAAGTGGTTTGGGCAGCAGGGCCCCCTCTGGGCCTCAGTTTCCCCGTGTCTCGAGTGGGAGCGGCTCCTTGCACCTGTGAGGTGTTTACCGCTGCCAGCGTAGGTGCTGCCCAGTTATATCAGTTGACATCGGCTGTTGGGTGGAGCCTCAGTTCTGCGCCCGTTACCCTCCAACACCCAGGGTGTGCGCATTACCCAAGCCCGCAGAGTTTTGTTTAATTTTTGGTGATTGCAGCACGGTAGCCAAACTCATCCTACTCATTAGCATATCCTGGGCATCTCAGGGAGCCACAAGAGGAAAATGTGCCACAAGTTCCACGACCACCCTGGGCCATCCTGGGCACAGCAGACACTATTTTTTTTTTTTTTTTGAGACAGACTCTCGCTCTGTCACCCAGGCTGGAGTGTAGTGGTGCAATCTCAGCTCACTACAACCTCCACCTTCCGGGTTCAGGTGATTCTCCTGCCTCAGCCTCCTGAGTAGCTGGGACTATAGGTGCCCGCCACCACACCCAGCTACTTTTTATATTTTTAGTAGAGACAGGGTTTCGCCATGTTGGCCAGGCTGGTCTCGAACTCCTGACCTCAGGTGATCTGCCCACCTCGGCCTCCCAAACTGCTGGGATTACAGGCACAAGCCACTGCACCTGGCTGGCAGACACTTTCTGAGTGCACCAGGCTCTGCGGCGGTGTCGTGGGGGCGCCGGGCTCTGGGTGGGGGCACCAGGCTCGGTGGCAATGTCACGGGATCCTTGGGGTGTTGCTTCGCCAGCTGGAAACCTCTGTGGCCAGTCGCACCTTTGCCCAAGTTTTTACTCAGGCCCACTGGGCTCATTCAGTGCACTTGGCCTGACAGGCTGTGCTCAGCTCATGCTACTGGTATGAATCTCACACCTGCCAGGCATGGAGTGGCGAGGGGTGTGTGAGGGAGAAATCGTGAGGTCTGGCCACTGCGCACAGCCAGGCACACCGGCTATGGTAGAGCGGGCCATTTCGGGTGCCACTGGGGGCGCTGGCTCCCTGCGAGGCTGCAGCTGGACCAGGTGCACCATGAGCAGGTTCCATGGCTGGCACGGGGGAATGCAGGGGCACCCAGAAACTTGGAGACGCCGGGAGCCGCAGAGCCTCAGAGACGGTGTCGCAGGCCTGGCTGGGGAGGTCTTAGGTCTGGGCTTCCCGAAGGGACACAGCTCTTCTCTCCCTCTCTCTTCTCTCCTTCTTGTCACTCACAACATTGTTAGCAAGGGACGTGTTTCAGCCCTGTTTGTGTGACAGCTCTTTTAGCCCTGCCATTTGGCAGGTCACGAGTTCTTGTCTTGCATCCAGGAAGAATGAGGTATGGGCACAAGTAGAGGGTGAGCAAGGCCAGCAGGAAATTTACTGAGCAACAGAACAGCTCAGAGGAGACTCGCAGTGGGTAGCTCCTCCCCGCAGGCAGGGCATCCCAGCTAGCGTTCAGCTCTCAGAAGAGAGGAGACCCTGGAATGGGTAGTTCCTCTCTGCAGCTGGCAGTCCCAATGTCTGCTCAGCTCTCAGCAGAGAGGGGAGCCTGGAGCAGGTAGCTCCTCTCTGCAGCTGGTAGTTCCAGCATCTGCTCAGCTCTCAGCGGAGGGGGGACCCTGGAGTGGGTAGCTCCTCTCTGCAGGCAGGTCATCCTGTCATCTCCTCAAATCTGGCTGAGTCTGGGGTTTTCATAGGCTTCAGAGGGGAGGAAGTGCATGCTGACTGGTTCATGGGCGGCCATGGGTGGGCCTGGACAAAGCACTATAAGTTCCCATTCTGGTCCCTCAGCCCAGCTCCCAGGCTTCAGGCCATCCCTGGCTTCAGGGTGGGCCTTCACTGTGGACCTGCCCCTTTCCACCCAAGAGCCTCTCTGCCTCCTGCCGTCATCTATGGCGTCCAGGCTGATTGTGCCAAGGAGCTGCCCTCAGCCCCTTCTCAGCCATGGTTGGGAAGCTGCACCTGCACCCAGGAGGATGGGGTTCCTGCCCACTCCCACCCCCAAGAGCAAAGGAATGCGCAGATCTGGAACCATGGCTGGGCAGCTGCCACTGAACCTGGGGAGCACAAGGCTCTCTCCCTGCTGGCTTGGAAGGTGGGTGGCTTCTGCCTGTTCCTGGCTCCCACCAGCTCCGTGGAGCACGCAGCCCCGGCGCCACCTCCCCACTGCTGCTGGTGTCATGACAGTGACTGCTCCAGACAGGCCGCCGCCATCTGTGCGTGTCACATATCTATGCAGAGACTGCTGCAGACAGGCCGCCGCCATCTGTGGGCGTCGCATGCCCATGCAGAGACTGCTCCAGACAGGCCGCCGCCATCTGTGGGCGTCGCATGCCCACGCAGTGACTGCTCCAGACGGGCCGCCGCCATCTGTGGGCGTCGCGTGCCCACGCAGAGACTGCTCCGGACTGGCCGCCGCCATCTGTGGGCGTCGCATGTCTATACAGAGACTGCTCCAGACTGGCCGCCGCCATCTGTGGGTGTCGCATGTCTATGTAGTGACTGCTCCAGACAGGCTGCTGCCGCCATCTGTGGGTGCCACATGCAGAGTGACCCAGGGGCTTGCCACAAGGGGGACAGTCAGGCAGGGACTCTGTGTGCACATGCATCCAAGCACAAGGCAGGTGTGGGCAGAGAAGCGAGTTGGAGCCATCCTCAGGAGGAGTGAATTACTGGGGATGTTGACCTTGGGACACCAGGAAGAGAATCTCATTTGCAGAGGAGGAAAACGCTGCTGGAACGGAAAGTCTGAGAAAGACAGCAAGAGCAGGACAGAGCAAAGCAGGACGCGGGAGTGAAGGCCTGCAGTGTGGGTGCGTGTGCAAGACCCAGAAACGCGCAGATGTGTGGGGCCAGCAACACCACGGCCACATCCTCAGCCACAGAACAACACACAACATCTCAAGGATGAACTCATCAACGCACCAACGGTTAGTCTCTTATCTAATAAATAAAGCATATCCCGGTTACAAATAATCAACACAGATGTTTCAATGATCTTGAGTAGAAAGTTGAGAGCTTGTCATTTGAGTCAGGAAATGGGACTCCGCGGAAATGATGGCCTTGAGAGAGCCCTCATGTGTTCTTTGTGCAGTCGGCAATTCCATGTAGACAGGAAAAATGGACTGAAAACTTAAACTGATATGATGAAGATAATATCATTCAATTGAAAATGAAAATGGAAAAAGTCATTTATAAACCATTTGAATGGACAAAAAAGAAAATTGGTTAGGAATTAAATTAGCTAGATGAAAGTCACTTTTTTTCTTTTTTGCTTTTTTTTTTGAGATGGAGTCTCACACTCTATTACCCAGGCTGGAGTGCAGTGGTGCGATCTCGGCTCACTGCAACCTCCGCCTCCCGGGTTCAAGCGATTCTCCCGCCTCAGCCTCCTGAGTAGCTGGGATTACAGGCGTGAGCCACAGTGCCTGGCCAAAAGTCACTCTTTTTTTTTTTTTTTTTTTTTTTGAGACGGAGTCTCGCTCTGTTGCCAGGCTGGAGTGCAATGGAGAGCAGTGGTGCGATCTCGGCTCACTGCAAGCTCCGCCTCCCGGGTTCACGCCATTCTCCTGCCTCAGCCTCCCGAGTAGCTGGGACTACAGGCGCCTGCCACCACGTGTGGCTAATTTTTTTGTGTGTGTGTGTTTTTAGTAGAAACAGGATTTCACCGAATAAGCCAAGACGGTCTCGATCTCCTGACCTTGTGACCCACCTGCCTCGGCCTCCCAAAGTGCTGGGATTTCAGGCGTGAGCCACCGCACCCGGCCCAAAAGTCACTCCTAAAAATGCTTTCTCGGCCGGGCACAGTGGCTCATGCCTGTAATCCCAGCACTTTGGGAGGCCAAGGCAGGCAGATCGCCTGAGGTCAGGAGTTTGAGACCAGCCTGGCCAACATGGCAAAACCCCATCTCCACAAAAACACAAAAATTAGCCAGTCATGGTGGTGTGCGCCTGTAATCCCAGCTACTCAGGAGGCTAAGGCAGGAGAATCGCTTGAACCTGGGAGGCAGAGGTTGCAGTGAGCTGAGATTGCACCACTGCACTCCCGCCTGGGCGACAGAGCAAGACTCCATCTCAAAAAAAAAAAAAAAAAAGTTTCTCAACAAAAACTTAACGGTGGCATAGTTCTGATGAAAATCTTCATGTTCATGGCATGGAGTTAAAATGTCCAAACGGTCAAGGCCACAGATTAAAACAGGGACATCCGCAGGCCCTGGCCCGAGGGGAGGAGCATACAGGGAGTGGTTCACCCACTCCACCGCCTTTGGAGCACCTTTTAATTCTCTCACTCTTCTCTAATGTGTTCCTTGATTTATCTATTACCATCTGCGGATTTTCATCTGTTCTTTTTTGCCTTTTTTTTTTTTGAGACGGAGTTTTGCTCTTGTCACCCAGGCTGGAGTGCAATGGCGGGATCTCAGCTCACTGCAACCTCCGCCTCCCGGGTTCAAGCGATTCTCCTGCCTCAGCCTCCCGAGTATCTGGGATTACAAGCGCCCGCCACCACGCCCCGCTAATCTTTTTTGCTTTTTAAAATTATGAAATGCGGTATACACACAGAAAAGTGCGTGAACACACACATATGTACCATTTAATAGATAGTTATAAAATGATCCGCCCGCCTCAGCCTCCCAAAGTGCTGGGATTACAGGCGTGAGCCACCGCTTCCGGCCTCAGGAGAGGATTCGTGTTTGCTTCTCCCAACGTCCAGGGAAGCGACATTTCCTATTTGCTTTAGACTAAAATCTATACTTGAATTTTTTGTTTACTGTAGGTAATATTAACTAGGGTTGCAGTCCGTGGAGGGCCGACTATGCGAACGGTTTCTATGAACCATCCTTTGCTGAAGGCTGAAACCTCTTCGTCCCCTGGGAGAGTTCCTATTCAGGCCTTCTTGTAGTTAGTTCATCCTTGTGTTGACAGCTGTATTAGGGTTCTCCAGAGAGACGGATCCAGTAGGATATAGACGTAGATCCAGGACAGGAGATGGACTGGGGGAGCTGGCGTTTGCAATTACGGAGGCCGAGAAGTCTGTGAGCCGGAGACCCCGGGACTCGGGTAGCCGGGCTCAGCCCAGGTCGGAAGGCCTCAGAAGCGGGGAAGCGGATGGTGTGGCCCTCAGCACGACCCACCCCAAATCATGCCTTGCCAGGTTTCTGGGAATTCCTGGTCCAGCCCAGCTGGCACCTGACACTGGCCGTAACGGCAGGGCCACTGTTAGCTGTTAGCCTCAGGGCCCCAGGTTTAGGGGCGGTGTCTCCGTTGCACGTGCACCCCGAGCGCGCCCGCCACTCCCCACATCAGGAGCTCTGTTCCTCGGGTTCAGCAAACGCCCGGGCGAAAGCAATCTTAACATTCTGGGCTCCCGGCACCCAGACCTTGGGCTGATGCCCCTTGCTAGTGGGTCAGCTCTTTAGAAAATATATTCTAACTATTTCCATCAGCATTTCCACTTATTTTGTGCAGGAGAGTTGAACCCAAACCGTCTGGGTCGGGGTCGGTCAGGCCCCGCCCCCTGACGTCATCTCACCCCCACCCAATCCCCCGCGCCTACCTGCCTCCCGGCCCCTCCCCTTCCCGCCCCTCAATCCCAGCGCTCATCTCTGCGGCCACGCCCGCCCCTTCCCGCCACCCAATCCTAGCGCTTGTCTCTGCGGCCGGGCCCCGCCCCCACCCGCCCCCCGCCCAATCCTCGCGCGGACTCATGTTTGCCCGCTCGGCCGCCGTCTCTCGAGTCTCCGCCAGATCCGGGGCGGGTCCGCGGCCGCGGCGGGAACATGGAGGAGCTCCTGAGGCGCGAGCTGGGCTGCAGCTCTGTCAGGGCCACGGGCCACTCGGGGGGCGGGTGCATCAGCCAGGGCCGGAGCTACGACACGGATCAAGGACGAGTGTTCGTGAAAGTGAACCCCAAGGCGGAGGTCAGGCAGCGGGTCGGGCGGGCCGGGGGACCGGTTTCTTTCCGGAGAGGGTCGCGGGCCTCGGCGCGGGGCGCGGCCTGGGCTTCTCCCGCCGGAGGCCGTGGGTGGCTCTCCCGGGACTGCCGCCGCCGCCCCTTGCGGGGAACCCTTTGCGCGGGGCGAGCGGTGAACGGGGGCGGCGGAAGCGTCCGGGGCGTCCGGAGGAGTTTGCACCTGCGGGGAACTGTCCGGAGCAGGAACCGCGGCCGCCCCACACCTCCTGTTCTCCGTGAACTTTCTCTCGGGGGCGCTACGTGAAATGGGGCGGGACTGGCTGCTGCAGTCTTGCTCCCGGGGTTCCTGCCCTGCGGTGCTGGTTAAGTGGGGTCGTTCTAGCCGGGGAAGCTGCTTAAGTCCTCAGCTTAAGTGACTCTGGAGGTGTCCATCCCCCGTGAGCCTCGGTCAGTACGTTGTGAAACGGGGCGAAGGTGCTGCCCCCAGGCCAGCTGCTGCGCCTCACCACACCCTGGCATGCTCTGTCCTTCTGTTAGACTCATTCTCGGGCCGGGCGCGGTGGCTCACGCCTGTAATCCCAGCACTTTGGGAGACAGAGGTGGGTGGAGCGCGAAGTCAGGAGTTCGAGACCAGCCTGGCCAACAAGGTGAAACCCCCGTCTCTATTAAAAATACAAAAATTAGCTGGGCGTGGTGGCGGGCGCCTGTAATCCCAGCTACTCGGGAGGCTGAGGCAGAAGAATCGCTTGAACCCAGGAGGCAGAGGTTGCAGTGAGTCGAGATCGCGCCACTGCACTCCAGCCTGCTGGGTGACTGAATGAGACTCCGTCTCAAAAAAAAAAGAGTGTTCCTAGCAGCGGTGACATGGCAGCTGTGGTGGGGCTCTGAGGCTGAGGAGGTGGGGACTCTGAAGAACTGAAAGAAGGATGAAGACAGCTGGAAGTCAGGAGCACGAGGAGAGTGTGTGTGTCTATGTGTATGTTGTGTGTGTGTACGTTGTATGTGTGTATGTTTGTAATGTTTGTATGTTGTGTGTATGTATTGTGTGTCTGTGTGTGTGTAAGGGTGGAGCCCCAGGTGAGGATGGGAGAGTGGGCAGGGCAGTGGTGTGTGTCTCAGGAGAAAAAGAAAGGCCGCTGGCCCTGACCTGTTCTGCGGGGATCACTGCTGTGTATGTTGTGTGTGTGTGTCTGTGTGTTGTGTGTGTATGGTGTGTCTGTAAGTCGTATGTTGTGTGTGTTGTGTGTCTGTATGTGTTGTGTGTGTGTTGTGTGTCTGTATATGTTGTGTGTGTGTGTTATGTGTCTGTGTGTGTAAGGGTGGAGCCCCAGATGAGGATGGGAGAGCAGGCAGGGCAGTGGTGTGTGTAGCAGGAGGAAAGGAAAGGCCGCTGGCTCTGACTTCTACTCTAGGGATCACTGCTGTGTGGTGAGCCAGGGGGACCCAAGGGAGGAGTTGCTGTGGTCCCGGGGAGTTGGATGGAAACGGCATCTCAAGATGAGGTGGTTTCCAGTGCTGGGCAGGAGGTGGCATGGAACTTGGTGGTCTCTTCAGGTGAAAAGTGACCCCAGGTCACTGGCATAGGCAGCCAGGGTGCCGCCTGCACCTGAGAGGTCGGGTGAGTCTGTGTCCTGTAGGTGGAACAGGACTGCAGTTGAGGTGTCGTCTGAGGACACTGACAGGTAACCCATGTTCACAGTCCCACTGTTGCCGGATCTTAGTGGAATATTAGTGCCTTCGATTTTCCTCTCTCCAGAGAACCTCCCAATTCAACCACAGCACACAAGTGTAGTCCAACACTGGAAAGCTCAAGCCCTCTTCTTCCAGTACAGCCTCTGAACCTGTAGCCTACCCTGTTGGCAAGTGTGTTTGAAAACACTGTCCATGTGTATGGAATCCTCAGTCAGGATAGTCTTGGTTTGAAGTTGTAATGCTAGAGGAAAACATATCTACAGAACCTTCCGGAAGTAACCTTGCCTCCCTGTATTTCCACTTCCTCTCGTATTTTTCTGACAGGCCAGAAGAATGTTTGAAGGTGAGATGGCAAGTTTAACTGCCATCCTGAAAACAAACACGGTGAAAGTGCCCAAGCCCATCAAGGTTCTGGATGCCCCAGGCGGCGGGAGCGTGCTGGTGATGGAGCACATGGACATGAGGCATCTGAGCAGGTGCATCTTCACACCACCCCCCACCTGGCTTTATTACCTGAGCAGGTGTGTCTTCACACCTTGTTTTATTATGTGTGTCTTCACACCACCCACTGGCTGGCTTTATTATCTGAGCAGGTGTGTGTTCACACCACCCCCCAGCTGGCTTCATGCCCCGCCCCGGCTGGCTTTGTTATCTGAGCATCTGAGCAGGTGCACCCTCACACCAGCCCCCAGCTGGCTTTCTTTTCCACCAAGTGGTTCTCTGATGACTGAAGCTTGTACTGGGGACATCATTTTGAGGAGTGTAATGCAAAGAACCCGTGACTCCACATACCATGAGTTCTGCAGAATGAACGGCAGGCACTCTCTGCAACCAAGGGCAGAAGCAAGAGGAATCTCCCAAAGTGAGATGCTGACCAAAGGCCTCGCTGCACGCCGGCCGCGGTGGCTCACGCCTGGAATCCCAACACTTCGGGAGGCTGAGGCGGGTGAATCACTTGAGGTCAGGAGTTTGAGACCAGCCTGGCCAATATGGTGAAACCCCATGTCTACCAAAAATCCAAAAATTAGCTGGATGTGGTGGCAGGCGCCTCTAATTCCAGCTACTCGGGAGGCTGAGGCAGGAGAATCACTTGAACGCAGGAGGCAGAGGTTGCAGTGAGCTGAGATCGCACCACTGCACTCTAGCCTGGGCAGTAGAGCGAGACTCAGTCTCAAAAAAGAGGAAAAAAAAACCACTGCAAACTTGGATGAGGCTGGGAAAGATCGTCAAATAATCAACACCTTTATCCCCCTCTTGCTTCACCAGAACCTACTTTCTGTCCTCAAAATGTCCGACCTACTAGCCGGCTGTGGTGGCTCACGCCTCTAATCCCGGCACTTTGGGAGGCCAAGGTGGGCGGATGACTTGAGGTCAGAGTTTGAGACCAGTCTGGCCAACACAGTGAAACCCTGCCTCTACTAAAAATACAAAAAAATTAGCCAGGCATGGTGGCGGGCACCAGTAATCCCAGCTACTCGGGAGGCTGAGGCAGGAGAATCGCTTGAACCTGGGAGGCGGAGCTTGCAGTGAGCCGAGATCGTGCCACTGCCCTCCAGCCTGGGTGACAGAGCGAGACTCCATCTCAAAAAAATAAAAAAGTTTGACCCTCTTTATGTGCCCTGAGACTGAGCAGTGGGTGTGTTGCCATTCTGTGTGTCATCTGTTTAGTTGCTGTCGTTTGATTTGACAGTCATGCTGCAAAGCTTGGAGCCCAGCTGGCCGATTTACACCTTGATAACAAGAAGCTTGGAGAGATGCGCCTGAAGGAGGCGGGCACAGTGGGTATGGCACTGCGCGGGCCACGGGTGCTCCCGCCTAGAGGAGGACGTTCAGCCGGTGTGGGCTCAGAGCGGGGGCCGTGCAGCAGCCGTGGGAGGGTCGGACGTGGGCTGATGGCAGAGCAAGGGAATGTCGGCCTTGAGCCGCATCTCACGGTGCACTGAACACAGTGACTGTGATGCGTCTGTTGTGTCCTAAATGCATTTGAAAGATGAAAACATTTGCTGGACACAAGACACCCCTAGTGTTACAGTTACTTTTACCTCTCGTTCCCCAGAAGAGTGTAAGCAGAGGCTCTCTGGCTGTCTGTAAAAGGCAAGACCTTTAACCCAGGGTCTGTTCCTGTAAAACAGTCATACTTGAGGCTCAGAATTACAGCCATCATGTCTGACCTTTCCAGAGCATAACGCGCTGTCAGGATCGAGGGAATTTTCCGGTATTTTAATCTGCTGACATTTGGAATCCGTGTGCAGCCCACATGGTAAATGTGGGGAGATTTGCTGATGATCGGAACAGATCACCAGGGGCCTGCTGTAGGAGACGGAGACATGCTGTTAGTCTGTTCTGTGAGGGTCCATGACGGATCCACCCAGGCGGCCTGTGTGGTGAGGATCCACTGAGAGGCCTCCCAGGTCGCCTGTCCTGTCTCTTCCAGTCTTAACGGAGTTTAGTCCATTGGGATTTTCCTTGAATTAGGGAGACTGCAGAGGAGTGAGATTCTTTCTTTCTTTCTTTCTTTTTTTTGAGACGGAGTTTCACTCTTGTCCCCCAGGCTGGAGGGCAGTGGTGCAATCTTGGCTCACCGTGACCTCTGCCTCCTGGGTTCAAGCGATTTTCCTGCCTCAGCCTCCTGAGTAGCTGGGATTACAGGTGCATGCCACTGTGCCCACCTAATTTTTGTATTTTTAGTAGAGACGGGGTTTCACCATGTAGGCCAGGCTGGTCTCAATCTCCTGACCTCAGGTGATCCACCCACCTCAGCCTCCCAAAGTGCTGGGATTACAGGCGTGAGCCACTGCACCCTGCCTGAGATTATTTCAAAGCACAATAGTTTATCTGACACACATGGCACCAGGTTTGCCACTGAGAGCCATCCTTTCTGATGGATTGGGGGCAGATTCTTTTTCCTCTTTATTTATTTATTTTTATTTTATTTTTTTGAGAAGGAGTCTTGCTTTGTTCCCCAGGCTGGAGTGCAGTGGCATGATCTCTGCTCACTGCAAGCTCCGCCTCCCGGGTCCACGCCATTCTCCTGCCTCAGCCTCCTAAGTAGCTGGGACTACAGGCGCCTGCCACCACGCCTGGCTAATTTTTTGTATTTTTAGTAGAGACAGGGTTTCACCGTGTTAGCCGGGATGGTCTCGACTTCCTGACCTCGTGATCCACCTGCCTCGGCCTCCCAAAGTGCTGGGATTACAGGCATGAGCTACTGGGCCTGGCCTGTTTTTTACTTTTTATGTTTTTTATGTTTTGTTTTGTTTTGTTTTTTTTGAAATGGAGTTTTGCTCTTGTTGCCCAGGCTGGAGTGCAGTGGCGCGATCTCAGCTCACCGCAACCTCCGCCTCCTGGGTTCAAGTGATTCTCCTGCCTCAGCCTTCTGAGTAGCTGGGATTACAGGCATGCGCCACCATGCCCAGCTAATTTTGTATTTGTAGTAGAGATGGGGTTTCTCCATGTTGGTCAGGCTGGTCTCAAATTCCCGACCTCAGGTGATCCACCTGCCTTGGCCTCCCAAAGTGCTGGGATTACAGGCATGAACCACTGTGCCCGGCCATTTTTATGGTTTTTTTTGAGACGGAGTTTCACTCTCGTTGCCCAGGCTGGAGTGCAATGGAGCGATCTCGGCTCACTGCAACCTCCGCCTCCCGGGTTCAAGTGATTCTCCTGCCTCAACCTCCCGAGTAGCTGGGATTATAGGCGCCTGCCACCATGCCTAGCTAATTTTTATATGTTCAGTAGAGACAGGGTTTCACCACGTTGGGCAGGCTGGTCTCGAACTGCTGACCTCCGGTGATCCGCCCACCTCAGCCTCCCAAAGTGCCTTTCCTCTTTAAGAACATCCTCCCCTTTGTTTCCTGACACAGTGTGGTCTTCCCCCACACCCCCGCGTGTTGGGATGTGAGACAGGTCCCCTGAGAGGTGCCCGCAGGCTGCCTGTCCTGTGTGTGTCCTCTGGTGCCCCTGCTCGGGAGCAGCTAGTGTCTTTGATGCTGACGTCTGCTGGAGGCCACAGGCTCCTAGTGTTTTTGATGCTGACATCTGCTGGAGCAGGCTCTGTTAGGGGTGTTGTGTGAGCTGGTGGAGACCCAGGCCCTGTTTGTCTCTGGCAGGGGCATAAGCTGGTAGGAGCTCGCTGAGGTCGTGTCTGAAGGTGACTCAGTTTCGAGAGTGGGCGCTGGGATCCCTTGGAACTAATTTCCTTTCTTTTACTTTTGCTTGCAAGGGAGAGGAGGTGGGCAGGAGGAACGGCCCTTTGTGGCCCGGTTTGGATTTGACGTGGTGACGTGCTGTGGATACCTCCCCCAGGTGAGTGCACGGCGTTTGCTTCTATTTCACAATCAGGTCAGCTGTTCAGACACACGGGTTGGGGGGACACACCCCCCTCCTTTTTTTGTGAGCTTCAGTAAAAGTATTTGCACCATTTTTTCTTTGCTGATGTTTGAGAGGTTGACGTAAGATTGACCCACCTAATATGCTAGGTAAGCATGAAGAAACTGAGGAGGACCAGCAAGTTAGGAGCTGGATTTCAAGGTGGGTAAAAATGAGGGAATTTAACAAATGTTTTAGGTATACTAAACTCTCAAAGAGGGTGGAATGACAAGGGTTTGTCACTTTTGGTTGTGTGATTTTATGGTGGCTTCCCTCCGCATTTCCACCTGGGGAGTTCTGCTTGACGCCCAGCACATGTGCAGTGGACAGGGCTCCTGTCCTGTCCTCGAGAGGAGGGTACAGATGAACCCAGAAAACTTGCCAGGGTTTCCTGGCGGGCGCGGGGGCAGTAGAAAGACTTTGAAATGTTGAAGTTTGTTCAGAAACCTGCTTAGGGGCGGGGAGTGGTGCCCTCTGGTCCTGCCTGCTGGCGGGGGGTGGGGGGTTTTCGCCAGCTCCGCCCCTTCGTCTCGTGGCTGTACTCACAGTGTGTGTGTGCATGTGTGTGTGTGCATATGTGTATTTGTGTGCACGCACGTCTGTGCGCATATGTGTATGTGTGTGCATGTGTGTGCATATGTGTGCATGTGTATGTGCACGCATGTGTGCATATGTGTATGTGTGCACACGTGTGTGCATGTGTGTACGCGTGTGCGCGCACATGTATGTGTGCAGGCGTGTGTGCGCATGACTGTGTGCCTGATGCATGATGTTGGCGTCGTGTGCTACTCCAGTCGTGTGTGTCTGTCTTGCTTCCCTCCTGGGTGGTAAGCACCTGTGACCTGGATGTCCTTTCTCGGGGTCCTTCTCAATGGGGCTCCATGTGACTTTTCCTGTCATCACTGTCTGGGGAGGGGCTGTCTGGACAGATGTCAGAAGTGAGCCATGGGGTTGGGGCAGGTCAGCCAGCTCTGGCCTCAGTACTCCAGTGTGATTGTAAATTAAGAGGAAATGTTAGCCAGTTGCTTTAGCAGCAAAAAAAAAATTTTTTTTTTTAAATAAAAAAGCCCTGGTGGTTCATGCCTGTAATTCCAGCACTTTGGGAGGCCGAGGTGGGAGGATTGCTTGAGCCCAGCAGTTCGAGACCAGCCTGGCCAACATGGTGAAACCCTCTCTCTAGTAAAAATACAAAAAATTAGCAGGGTGTGGTGGTGCGTGCCTGTAGTTCCAGCCACTTGGAAGGCTGAGGTGGGAGGATTGCTTAAGCCTGGGAATTGAAGGCTGCAGTGAGCTGTGATTGCACCACTGCACTCCAGCTTGGGTAATGGAGCAAGACCTTGTTTCACAAAGATGAAAAAGAAAGAAAATGTTCTGGACCGGGCACGGTGGCTCACGCCTGTAATCTCAGCACTTTGGGAGGCCGAGGCGGGCAGATCACGTGAGGTAGAGTTTGAGACCAGCCTGACCAACATGGTGAAATCCTGTCTCTACTAAAAATACAAAAATTAGCCGGGCATGGTGGTGCGCACCTGTAATCCCAGCTACTCTGGGGGCTGAGGCAGGAGAATCGCTTGAACCCGGGAGACAGAGATTGCAGTGAGCTGAAATCACGCCATTGCACTCCAGCCTGGGTGACAAGAGTGAAACTTCATCTCAAAAAAGAAAAAAAAAAAGTAAAAAGTAAACTAAAAGGTAGTACAGTCAGATATCTTCTGTTACATATGGAACCTGTAAAGGCCAAAAGTGTGCTGCATGTGTGCCAACCAGAGCACGAGGGAGCAGGCCCCATGGCACCCTGTGATGTGAGTGTGACTTGGGACAACGATCTTTATGGGCAGCAACGTGGCAATGCCTATCAAAAAAAAAATTTTTTTTTTGAGATGGAGTCTCGCTCTGTCACCCAGGCTGGAGTGCAGTGGTGCGATCTTGGCTCACTGCAAGTTCCGCCTCCCAGGTTCACGCCATTCTTCTGCCTCAGCCTCCTGAGTAGCTGGGACTACAGGTGCCTGTCACCATGCCCGGCTAATTTTTTTTTGTATTTTTAGTAGAGATGGGGTTCCACCGTGTTAGCCAGGACAGTCTCAATCTCCTGGCCTTGTGATCTGCTTGCCTCAACCTCCCAAGGTGCTGGGATTACAGGCATGAGCCACCGTGCCTGGCCAAAAATTTAAAATTTAGTTTTAATTTTAATTTTAAAAGATAGAGTCTCTCTCTGTTGCCCAGGCTGGAGAGCAGTGGCATGATCATAGCTCACTGCAGCCTCAAACTTTCTGGGCTCAAGCCATCCTCCTGCCCCAGCCTCCCATGTAGCTGGGACTACAGGCATACACCACCACACTTGGCTAATTTTTTAATTTTTTTTGTAGAGACAGGGGTCTCACTATGTTGCCCAGGCTGGTCTCAAACTCCTGGGCTCAAGTGATCCTCCCACCTCAGCCACGCAAAATGCTGGGATTACAGATATTGCTCACCACTCCCAGCCCCCTTTCAAATTTTTTAATTTATTTAATTTATTTTTTTGAAATGGAGTCTCGCTGTCACCCAGGCTAGAGTGCAGTGGTGCGATCTTGGCTCACTGCAACCTCCAGCTTCCGGGTTCAATCAGTTCTCCTGCCTCAGCCTCCTGTGTGACTGGGATTACAGGCGCCCACCACCACGTCCGGCTAATTTTTGTATTTTTAGTACAAGCATGAGCCACCACACCTGGCCCCCCTTTCAAAATTTTAAATGGACTTATGCTCTGACCCAGTAATTATCCTTTAGGATTTATTCTACAGGCATATTTACACGTATGCAAAATGGCACAGACACAAGGGTATTTGCTGTGCCACTCTTGGTACTATGACAAGGAAAATCCAGAGGAGCACTGGGTGAAGTCCTGGTGCATCATCTGATGAACTATTGTCAGCTGCTACAAAACAACGTAAAGAAAGTGGGAGCAGGGCCAGGTGCAGTGGCCCACGCCCGCCCGTAATCCCAGCACTTTGAGAGGCTGAAGCGGGCAGATCACCTGAGGTCAGGAGTTTGAGACCAGCCTGACCAACATGGCGAAACCCCGTCTCTACTAAAAATACAAAAAAATTAGCCGGGCGTGGTGGTGCATGCTTGTAATCCCAGCTACTTGGGAGGCTGAGGCAGGAGAATTGCTTGAACCCGGGAGGCAGAGGTTGCAGTGAGCCGAGATGGCGCCACTGCACTCCAGCCTGGGCAATGAGAGCGAAACTCTATCTCAGAAAAAAGAAAAAGAAAAAAAAATGTTCTAGAAGCCTTCATTCTTGGAAGGCTACAGAGTGGGTCCTGAAGCATCCCCATGCTTCCCACTGCTCTTGGGATAGGATCTGAGGTCTCAGCATGTCCATGAGACTCCGGTTCCTCCTGGGATGTGGTTCCCCCCTCAGGCTCCTGTGACTGCCACCCCTCCCACGTGCCGCTCCTGCAGCCCTCTCCACTTTGAGATGCTTGTGGGTAGCTGAGCTCTCCCTTGGTTCTGGCATTTTCCAGTGAACTGTGCTTTTGCTGTTACTGTGCAGGTGAATGACTGGCAGGAGGACTGGGTCGTGTTCTATGCCCGGCAGCGCATTCAGCCCCAGATGGACATGGTGGAGAAGGAGTCTGGGGACAGGGAGGCCCTCCAGCTTTGGTCTGCTCTGCAGGTGAGTGGGGCCCCACTGCATGCCCAGCACCTGCCACACACCCCACTTGCCTGAGGTAGGGGAGGCACCAAGGCAGGTGAGGCCACCTCTGAGTCTGATTCTGGGTGGGAAGCGGGTGCCTGGTGGTGTGCTATCCGCTGCTGCCTGGGCTGGGGGCGGTGGGGACCTGGAGCGGCGCCCCTCATGCACGCGTTGATCAATTTGCTGAGGCTCCATTTTCCTCCCTGCAGTTAAAGATCCCTGACCTGTTCCGTGACCTGGAGATCATCCCAGCCTTACTCCACGGGGACCTCTGGGGTGGAAACGTAGCAGAGGATTCCTCTGGGCCGGTGATTTTTGACCCAGCTTCTTTCTACGGCCACTCGGAATATGAGCTGGCAATAGCTGGCATGTTTGGGGGCTTTAGCAGCTCCTTTTACTCCGCCTACCACGGCAAAATCCCCAAGGCCCCAGGATTCGAGAAGCGCCTTCAGTTGTATCAGCTCTTTCACTACTTGAACCACTGGAATCATTTTGGATCGGGGTACAGAGGATCCTCCCTGAACATCATGAGGAATCTGGTCAAGTGAGCGGGCCTTACTCTGGAAGGAGGCCTCAGAGGTTTCTCCACAGTCCTCTTCTGGGCAAATTCTTGTTTCTTCACATGCTGGACTAGCTTAAGACCAATGCAGTAGCTTATTTCCAAGCCTTGCAAAGTATATAATATCTAAGAGGAAAGGTTTTGTCATCCCAGCGTTGTCCACTTTGTGGGGCTTTGTAGGTAGACGGAGCCACACTACAGGCAGGGTATGAGCAGAGGGATGTATGGAGTGTGGGTGACTCTGAGCCTCACTGCTGCTGCAAGGTGGGGAAACTGTAAGTGAACCCCTGTGGGTGCGGGGGAGGGTATCCGGTGCGCAGGGAGGTGGCCAGCGCCCCCGGGCACTGCTGCTCATAGGTACCTTTCCACTGCCTCCTCCCTGCTCTCCTGTGCAGGAATGTCTCTGAGCTGTTCACGTTGATGCTTCTTGGTTGGCAAGACTTGGGTGTAGACATGAAACCATCTTACTAAAAGCGTCTTAAAATGACCAATTCCAGAATCAAGCGTATTCCGTTTTCTTCCTGCATGATCCCTGGGCCCTCCCGCAGGCTGAGCAAGTCTGTAAACTGATTCTGGGAGAAACCAAGCTGCTGGCCATAGGGTGTCCTTGGGTACATCCAGGAGTCTTCATTGCTTCTGTTATTACCCCGTCTCCTCTGCCATTTTCTACAGCTTGCTGAGTTGTCATTCCTTTGCAACATTAAAATACATGCTGAACTCATATTTTTCCTTCCTTCACTGTTGTAGTAAAGAGACATATTTCATGAATGGCATTGATGCTAATAAATCCTTTGCACAAAAATTTGAATAAACTTCCAGTGGTTTCGATAACGTACAAGATTGTATATTTCCCTCATTTATTGTAATTCAATATCTTAGTTGTTTGCTGAAAAACTTGTAATATTTTGTGACAAACAGGTACAACTAGTGTTTTTGTTGTTGTTTTTAGAGACGGTCTTGTTCTGTTGCCTAAGCTGCAGTGCGGTGGCATGATCATAGCTCACTGCAGCCTCAAACTCCCAGGTTCTAGCAGTCCTCCCATCTCAGCCTCTTGAGTAGCTGGAACTACAGGCGTGCACCACCACACCCGGCTAATTTTTGTATTTTTAGTAGAGATGAGGTTTTGCCATGTTGCCCAGGCTGGTCTCAAACTCCTGAGCTCAAGCAATCCTCCCACCTTAGCCTCCCGAGTGCTGGGATTACAGGCCTGAGCCACCATGCCTGACCCAACTGTTCTTTCTTTCTTTCTTTTTTTTTTTTAAGACAGAGTCTCACTGTTTCCAAGCTGGAGTGGTGCAATGGTGCGATCTCAGCTCCCTGCAACCTCTGCCCTCCGCCTTCTGGGCTCAAGCAATTCTCATGTCGCAGCCTCCTGAGTAGCTGGAGTAGTCGGTGTGTCACCACAGTGGCTAATTTTTGTATTTTTAGTAGAGACGGGGTTTCACCATGTTGCCCAGGCTGGTCTCCAACTCCTGACTTCAGGCAATCAACCCGCCTCAGCCTCCCAGCTGTTTCTTTTTTCTTTTTCTTTTTGAGATGGAGTCTTGCTCTGTCACCCAGGCTGGAGTATAGTGGTGCGATCTCAGCTCACTGCAACCTCTGCCTCCTGGGTTCAAGGATTCTCCTGTCTCAGCCTCCCGATGTAGCTGGGATTACAGGTGTGTGCCACCACACCTGGCTAATTTTTGTATTTCTAGTAGAGATGGGATTTTGCCATCTTGGCCAGGCTGGTCTTGAACTCCTGGCCTCAAGGAATCTGCCTGCCTTGGCCTCCCAAAGTGCTGGGATTACAGGCCTGACCCACCATCCCTGACCCAACTATTGTTTCTTAAAAAAAACTCTTTTTAACCTTGCCTTTTTGTTAGGGTAGAAGGATAGCTCAGAGCTTCAAAGAGCAGGACTAGCCTAAGAACTGTCTGTGATATTTGACCAGAGGTGCAGCCTAGCTGCCATTCTTCCTCACCCTGTGGAAGACATTAAAGGGAGAATGAAAGTAGCTGTAGAATTACCTTTGGGGGAAGAAGCCACTTGGTGAACTTGGCAAACACCCGTGTTTGAGGGGTCACCCAGGGTGTCATGAGCTGGGCCGGAGGGGATGGATTGATTACTTGTCTTGTTTGCTTGTTTCTGTTGTAAGTCAGGGCCCCTCAGCAGAAGGCAGAACAGAACCGAGTTCCTTTAGAATGCTGGTTTTTGTGTGGAGTGAGGAAGGACCGTGAGTGTGGTCAGTTTCCAACCTGACAGGACCTGCTCCCGTTGGCCAGGACTGCAGCTTGTTACTTTGACCCTGGGAAGAAGGTAAGTGTTCCCAAGAAAAGGGACGTCCCAAAGCGGCGCCATCCCGATGGCACGTGTGCTGCTCGACTCCCTGCCGGGTAGGTCCATCCTGACGGCGCATGTGCCCCTCAGCTCCCCCCACTGGGTAGGTCCATCCCGACAGCACCTGTGCTGCTCGACTCCCCCCACTGGGTGGGTCCATCCCGACAGCACCTGTGCCGCTCGACTCCCCCCACTGGGTAGGTCCATCCCGACAGCACCTGTGCTGCTCGACTACCCGCCGGGTAGGTCCATCCCGACAGCACCTGTGCCCCTCACCTCCCTGCCAGACGGTGCGTGTGCCGCTTGGCTCCCCACCAGGTAGGTCCATCCCGACAGCACCTGTGCCGCTCACCTCCCCACCGGGTAGGTCCATCCCGACAGCACCTGTGCCGCTCACCTCCCTGCCGGGTAGGTCCATCCCGACGGCGCGTGTGCCGCTTGGCTCAAGGCCCTGACATCGTTCCACTCAGCACAGCATCAGGTGCCCGGGACCCGGGACATCATCGTTCTGTGTCAGCACATCAGGTGCCCGGGGCCCGGACATCATCGTTCCACTCAGCACAGCATCAGGTGCCTGGGACCCTGGACATCATTGTTCTGCTCAGCACAGCATCAGGTGCCCGGGACCCTGGACGTCATTCTGCATCAGCACAACATCACCAGTGACGAGAGCCTCCCCAAGTGGTTGACGGGAAGGATGGTTCGGTCCTCCAGAGGCGGTGGCCTTCTCTTCCTCGATGACATTGCCGGGCTGCACCTTGTGAGAGGCCGTCGCTGAGAGTGCAGCCAAATGGAACCATCAGGAGGGGTGTCTCGGGGGTGTCGAAATGGTAAACAGTAGTGGGTAGTTTTCAGATTTTGCAATGCTGCGGTATGTGTCAGCTTTTTATTTTTTATTTTCTTTTTTATTTAATTTTAATTTTTCTTAGACAGTCTCACTCTGTCACCCAGGCTGGAGTGCAGTGACATGATCTCGGCTCACTGCAGTCTCCGCCTCCCAGGTTCAAGGGATTCTCCTGCCTCAGACTCCCCAGTAGCTGAGATTACAGGCACCTGCCACCATACCTGGCTAATTTTTATATTTTTAGTAGAAATGGGGTTTCACCATGTTGATCAGGCTGGTCTCGAACTCCTGACCTCAAGTGATCCGCCCACCTCGGCCTCCCAAAGTTCTGGGATTACAGGTGTGAGCCGCCGCATCTGGCCCCGTGTCAGCATTTTAAATTTGTAAGTTGATGCAATGCTTATTCTAAAATATCTAATTTTGTATTATTATAATATATGCATGTTATATATTTTTATATATACACACTTTTTCATAAAGGGCTATCAAAATCCTATAGGCTTCAGGCACAATAGATGCCCTTGCATCTACTCAGAGTTGATTCTTCTGGATTATTCTGTCCATGAGAGACCATATGCATGTCATCAGAGGATGAACTTCTCATCCAAAGCTGTGCTGTTTTCTGGGCTGGCTCAGCTGGAAGAGATGGGGGAGGGGATAGGTTCTGATTTGGAGGCATAGTTTTTTGTTTTTTGTTTTTGAGGTGGAGTCTCACTCTATCGCCCAGGACATCTGGGAGTGCAGTGGTGACATCTTGGCTCACTGCAACCTCCACCCTCCGAGTTCAAGCGATTCTCCTGCCTCAGCCTCCCAACTGGGATTACAGGCACCTGCCACCGTGCCCAGCTAATTTTGTTTTGTATTTTTAGTAGAGATGGGGTTTTACCATCTTGGGCAGTCTGGTCTTGAACTCCTGATCTCGTGATCCACCCACCTCAGCCTCCCAAAGTGCTGGGATTACAGGCGTGAGCCACCACGCCCGGCCTGGAGACATGGTTTTAAGGGACAGCTGTGTGCTATGTCCTTGCAGGCTGCTGTGTTGACATCTGAAAGCACAGAGGGACTGGGCTCTGGACACAGCTCCGAGACTCCTCGGTCAAGGGAACAGCTGGAAGAGGTTTGTTCTCTTTGGGCAGCCGTGAACATCGCTAGGACCTCCGGGGAGGAAGTCCAGGGAAATGGTAGTTGCCCTGAGCTCCCATCCAGGACTCTCAGTTCTCATCTTTGGGATCTTGGGGGCAATGTGGCTCCACTTTTTATTTCTTACTGTAAGTGGGATTATATCAAAACACCTAATCTAACACAGTCAGAGCGTCAGCTTTTCCACAGAAGTGAATCTTTAGATACCTGAAGACAAGCCTTCTGTCCCAAAGCGTTTTACTTTTCATCCTTTTAATGAAAGTGCGCCTAAAGCGGCCAGGCGCAGTGGCTCACGCCTGTCATCCCAGCACTCTGGGAGGCCGAGGTGGGCGGATCACCTGAGGTCAGGAGTTCGAGACCAGCCTGGCAAACATGGCAAAACCCTGTCTCTACCATAAATATGAAAATTAACTGGGCGTGGTAACGTGCGCCTGCAATCTCAGCTACTCGGGAGGCTGAGGCAGGAGAATTGCTTGAACTCGGGAGGCGGAGGTTGCAGTGAGCCGAGATCGTGTCACTGCACTCCAACTTGGAGACAGGGCAAGACTCCATCTCGGGGTGGGGAAGACCTGTATCTTGGAAAGATGATGTAGGGGTGCACTGTAAGGGGTATATTGGAGGGGGAATTCCAGGCAGCAGGGAGAGGGCTGGCGGGGGCTTTCCTGTGAGTGGGTAAGCAGGACTGTGAGAAGGGCAAAGGCCCAGGAGCCATGGAGGGGCCAGGACAGGGTGGTGAGAGAGAGGGAGCAGTGCCACCGGCTTGTCCACGTATTTCACTGAAGCCTGTGCCACGTCTGCACATCCCACCTCCACCCATCCACGCCTCTGCCTGAACCACTCCATTAACCAGCTGGCCTCTGCTTGGGGTGGCCCAGGGGAGCCGAGAGGAGATGGGGAGGGTGGGTGAGGTTAGGATATCATTCTCAGACTTCCTTCATCAAGCCCACACCCCAGGCCTGGGTGGCGCCAGCTCTGTAGCCAGGCTCAGCTCTGTCCTGTGGTCTCCCCACACCCTGCCCATGTCTGTGCCAGGCCCCTTTCTTGGGTCCTCCTTGATTCCTCCAGCTTGAGGTCCACATCCCACCTTTACTCCGTCCACGCCTCTCCTCTGGGCTGATGGTAGGATCACAAGCATGGGTGGCCCCGACACCTGACCAGCACCGCAGACCAGGCCCTGTACTAAGACATCCAGGCAGATGGGGAAAAAGATGGGTGGTACCACTCCCAGAACGGGAAACCGGACAGAGGGCAGGTTCTGTTTTGTTTGTGACGGAGTCTTGTTCTGTCACCCAGGCTGGAATGCAGTGGCGTGATCTCGGCTCAGTACGACCTCCACTCCCAGGCTCAAGCAATTCTCCTGCCTCAGCGTCCCAAGTAGCTGGGATTACAGGTGTGTGCCACCATGCCCGACTAAAATTTTTTTGTATTTTTCGTAGAGATAGGGTTTCACCAAGTTGATCAGGCTGGTCTTGAACTCCTGACCTTGTGATCTACCCACCTCGGCCTCCCAAAGAGCTGGGATTACAGGCATGAGCCACTGCAACCAGCCGATACAGGTCGTTTTAAAAACAGTATTATTTGCACACCATACAATTTACTCTACTAATTCTCTAAGAAACTTGGGATCACTTAACTGCCCTGCCCTTGAATCTTCAACAGCTCTTAACCCCCCACATAGAGGACTTCCTAGCCTGGTGCCTGCATATCTGTTTCTTCATTCAGGCACCTCTTCTCACTGAGAGACCTGAGCACTCGTATGGTTCTCTGTGTGACGCCTAATATCTGACTGTAGACTCATGAGTTGTATGAAGAAAAATTACAAGGGGCTTTGAGGCAGTAACAGAGAGGACTGACTCTAGACCACAGTGTTGGAATTCCAAAAAAGAGAACCAAGAATACAGAGGGAGAACGCCATGAAGGGCTAAAAGCTGTCCCAGGATTGGAGGACCCACCAGTCCTGTTCAGGGGATGACAGGAGACTCACCCTGACACCTCCCTGGGGAATTTTTCACTGGTGTCACAGAGAAGACCCTAAAAGCCTGCAGAGATAGAACAGTTTCCACACAAAGAATAAGAACTGAAATGGCCATAAGCTTCTCAACATCAAAACTGGAGCTGGCAGCTTCTTGGTTCCTAAAGAACATGGTCTGATCTCCAAGCTGGAATTTGATACCCAGCCAAACTGTCAACTAGGAAGAAAGAAATTTACAGACGTACGAGAGCTCACACTGGCCTGTCAGGAACCTTCTGTCAAGATGCGATAGCAGGGTGGGCTTCAGATGAGAAAAAGCCAGGGACTGGCACATGCCCTTTCTGCAGACACCACAGTCATCCTCCTGTCCTACCTGCTGTTCTGCGGCAGCCCTGCCACTCCTGTCAAGAGGTGGCTGCTTGGCCGGGTGCCATGTGTAATCCCAGCACATTGGGAGGCTGAGGCAGGCGGATCACCTGAGGCCAGGAGTTTGAGACCATCCTGGCCAACATGGTGAAACCCCGTCTCTACTAAAAATACAAAAATTAGCGGGGCGTGGTGACGCGTGCCTGTAATCCCAGCTACTCAGGAAGCTGAGGTAGGAGAATCGCTTGAACCCGGGAGGTGGAGGTTGCAGTGAGCCGAGATTGCACTTCAGCCTGGGTGACAGAGCAAGACCCTGTTTCAAAAAAAAAAAAGAGGTGGCTGCGGATCCCCTTGCCTTGATTGCGGCTTTGGAGACCGATGGAAGGAGGTGGAAATGATGGTGTGTGGCTTCTGAGGCCAGGTCAGAAAAGGCCTTTGCTTCTGCCAGCTCTCTGGGAGCTCTGGCTCTCCCAGTGCTCACTCTTGGAACCTGGCCTCCATGTTCAGGGAAGCTCAGGCCACACCAGGAGGCCACATGGACATGTCCTGCTTGACAGTGACCGCTAAGCCCAGGTTCCAGTGATCCTGGCCGAGGTGCCAGATGTAGGAGTTAAGGAGCCTCCCGATGACCCCAGCCCAGCTGAGCAAGTGGGCAGGACCGCGGGGATAGGCAGCTCCCAAAGGCTCCCTCCCCGCGGCAGGACCCCTGCATCTCTGTGGGAAAAGACAATTGTTGGGGCCCTAAAAAAAACAGATTTATTGATTAAAACCTCATGCATGGCCGGGCGTGGTGGTTCACGGCTGTAATCCCAGCACTTTGGGAGGCTGAGGCACGCAGGTCACCTGGCCAACATGGGGAAACCCCATGTCTACTAAAACTACAAAATGTAGCTGGGCAGGCCGGGCCGGTGGCTTGACGCCTGTAATCCCAGCACTTTGGGAGGCCGAGCGGGTGGATCACGAGGTTAGGAGATTGAGACCATCCTGGCTCACAGGGTGAAACCCTGTCTCCACTAAAACATACAAAAATATTAGCCGGGCGTGGTGGCGGGCGCCTGTAGTCCCAGCTACTCGGGAGGCTGAGGCAGGAGAATGGCTTGAACCCGGGAGGCGGAGCTTGCAGTGAGCCGAGATCGCGCCACTGCACTGCAGCCTGGGAGACAGAGACTCCATCTCTTAAAAACACAAAAAACAAACAATAAAAAAACCTCACGTCAAATGACTTCAGCACGGACTGGGCTCAGGTGCGCACCTGCTCGTGTGCACGCGTGTGTACCCACGTGTATGCATGCATGGGCGCGCGTGGGCATTCCTGTGTCTCAAGTCCCTTTCCCAGGACATCCTGGAATCAGCAGCCCCACCCTGGGCCGGGTCAGCGCGTGCCATCGGAGCCCCCACGTCAGCCTCTCTCTCCGATCGGCACCTGGCGTCCCAGTGCGCAAGCCCCACGTCATCACGGGGGCCGCTGGGCCCGGCCTGGTCTGCAGTGTGGGAAGCCGGCCAGGCCTGTGACCAGCGCCCGGGCCGAGGGCCGGACCTGCGTCCGCTGCGGGGCAGGGATACCGGGTCCCTGCAGGGAGCTCAAGCCCCAGCGCGCCCGCGAAGAGCTGCGCGGACTCCCGGCTGCTTCCCCCGAATCCCGGGCGCAGGAAGCGCGAAGCCGGACGAACGCGGGGAGCGCGCGGCGAGCCCGCCTGAGGCCGCCCCTCCCGCCGCCCGGGGTCACGCGCCGCGCGCTCCCGCCCCGCCCCGCCCCGCAGCGCCTCAGCCGACAGGGGCTTCCGAGCGAGCAGAGTCCCGCGCCCCGCACTCCATGGAGCAGCTGCTGCGCGCCGAGCTGCGCACCGCGACCCTGCGGGCCTTCGGCGGCCCCGGCGCCGGCTGCATCAGCGAGGGCCGAGCCTACGACACGGACGCAGGCCCAGTGTTCGTCAAAGTCAACCGCAGGACGCAGGTGCTGGCCCGTGCGCAGGCGGGGGCTCTGCGGGTCTCTGCGGGGCCTGGGAAGGCGGAGGGGTCGGGGGCAGGCGCATTTCCTGGGGCTGGGCCTGGGGAGGGGTCAGCTTTGGCCCTTGGGAGGTGGCACCTGCTGGGTGAGCCCGGCTCAAGCGTTCTGTGAAGGTTTGTGTCTGCACGATCCGTGACCTTCCTTTGGCCTCCATGCGCAGCGCACAGGCTTCTAGGGGTGGTTTTAACTTTCCTATCCAGCAAGCGTCGGGGGATGTGAGGCTTGGGGTCCTTGGCTCAGCTCTGGGCCGCCCCTCTCAGCCCACCGTCCTCCTGGCAGTGGGAAAGAAGCAGAGACATGGCTGGGCCCCTGGCAGGGACCCCACGGGCCAGGCCAGCGTTCTCCTTCCCACAGGCCTTGTCTGTGTTTAGACCTGATTTCTATCTCCTGCTGAAAATAGTTCTGTTTAAGAATGTATGGAAGGCCGGGCGCGGTGGTTCACACCTGTAATCCCATCACTTTGGGAGGCCGAGGTGAGTGGATCCCTGAGGTCAGGAGTTCGAGACCATCCTGGCCAACATGGTGAAACCCCGTCTCTACCAAAAAATGCAATAATTAGCCGGATGTGGTGCCACTGGCCTGTAATCCCAGCTACTCGGGAGGCTGAGGCAGGAGAATTGCTTGAACCCAGGAGATGGAGGTTGCAGTGAGCCAAGATCGCGCCATTGCACTCCAGCCTGGGCAACAAGAGGGAAACTCCGTCTCAAAAAAAAAAAAGTATGGAAAATGTTAACGGAGGAAGTGGAGAAGGTTAGCTTCAGCCTTGAGAGCCGGCAGGTGGAGAAAGGCAGGCCTGGGTGCCCTCCCGGCCCGAGTGGGCTCAGAAGGCCCTGCACACTCTGGTGGGGGAGCTCTCTGAGGGGCAGCAGGGGTCCTGGTGGGGAGTGCTGGCAGGAGGAACACCAGAGCCATGCAGCCTGGGCGTGCGATCGGATCCTCCGGCATCACCTGCTCTGCCGGCTCAGAACCAAATCCCTCAAAGTGGGGAGTCCTACTCACAGGGAAGCAGTTTTTGGTTCAGGCTTCCCACGGGCTCTGGGAAACTTCCTCAGCTGGTCCTGAAAGCTCTGCAGGGTGAGACCCCTCCTTCCCTCCCACCCCCACGAGGGGCCGGCACATAGTAGCTGCTCAGTCCATGCATAAGAGCAGGTGATGCTGGGGCCCCTGGGGCTTAGCAGCCCCAAGGCCGGGAGTTCCTGGCCTGGTGCATGGGGGGCTCGCCCTGGAGCAGGGCTGGGGTGTGCCGGCCGCCCTCCCACCTGTGGACACTCACACCCACCCTCGGTGCAGGCTGGCCAGGGCTGCCAGGCTGGGGAGGCTGTGCCTGGGCTTTCCCTGGGGTACTTTGAAGGAAAGGGCGTTCTGTTCGTGTGCACCAGCAGATGCTTTGGTCTCATTCATGAGGTTTGATTTTTTTAAACATGCAGTCCTACACTTTGGGCGACTGAGGAAAGGTGGATCACTTGAGGCCAGGAGTTTGAGACCAGCCTGGCCATCATGGTGAAATTCCATCTCTTTTTTTTTGAGACGGACTCTTGCTCTGTCGCCCAGGCTGGATCTCGGCTCACTGCAAGCTGCGCCTCCCGGTTCACTCCATTCTCCTGCCTCAGCCTCCCGAGTAGCTGGGACTACAGGTGCCCGCCACCTTGCCTGGCTAATTTTTTGTATTTTTAGTAGAGACGAGGTTTCACCGTGTTAGCCAGGATGGTCTCAATCTCCTGACCTTGTGATCCGCCCACCCCGGCCTCCCAAAGTGCTGGGATTACAGGTGCGAGCCACCACGCACGGCGGTGGAACTCCATCTCTAGTAAAAATACAGAAAAACACAGCGGGGTGGGGTGGCCCACACCTGTAATCCCAGCTACTCAGGAGGCCGAAGCAGGAGAATCGTTTGAACCCAGGAGGCGGAGGCTGCCGTGAGCCGAGATCATGCCACTGCCCTCCAGCCTGGGTGACAGAGTGAGACCCTGTCTCAAAACAAACATGCAATTCTATAGGCCAAGGTATTCATGGACCACGTTCGTCAATGCATGTTTTCAACCAATGTGTACTGTACGTGAGGTGAGTGTTCACCTAACTGAAAACTGGAATGTTTGTGGGAATATTTCAGAAACAGGAAGGCCCAGGTCCCACGGGAGGCGTTGGGGGCCGGCCGGGTGTGCCGTGCCTTTTACCTTCCCAGCCCCTGCCCTGGACCTGAGGCCCCGCCTGATGGGCCCAGCCCTCTTCTTCCCTGCCTGACGTGTGTGCCCAAGTTAGCTCCAGTGAGGCCTCTGCTGTGGCTGCCCCACCCTAAGAGGCAGCAAGGAAGGTGGGTAGCCCGGGGGTCCAGCTCTGGACCTTGGTTCACTCACACCTCCCCACGCCCTCAGTGCTCCCGGGCACCCACACGTGGCCTGTGCATCCTCCTGTCACAGCAGCCTGCAGACCCCACACCCCTCACGGCCCAGGCTCAGCCTCAGCCTTGCAGCCTCTCGTCTCCGACGGGGGGCCCCTCTGCACCCTGCCCTCTGTGGTGGACGCCAGCTCCCAGCCAGAGCCAGCTATCAGTGAATGAAGGTCCTTGTGACTCCCACGTGGTAGCTTCTGTCAAGGGCCCAGTGGGCAGAGGCCCTGGCTGAGTCAACAAGGCTGACAAGGCTGTGTTCTGGATGCAGGCCCGGCAGATGTTTGAGGGGGAGGTGGCCAGCCTGGAGGCCCTCAGGAGCACGGGCCTGGTGCGGGTGCCGAGGCCCATGAAGGTCATCGACCTGCCGGGAGGTGGGGCCGCCTTTGTGATGGAGCATTTGAAGATGAAGAGCTTGAGCAGGTGAGTGTGTGTGAGACCCATATGCGCACATGTGTACAGGCAGAGAGAGACTCAGAGACAAACAGAGAGAGACAGAGAAAGGGATAGAGATGGGGAGGGAGACAGAAACAGGGAGAAGCCTGTGGCTGAGCCGTCCACACAACTGCCCGGTTATCAGAGGCAGGGCCAAGAGTTCCACCCTGCCATTCTTAATGGAGATAAAAAGTTACTGCTTTCTGGTATGTGACTGGTTTTCCTAGATAAGTTTGGCTGTAATGAGGCTGCATAAAATATATATATATACACATATATATATATATATATATATTTTTTTTTTTTTTGAAACACAGTCTCGCTCTGTTGCCCAGGCTAGAGTGCAGTGCAGTGGTGCAATCTCGGCTCACTGCAACTTCTGCCCCCAGGGTTCAAATGATTCTCCCACCTCAGCCTCCTGAGTAGCTGGGACTACAGGTGTCCACCACCACACCTGACTAATTTTTGTATTTTTAGTAGAGATGGGGTTTCACCATGTTGGCTGAGTTGGTCTCAAACTTCTGACTTCAAGTGATCCACCCACCTCGGCTTCCCAAAGTGCTGGGATAACAGGCCTGAGCCACCACACCTGCCCAAAATAAGTATATTTGAACCCATCATTTGCTTTGTACTTTATTTTTATTTTATTTTTCCAAGACAGAGTCTTGCTCTGTTTCCCAGGCTGGAGTGCAGTGATGCAATCTTGGCTCACTGCAAACTCCGCCTCCTGGGTTCAAGCAATTCTCTTGTCTCAGCCTCGCGAGTGGCTGGGATTACAGGCACCCCACCACCTCACGCAGCTATTTTTTTTTTTTTTTTTTTTGAGACGGAGTGTCGCTCTGTCACCCAGGCTGGAGTGCAGTGGCGCGATCTTGGCTCATTGCAAACTCTGCCTCCTGGGTTGACGCCATTCTCCTGCCTCAGCCTCCCGAGTAGAAGGGACTACAGGCGCCCGCCACCATGCCCGGCTAATTTTTTGTATTTTTAGTAGAGACGGGGTTTCACCATGTTAGCCAGGATGGTCTCGATCTGCTGACCTCGTGATCTACCCGCCTTGACCTCCCAAAGTGCTGGGATTATAGGCGTGAGCCACCGCGCCCGGCCTAATTTTTGTATTTTTAGTAGCATGTTAGCCAGACTGGTCTCAAACTCCTGACCTCAGTGATCCGCCTGCCTTGGCCTCCCAAAGTGTTGGGATTACAGGTGTGAGCCACCACACCCAGTCCATCTTTTTCTTTTGCTTTTTCTTTCCTTTTTTTTTTGTTTTTTGAGACAGAGTCTTACTCTGTCGCCCAGGCTGGAGTGCAGTGGTGCAGTCTAGGCTCACTGCAAGCTCTGCCTCTTGGGCTCAAATGATTCTTCTGCCTCAGCCTGCAGAGTAGCTGGGACTACAGGTGTACCACCATGCCTGGCTAATTTTTTGTATTTTTAGTAGAGATGGGGTTTCACCATATTGACCAGGCTGGTCTTGAACTCCTGGCCTCATGATCTGCCTGCCTTGGCTTCCCAAAGTCCTGGTACTATAGGCCTGAGCCACTGTGCCACTATGCTTGGCCCTGCATTTTCACTTATCATTACTTTCTCAGCATTCCTCCCTTAATTCCTGGTACCTCCTAAGACTTCTGTTGAAGCTCACTTGGTTAATTCCTGTTTGTGATTACATGATGTTATTTTCTGGAAAGAGTCTTTGCCAGTGCTGGGCGTGGTGGTTCACACCTGTAATCCCAGTATTTTGGAAAGCCGAGGCAGGAGGAGACCCCATCTCTACAAAAAAAAAAAAAAAAAAAAAAAAAGCCAGGAATGGTGGCACAGGCATGTGGTCCCAGCTAGTTGTGAGGCTGAGGTGGAAGGATTGCTTGAGCCCTAGAAGTCAAAGCTGCAGTGAGCCATGATTGTGCCACTGCACTCCAGCCTGGATGACAGAGCAAGGCCTGGCCCCAGAAAAGAAAGAAAAAGCAAAAGAAAGAGTCATTGCCTGGTGTTCACTTTTTACTGTTTGAAGAATGGAGAATAGTTTTCAATGTATTTAAACCTTTCTCAAAATGGAACAAACTGGGTGGTGTTATTTATTATTTGTTATTTTAATTAGCTGCATTTCTTCTTTCCTCAGTCAAGCATCAAAACTTGGAGAGCAGATGGCAGATTTGCATCTTTACAACCAGAAGCTCAGGGAGAAGTTGAAGGAGGAGGAGAACACAGTGGGTATGTTCAGATTGCTTTTGGGTACCCTTGATCCAGCCACATTGTCTACCCTAGATGGGTGCTCATGGTACTTCTTGGTGGCATTTCAATAATAGGTTGAGTTGTATACCGTCTGTCTTTACACTACATTATGAAAATGAGATTATTAAATAAGAATTTTGATGTAGCTGATAAGCTAGTAGAATTGGCACATGATCCCTTTTATACCCAGCCCTCCTGTCTGGTGTGCTTGAGGTAATAATAACCCCTTTTATACCCAGCCCTGCTGTCTAGTGTGCTTGAGGTAGGAGTGTCCTGGCAGATCCATATATTGACTAATTGCTACTGTATGTAGTACATCCTCAGACCACCTATATTCTAGCATGCGTAGCCCAGGCTTGTACTGATGCTCTGCTGAGGTCTGGCATTTAAGAGAAAGACAAACAGCTCCTTCAGGCCAAGGATCTCTGTCAACAGGCCGAAGAGGTGAGGGTGCTGAGCCTCAGTATGTGGACAAGTTCGGCTTCCACACGGTGACGTGCTGCGGCTTCATCCCGCAGGTGAGTGCCTGGGTGAGGGTGTTCCCTGATGCCCTAATGCTGGTCACCCACTCTTTATATGTGACAGAATGCTAATCTCCCAAGCACCAGCAAGATTGACTACTTGATTTCTGAAAGCAGAGTAGAAGCTGTGATACCTGGAATGGGGAGAGCAGACGCTGAGGGTCACTGAGCTGAGCTGGGCAGGGTCATGGGACATGCTGGGGCAGGCAGATCAGCATTCCAAGCAGAGCGAGCCTCAAGTGCAAAGGTTGTGTTGCACAAGGCTCCTGATGAGTCTGAGGGACTGGAGACAGTGGGTGATGGGTAGTGTGCAAAGTCAGGGATTAAGTGCTGATTACTCAGCTCCTCTCCTGAGGCCTTTACAAATTATTATTTATTTAGATACAATTGAAATATAATTCACATAAGATCCACCATTTTAAAGGATTAGAATTAATTGGTTTTTAGTACATTCGTGATGGTGTGCAACCATCACTGCTGTTTAACTCCAGAACATTTTCTTTCTTTTCTTTTCTTTTTTATTTTTTTGAGACGGCATTTTGCCCTTGTTGCCCAGGCTGGAGTGCAATGGCACGATCTCGACCCACCGCAACATCGGCCTCCTGGGTTCAAGCGGTTCTCCTGTCTCAGCCTCTCAAGTAGCTGGGATTACAGGCATGCACCACCACACCCGGCTAATTTTTGTATTTTTAGTAGAGACGGGGTTTCATGTTGACCAGGCTGGTCTCGAACTCCTGACCTCAGGTGATCTGCCCTCCTCGGCCTTCCAAAGTGCTGGGATTACAGGCACGAGCCACCGCGCCTGGACTTAATGTTGTATTTTTAGTAGAGATGGGGTTTCTCCACGTTGGTCAGGCTGGTCTTGAACTCCCAACCTCAGGTGATCCACCCACCTCGGCCTCCCAAAGTGCTGGGATTACAGGTGTGAGCCACCATGCCTGGCCAGAACATTTTCATTATCCTAAAGCAGAACCCATTAGCAGTCACTCCCCATTTCCCCCTTTCCTGGTCCCTGGCAACCTCTAATGTACCTTCTGTCTCTTTGAATTTTCTGGATATGTCATATGAGTGGAAACACATAATATGTGATCTTTTGTATCTTTCATTCAGCATCATGTTTCACAGCTCTTCCATGTTGTAGCAGGTGTTAGAATGTTATTCTTTTATGGCTGAATAATATTCCATTCTATGGCTAGGCCACACGTTTCTTTACATATTCCTTTTTATGGCTGAATAATACTGGAGCCTCTTGAACCATCATCTTTGAAATCTGTGAAGTTCCAAAGAAGACTTTGGACAGCCCAACTGCCCTGTGCTTCTCTTGAAGAAGCCAATATTGGACCATATTTTGGTTTTGTTAGGAACACAGCACCCATTATATAAGAGCTAGTTCAAAGTCACTGCTTCTTGAAGAGAGAATACTTTCAAATCTGTCTCCTTGTCGACGCCCGTCCTGACTAGTTGGGTCCCTGCGAACAATGACCAAGCTCTCCCTGGTGTGGGTAGAGGGTGATTCTCCCAGCTGGAGGTCACCTGGGGCAAGATCCTCATGAAGCCCAAGCAGATTTAGGGTTCCCAGCCAACAGGCAGTCCTCACATCTGGGCTCGCTAGAACTGCACATGGAGCTTACCAGATTTACCGAGACCCCCGAGATCTCAGCCACAGCTGGCTCCCCTGGGGTCACACACCTGTCCGGAGCCAGTGAGCAGCACCCTCTTCACCTGTCCAGGTGAGCACGGCTGGGTGCAGCTTGTGGTCCTGTGGTCCTGCTGTGGATGCTGAGGTCAAGGGCTGCAAGTGGCGGGCTCTACAGGACTTGGCTGGCCCAGCAGAGTGGTGTTTCAAAGAAATGAAGTGAAATCTTACCCAGAGCCCCTGTGTGTGAAGCAGACGAGAAGGGGGCTAGTCTGTTTGGAGCACAGGGAGCCCCTCAATGCCCCTCGGACTCCAGGATCAAGGAACCCACCTCAGATCAGGTGCAGCCTGGCTAGGAAGGGTGAGGCGCCAGGGAGGACACCTGCCCTGCTTCCTGCTTGTTGTGCCTCGGACAGCACCAGGTTCCGGAGGCTTCCCACTCCTTGGGAGGGCTCAATGGGTCCTGGGGGAATGTGTGCTGCAGCCAATGGGGGGCAGTGCTGAGCGGCGGGCTCCTCAGACACCTGGGCACTAAGGCCCCCTGGGGCTGCCAGCTGGGTCGGCTGTGGTGCTTGCCCCATGCTCTGTACACTGCCACATACAGGCACCCTTCTAAGCACTTCACTGAACTCAACTCACCCACTTGCCCTAGCAGGTAACCAGGCAGATAATGTCACTGATCCGTTTTATAGATGAGGAAAGTGACATGCAGAGTTCATGCCTGGGTCCATGGAGCTTGTCAGCGGGGCAGCTGGGCTTCGACCCTCAGTCTGGCTTCAGACCACAGGCCCTGACCATGACGCAGCCCCTCTGTCAGGGGAGGCCTGGTCATTGGGACCAGCTGTGTACCCAGGTGGCACCTTCCCCGGGTAGCTTGGAGGATCACAGCCCCTCTGTTCAGGTGGCAGGACTGGGCTAGCCCAGGCTGGTCGCCTGCTTCCAGCACTAAACCTGGTTGTCTTCTGGAAAGAGTACAGAGCTCAGACGCTGGGAGCTTGGGCAGGCAAATGGGAAATAACGGGAGGCTGCACGGTGCACCTCTGAGCTGGGGATCTGACAGCCAGGCTATGGGGAGGGGCCTTTCCATCCTGCTCTTGAGGTGCACACAGCACCAGAGGGTGAGCCCAGGGGCCGAGTCACCACAGCACCCATGTGCAGGGAGATTCTTGGTGGGGGCCACTGACCAGGGCGGTCCTCCCCGAAGGAGTTTTACAAAATAACCCTTTGTATAAAATCAGCTTCGTATTTTTCTCTACAGAGGTGTAATTTGACATAAATTGCACCCATTTAAAATGTATAATTTGGTACATTTTGATGTTTGTACCTGTGAACCTTTACCACAGTCAAGGTGAGTATACTGATTACCCCCAAAAGGTTCCTCGTGCCCTTCCCTGCCCCTGGGCAACCATTCATTGGTGTTGTCACTGTAGATTAGTTTGCATCTTGTGGAATTTAATATAAATAGAATCATGTGGTATGTCTTCTGTCTGCTTCTCTCATGAAGGGGTGGGTTGCCCCTCCACACCTGTGGGTGTTTCTCGTTAGGTAGAACGAGAGACTTGGAAAAGAAAAAGACACAGAGACAAAGTATAGAGAGAAATAAGGGGACCCAGGGAACTAGCGTTCAGCATATGGAGGATCCCGCCAGCCTCTGAGTTCCCTTAGTATTTATTGATCATTCGTGGGTGTTTCTCCGAGAGGGGGATGTGTCAGGGTCACAAGACAATAGTGGGGAGAGGGTCAGCAGACAAACATGTGAACAAAGGTCTTTGCATCATAGACAAGGTAAAGAATCAAGTGCTGTGCTTTTAGATATGCATACACATAAACATCTCAATGCTTTACAAAGCAGTATTGCTGCCCGCATGTCCCACCTCCAGCCCAAGGCGGTTTTTCCCTATCTCAGTAGATGGAAGGTACAATTGGGTTTTATACCGAGACATTCCATTGCCCAGGGACGGGCAGGAGACAGATGCCTTCCTCTTGTCTCAACTGCAAGAGGCATGCCTTCCTCTTATACTAATCCTCCTCAGTACAGACCCTTTATGGGTGTCGGGCTGGGGGACGGTCAGGTCTTTCCCTTCCTACGAGGCCATATTTCAGACTGTCACATGGGGAGAAACCTTGGACAATACCTGGCTTTCCTAGGCAGAGGTCCCTGCAGCCTTCCACAGTGTTTGTGTCCCTGGGTACTTGAGATTAGGGAGTGGTGATGACTCTTAACGAGTATGCTGCCTTCAAGCATTTGTTTAACAAAGCACATCTTGCACCGCCCTTAATCCATTTAACCCTGAGTTTGACACAGCACACGTTTCAGAGAGCAGGGGGTTGGGGGTAAGGTCATAGATTAACAGAATCTCAAGGCAGAAGAATTTGTCTTAGTACAGAACAAAATGGAGTCTCCTATGTCTACTTCTTTCTACACAGACACAGTAACAATCTGATCTCTCTTGCTTTTCCCCACACTCTCACTCAGCATAATCATGCTGATATTTATCCAAGTCTAAAATCCTTTGATATTCATCCGTGATACACATCCATGTTGCATGTGTCAAAAGCCCATTCCCCTGTACGGATCTAACACAGCCTGTTTATCCATTCACATGTGGATGGATTTCTGGATCATTTCCAGTTTTTGCTCATACAAATAAAGCCGCTGTGAACCTTTGTGTACAAATCTTGGTCTGGACAAATGCTTCCACTTATCTCGGGTAAATACCTAGGAGGGGGATGACTGTGTCATATGGTAGGTCCATATTTAGCTCTTTAAGAAACTACTGGCCGGGTGGGGTGGCTCACACTTGTAATCCCAGCACTTTGGGAGGCTGAGGCGGGTGGATCACAAGGTCAGGAGGTCGAGACCATCATGGCTAACACAGTGAAACCCCGTCTCTACTAAAAAATACAAAAAATTAACAGGGCATGGTGGCGGGCGCCTGTAGTCCCAGCTACTTGGGAGGCTGAGGCAGGAGAATGGCGTGAACTCGGGAGGTGGAGCTTGCAGTGAGCCGAGATCTCGCCACTGCACTCCAGCCTGGGCGACAGAGCAAGACTCCGTCTCAAAAAAAAAAAAAAAAAAACTACCAAACTCTTTTCCAAAGTGGTTGCACCATGTTGCATTCCCACCAGCAGCATATGGGAGTTCCAGTTCCTCCACATCCTTGTCAACACTTGAGATTTTTTGTTTTAAATTACAGCCATCCTAGTGGGCGTGAAATATTATCTCACTGAGGTTCTATTTTGCATTTCCATAATGACTGAAGATGTGGAGCATCTATTCGTGTGCCTGTTTGCTGACAAAATATCTTCTTTGGTGAACCATGTGTTCACTTATTTTGTCCAATTTGTGAATAGGGTTTTTTTTTTATTATTGAGTTTTGAGATTTCTTTGCGTATTTAGGATATGAGTGTTTTACCAGATATATGATTTGCGAATAGTGTCTCCTAGTTTGTTGTTTGTGTATTTTCTTGGAAGCGTCCTTCAGAGGCTGGGCATGGTGGCTCGCGCCTGTAATCCCAGCACTTTCGGAGGCCGAGGTGGGCAGATCACTTGAGGTCAGGAGTTCGAGACCAGCCTGGCCAACATGGTGAAACCCCATCTCTACTAAAAATACCAAAACATTAGCCAGGCATGGTGGCGGGCACCTGTAATTCCAGCTACTCGAAAGGCTGAGGCAGGAGAATTGCTTGAACCCGGGAGGCAGGGAGGTTGCAGTGAGCTGAGATCGTGCCATTGCACTCCACCTGGGCAACAAGAACAAAACTTGGTCTCAAAAAAAAAATTTCCTTATTATCCTTTTTATTGTTGTTGAGATGGAGTTTCACTCTGTTGAGCAGGCTAGAGTGCAGTGGTAAGATCTTGGCTCACTGCAACCCCTGCCTCCTGGGTTCAAGCGATTCTCCTGTCTCAGTCTCCCAAGCAGCTGGGACTACAGGCACCTGCCACCACGCCTGGCTAATTTTTGTATTTTTAGTAGAGATAGAGTTTCACCATCTTGGCCAGGATGGTCTCGAACTCCTGATCTTGTGATCTGCCTGCCTCGGCCTCCCAAAGTGCTGGGATTACAGGTGTGAGCCACCGCGCCTGGCCTCTTGCTTACTTTAGGTTTAATGTGCTCTTTTTCTGGTTGGTTAATGTAGCAGCTGAGGTCATTACTGTGAGATCTTTGCTAACACAGATGTTTAGTGCTACACATTTTCCCCAAGTACTGCTTTAGTGGCATCTCACAAATTATAAGTTGTGTTTTTGCTTTCATTCAATTGAAAACACTTTCTAATTTCCCTTTAGACATCTTTCTTAAACAGATTTTAGAACTGTGTTTAGTTTTAAAATATTTGAGGATTTCCCAGAATTTTTCCTATTGATTTTGTTTTGTTTTGCTTTTCTGAGACGGAGTCTTGCTCTGTCACCAGGCTGGAGTGCAATGGCACAATCTCAGCTCACTGCAACCTCTGCCTCTTGGTTTCAAGAGATTCTCCTGCCTCAGCCTCCCGAGTAGCTGGGACTACAGGCATGCACCATCACGCCCAGCTACTTTTTGTATTTTTAGTAGAAATGGGGTTTCACCATGTTGGTCAGGATGGTTTTGATCTCTTGACCTCGTGATCCACCCACCTCGGCCTCCCAAAGTGTTGGGATTATGGGCGTGAGCCACCAGGCCTGGCCTTCCTATTGATTTCTAATTGAATTTGATTATACTTTGCATGCTTAAATTCTTCTCAATTTATTGAGATCTGTTTGCATGGAGAGAGAAATCCTACTCTATTCCTCTTCTTATAGGCCACTAATCCTATTGGATTAATAATTCACCCTTACGATTTTATTTAACCCTAATTACCTCCTAGAGGCCCTTCCTCCAAATACAGGTATATTAGGGGTTAGGGCTTCAACGTAGGAACGGGGGTGGGCACCATTGAGTCAATAGCAGGATATGGGATTTATCTATTTTTCCTGCAGTTCTTTTACGTATTTTGAAGCTGTGTTATTAGAGGTGTAGGCATTTAGGATTATTATGTTCATTAGTCGACTCCCTTTGTGAAATGACTATATTTGATTTTCTTTGCTTTGAAATCTACTTTGTCTTGTATTAATGTAGCCACTCTAGCTTTCTTTTTTTTTTTCTTTTTTTTTTTGAGATAGAGTTTCACTCTTGTTGCCCAGGCTGGAGTGCAATGGCGCGATCTCGGCTCACTGCACCCTTTGCCTGTGGGTTCAAGCGATTCTCCTACGTCAGCCTCCCAAGTAGCTGGGACTACAGGCCCACGCCACCATGCCCGGCTAATTTTGTATTTTTAGTAGAGATGGAGTTTCCTTATGTTGCCTAGACTGGTCTTTAACTCCTGGGCTCAAGGGATCTGCCCACCTCAGCCTCCCAAAGTGCTGGGAATTGCAGGCGTGAGCCACTGTGCCTGGCCTCCAGCTTTCTTTTGACTAGTGTTAGCATGGTATATCTTTTCTATCCTTTCAAGCTTTTTTTTTTTTTAGTAGATAATGTCTTTTTGCACATAACTTATTGTTGGATTTGCTTTATTTTTCCAACCTGCCAATCTGTCATTTACCAAGAGTATTTATTTTTGACATTCGTATTTAATGTGCTTAGTCATATAGTTTTGAGTCTGTCATCTTGCAATTTGTTTTTTGTTTCATCTGCCCTTTGTTCTCTCTTTACCTGCCTTCCTCTGGGTTGAGTATTTTATGTTTCTGTCTTACCTCCTTTGTTGGCTTACTAGGTATCTTTGCTGGGTTTTGAATGGTCCCTCTAGGGTTTAGGCAGCACTTGGCTCCGAATTGCAACAGTGGCCTCTTTTCCCTTGTTGTCCAGGTGAATGAGTGGCAGGATGACTGGCCGACCTTTTTCGCCCGGCACCGGCTCCAGGCGCAGCTGGACCTCATTGAGAAGGACTATGCTGACCGAGAGGCACGAGAACTCTGGTCCCGGCTACAGGTGGGCACGGCAGTGACTTCTCTGGGAAAGAGCTGGTCCTCTCATGATCCCGCCGCATTTGTGCGGGTTCATCTGTAAAACGGAGCTGGAGCAGGGAACACTGAGTCCTGGAGCACACATCAGGGAGGAAGGGGGGCAGGGGCGGGGGTTCCCCCAAAAGGGAGTCCGAAAGGAGTGAGGAGTGAAGACACACTTGGCTCCTCGTGCCCCTCTCCACTGCTAGGTCACCAGGTATTTAGCCTCAGACTTTCCTCATGTGAAACACAGGTGCTTGTAAATGGTGGTGTTTACCATGATTACTGTTCTTACTATCAGTAACACTTGTCCACTCCATCGTGTTCCTCTCCCATGGGAAGATGTGGGTACCAGATGATCCAGAATGACTGATTTCAAAACATAACTCTCGGCCGGGCACAGTGGTTCACGCCTGTAATCGCAGCATTTGGGAGGCCTAGGTGGGCAGATCACTTGAGGTCAGGAGTTTGAGACCAGCCTGGCCAACATGGTGAAACCCTGTCTGTACTAAAAATGCAAAAATTAACCGTGCATGGTGGTGCATGCCTGTAATCCCAGCTACTCAGGAGGCTGAGGCAGGAGAATCACTTGAACCCGGGAGGCGGAGGCTGCAGTGAGGGGAGATTGCACCATTGCACTCCAGCCTGGACGACAGAGTGAGATCCTGTATCAAAAAGAAAAAAAATCAAAATATAACTCTCAAAATGTTAAAAAAGAATGTGCATGTCAATCCAGAGTGAGTATACATCAAAGAGACTTGAACTCATTAATGAAGAAACTAGGCTGGGCACGGTGGCTCAAGCCTGTAATCCTAGCACTTTGGGAGGCCGAGGTGGATAGATTTTACCTGAGGTCAGGATTTCAAGACCAGACTGGCCAATATGGTGAAACCCCATCTCTACTAAAAATACAAAAATTAGCCGGGTGTAGTGGCGGGTGCCTGTAATCCCAGCTACTCAGTAGGCTGAGGCAGGAGAATCACTTGAATCCGGGAGGCGGAGGTTGCAGTGAGCCGAGATGGCGCCACTGCACTCCAGCCTGGGTGACAGAGCAAGATTCCCTCTCAAAGAAAAAAACAACAAAACCAAACAAAACCTGCAGACATATATGTGTAGCGAAATAAAAGTGGCCAGAGTTTGCTAAGGTAGCGCAACACTGGTTCCTATTCTGTGGGTCGATTAAAACTATAACCTCAGAGGTTCTCCACTGTGTGGGGATTCTAGACCTAAATTAGGAGGAAATCCTAAGTTAGACAAAGCTAGACTCCCCTGAAGTCAGGTGGCCCCTATTTCTGGGCTTGGCAGGCAGTGCTGGGGCTGGACACCGAAGCAGATCGCGAGTGGGCTTTGCCTTATTTCCAAGAACGAGGTGATGAGACCGGGGCTCCCAGAGGCCAGCGATAACTGCAGCCGTTGCTCTCGTAGGTGAAGATCCCGGATCTGTTTTGTGGCCTAGAGATTGTCCCCGCGTTGCTCCACGGGGATCTCTGGTCGGGAAACGTGGCTGAGGACGACGTGGGGCCCATTATTTACGACCCGGCTTCCTTCTATGGCCATTCCGAGTTTGAACTGGCAATCGCCTTGATGTTTGGGGGGTTCCCCAGATCCTTCTTCACCGCCTACCACCGGAAGATCCCCAAGGCTCCGGGCTTCGACCAGCGGCTGCTGCTCTACCAGCTGTTTAACTACCTGAACCACTGGAACCACTTCGGGCGGGAGTACAGGAGCCCTTCCTTGGGCACCATGCGAAGGCTGCTCAAGTAGCGGCCCCTGCCCTCCCTTCCCCTGTCCCCGTCCCCGTCTCCGTCTCCCCGTCCCTGTCCCCCCGTCCCCCGTCCCTGTGCCCCCGTCCCTGTCCCCCTGTTCCCGTCTCCCCGTCCCTCCGTCTCCATCCCCCCGTCCCCCCATCCTCCTGTCCCCGTCCCCCCGTCCCCGTCCCTCCATCCCTGTCCCCCGTCCCCCTGTCCCCCTGTCCACATACCAATCCCCCTGTCCCCGACCCCCCATCCCCGTCCCCCATCTCCGTCCCCGTCCCCCCTGCCCCGTCCCCGTCTCCGTTCCCCCGTCCCCATCCTCCATCCCCGTCTCCCATCGCCGTCCCCCCGTCCCCGTCCCCCGTCCCCGTCCCCCCTGTCCCTGTCCCCCTTCCCCCGACCCCTCCCAGATCCTGGGGACCAATAAAGCCCGCAGCGGGTCTCGGCTGGCGTCCTGCGCCTCGTTCCTCCGCTCGTGGGGCTGCTTTCAGGGCCAGACGCACGGCGAGCTGTGCACGGACGTTTTTGCGGCGATTCAGGGGAAACGCACGCGGACCCGGTAGCCAAGGCCAAAGTCGGCGCAGCGCCCACCGCGGCCTCCGGGCCCCGCTCCCGCTCCCGCTCTGGGGCGCGCCACCACTCGGCGCGGGGCCCGTGTGATCCGCGCGGGTCCCAGCGTGGCGCGAATAAGTGTCAGGGCGGTTGGCTCTGAGGGGTGGGTCCCGGGGCTCGCCTCGCGCCCCCGACTGCGTGCTCAGGCCCCGCCCCTCCCCGTCCACGCATGCTGAGGCTCCGCCCCGCTCCGCGGTCCCCCGGTCCCACCCGCCCCCGCCCCGCCCCCGCCCCGCCCCCCGGCGTGTTGTGGCTCCGCCCCGCTGTCTCCGGCCCCACCGCAAGCCCTGCCCCTCCCACCCACGCGTGCCCGGGCCCCGCCCCCGTTGCGCGCAGCCCCGCCCCCTATCGCGTGCTCAAGCCCCGCCCTGGCGGCCCCCGGCCCCATCCCGAAGCCCCGCCCCCCCGCACACCGCCTGCTCAGGCTCCGCCCCGCTGTCCTCCGGCGGCGGCCTCACCCCGCAGCCCGGCCCACCGCGTCTCAGGCCCCACCTCCTGTCCTGCCCCGCCCACCGCGTGCTCAGGCCCCGCTGAGCGGTCCCGGCTCCGCTCGCGCCCTGTGGGGTCCACGGCGCGCTCTTCCAGAGCCTTTGGGACCCGTGCCCGCTCGCGTCCTCAAGTGCACGCGCCGTCCCGCGCGCGGTATTTTGGCGGCCGACGCGTTCCGTAGCGAGGCCGGCGAGTGGGGTCGGAGGTCGCGGGGCGGGGCCAGCGTCGGTTGCCGCCTTAGCGGGCGCCTCCTTTTCATCCCTCATCCTTCATCCCTGGCTTTCGCGCTCTAGCGGAGTGGGATCTGCGAACACGTGAGGCGGGGGCGCGGTCCCCAGGCTGCCGAGATGGCCCTGAGCGACGAACCGGCCGCGGGCGGCCCCGAGGAGGAGGCGGAGGACGAGACACTGGCCTTTGGCGCGGCGCTGGAAGCGTTCGGCGAGAGCGCGGAGACCCGGGCGCTGCTGGGCCGCCTGCGGGAGGTGCACGGCGGCGGCGCGGAGCGCGAGGTGGCCCTGGAGCGGTTCCGCGGTGCGTGGGCGGCGCCGCGTGCCCGCTTCCTCCCCCGGCCCGGGTTCGGCGCGCTGAGTGCACTTTACCGGGCGGGGACCGCAGCCCGGCGGCGCCGGCCGCTCTGCGAGGGCTGCCGGTGCGCGGTCCCGCGGGCCGTGGTGGGGCGCGGCCTTCCTAGGCGGGAGAGGGCCACCCCGGCGCGGCGTTAGGTGCACGGGGCAGACGCGCGCCTCCCTTGGGGGGACCGTGGCCCGCGGAGCGCCTGCTCTCGCACGGGGTGAAGCCTCTGCGGCCTCCCCGGGAGGCGGGGTGCAGAAGCCCTCCGTCCCCCGTCTCCGTCACTGGAGGAGGTCCCTGGGCTGGGGAGACTCGGGCCAGACCCCTCCGGACAGCTGGTCAGCCCTGCAGTGTGGACTCCCAGGCTTGCCTCCACCGAGCGCGGTTTCTGTGAATGTTGTGTGGACAGGGAGATAGGGAATGAGAGAGGGGGACGCAGGGAACAAACCTGCTGCAAACAAAGCGCGCCTCGGGTGGGGAGGGCAGCAGCCTGTCCGTTCCGTGGACGCCGTGGACAGAGCGGGCTGGCCGGGTCCGTGCCTCTGCAGGCGGGGTGGGGTGTAGGTACCCCTGTGGAGGCCATTCGATGAGTCTAAATTCTCCGAGTTCAGACCCACCTTTACCGCTGTCTATAATGGGTTATTTCCAAACAAGTCCTTAGGAGCTCATAGCTAAGTAGTTACATGGGGTTTTGTAATTCAGTAAAATCATCTTTGTAGACCCTTTGAGTAAGAAGAACTTTTGCATTATTTGGCCTTCCTCATTTTAGAATGACAGCGCTTTGATTTTAGGAGTCAGGCAGGGTGGGGGGCCTTGTGGGAGGAGTGCGGGTTCGGCGTCAGATCCTCCTGCCTGTGAATTCTGGCCCTGTCGCTTGGACCTGATACTTGATTGCCTGTTTCTTCGGGTGTAAGCTGGGGCGGATAACGATGCCTCTCGTGCAGAACTGTTCTGAGGGTGAGGGACCCTCATCCAGGGACCAGTGAAGCCAGATTTTTTGTTCCTGGTGTAACAGCCCAATGGCTTCTTCCTTTTTTTTTTTTTTTTTTTTTTGATACGAAGTCTTGCTCTGTTGCCCAGGCTGGAGTGCAGTGCAGTGGTGCGATCTTGGCTCACTGCAACCTCAACCTCTCAGGTTCAAGCTATTCTCCTGTCTTAGCCTCCCGAGTAGCTGGGGCTACAGGCGCGCGCCACCACGCCCGGCTAATTTTGTATTTTTAGTAGAGGGGGTTTCACCATGTTGGTCAGGCTGGTCTCAAACTCCTGACCTCAAGTGGTCGCCCGACTCAGCCTCCCAAAGTGTTGAGATTACAGGTGTGAGCCACTGCGCTCGGCCCCAGTGGGTTCTTTCTGCGGGCTGCCCAGATAGAGTTGATTTGTCAGGGCAGGGGAGTTGCCATGGAGAAGATTTAGTTCACGCAGAGCCGGTTGAAAGGGAGACTAGACTAGAGGTTTTTTTTTTTTTTTTTGAGGCGGAGTCTCACTTTGTCCCCCAGGGTGGAGTGCAGTGATGAGATCTCAGCTCACTGCAACCTCCACAACCTCCACCTCCCAGGTTCAAGTGATTCTCCTGCCTCAGCCTCCCGAGTAGCTGGGACTACAGGTGCGCGCCACCACGCCCACCTAATTTTTCGTATTATTAGTAGTGACGGGTTTCATCGTGTTAGCCAGGATGGTCTCGATCTCCTGACCTCGTGATCCACCCGCCTCAGCCTCCCAAAGTGAGCCACCACGCCCGGCTGGAGTTTTATTATTACTCAGATCAGTCTCCCTGAGAATTTGAGGGCCAGGGTTTTTTAGAGGTAATCTGGGGGAAAGGGTGGGGGTGGCTGATTGGTTAGGGGTATACAATCATAGGGGAGTCGGAAATGATCCTCCGTGATGTGCTGAATCGCGTCTGCGTGGGGCCCCAGGAGCAGTGGGCGGGTCCAGGTGGAGCTATCATGGGTCCGTGGATCCTAGTGTAGGTGTCAGACATGGAAACAATCTGAAAAGATATCTTTAAAGGCCAGTCTCAGGTTCTGCAATAGTGACATGGTCTGCAGGAGTAACTGGGGAACTCGCATGTCTTGTGATCTCAAGAATAATGGCTGGCAATTAGGTTACGCCTTAGCGGAATTCAGGCTCCTCTCCTCCTCCTAGCCTGGTGGCCTCTCATTAACTTTACAAAGGCAGTTGAGTTTTGGGGAAGGGCTCTTAGCATTTAAACTATAAATTAAATGTCTCCCAGAGGTAGCTTGGCAGCTTGAAGACTAAAGGCATGAGGGGGTTGCCTGGATCAGATCTGCCCCATTGCCATAATTTCCTCACAGATCACTTTTGCAAAGGCAGTTTTGCTGGGAAGCAGTGGGTGTGTTCAGATGTGGAGGTGGGAGCTGCCGGATTGGACAGAAGCAGTTTCAGCTGCTGAGAGGAGGAGAAAGCGGTGGTTCAGGGTCTGGGAGGTTGTGAAGAGCTGGCAGCTGTGTGGAAGGGAGCAGTGCCTGGATATGTCAACCAAAAAGTATCTGAGACGAGTCTCAATCAGTTTAGAAGGTTAAGGGTGTGCCCGTGAGGCAGCCTCAGGAGGTCACATGTCCCCAAGGAAGTCGGGCTACAGCTTAGTTTTACACGTTTTAGGGAGACGTGAGACATCAATCAATACCTGTAAGATGTACATTGGTCTCGTCAGGGAAGGCGGGACATCTTGGGTGGGAGGGCGTCCAGGGCATTGGTGGATTCAAATATTTCACGATTGGTGATTGGTTGAAAGAGTTTATCTGAAGACCTGGAATCCATAGAAGGGATTGTCTAGGTTAAGATAAATTGTGGAGACCAAGGTTTTTCTTATGCAGATGAAGGTTCCAGTTAGCTGGTTTCAGAGAGAATAGATTGTAAATGCTTTTCATCAGACTAAAAAGGTACCAGACTTAGTTAATTTTCTCTTGGATCAGGGAAAAGACCTAGAAAAGGAAGGGATTCTCTACAGAATGTAGCTTTTCCCAGCAAGAGACAACTTAGCAGAACCATTTCAAAATATGTCAAATATATTTTAGGGAAAAATATTTTGATTTCTTTCAGGGCCTGCTGTCTGTCATGTGATGCTGTACTAGAGTCAGGCTGGAATTTGGTGTCTTATTGCTACTTAAGATCGGTTTTAATGCTAATACTGATCAGCTGTGCCTGAATTCCAACGAGAGGAGGGTATAATGAGGCCTATGTGGACCACTCCCCACAATCCCTTAATATCATGAGGCCTGAACTAGTTTTTCAGGTTAAGTTTGGAATGCCCTTGGCCAAGAGGAGGGGTCTGTTAGATGGCTAGGGGGCTTAGAATTTTGTTTTTAGTTTACAGGCATGTTTGGCAGGGGAGTGTGAGAGGAGTGCCAGGGATGTGTGTCTCACAAGGACAGAGTTGAGCTTGGCCCTTAACGGCTGGCAGAGGCAGGAGAGAGTGAAGGAAGGAAGAGGCGAGGAGGAGACTCTGTTAGGAAGAGTATCGAGGCAGTGGGAAAAGAGGAACAGTGTGCCAAGCAAGTAAACTGCACGAGGCTGGGCCACAGTGGCCCTCAAAAGGCTAGAGGGAGGTGGGGCATTCCCTCCAGGTGGCCTGTGTGGCCTCCTTTAGTGAGAGGGGAGGTGTGCTCTTGAGAGCTGGGGAAGAGGTGGAGCTGCCCTGTGGAAGCTAGCAAGGGAAAATGGGGTTTCTGAGGCTCATGGGTATGTTTGGCCTAGTGATAATTAATTTTCATGTTATATTTGTTTTTAGTAATAATGGACAAATACCAGGAGCAGCCTCATCTGTTGGACCCGCACCTTGGTAAGAATAGAAGCTGCTGATTTTGATCATTCAGTTACAGATGACCACGGAGGCCTTGGTGTGTGGTGCTGGCACATGCATGTGCTTTGCCAGGATCAAATGCCAAGAAGTGTCCCTGTCTTGCTTGCCTGGCTGGTTGGTTTTAGCCGACCTGTGATAGTGGCTTGAGTTCCAGATGTCACTCTAGGCTGGGGGGAGATGTGTCTGAGCTACTTAATTCCTTTCTGCTAAGGAAACAACATCTGCTCCTCATGTGTTTTTTTTGTTTTTTTTTCTTTTTTTTGAGACGGAGTCTCGCTCTGTCTCCAGGCTAGAGTGCTGTGGCGCGATCTCAGCTCACTGCATCCTCCAGCTCCCTGGTTCAAGGGATTCTCCTGCCTCTGCCTCCCGAGTAGCTGGGATTACAGGCATGCGCCACCATGCCCAGCTAATTTTTGTATTTTTAGTAGAGACGGGGTTTCACTATGTTGGCCAGGATGGTCTTGATCTCCTGACCTCGTGATCCGCCTGCCTCGGCCTCCCAAAGTGCTGGGATTACAGGCGTGAGCCACCGCGCCTGGCCTCCTCAAGTGTTTTTAGTTTACATTAGTTTATTATTTTAGTTTACATTTGGGCACATGATGTTTTTCTGGTAATAGTCATACAGGGTCAGGTGTTTTACATGGGTCATCATTTAATCCTCACAGCAGCTAAGGAGGGCATCTGTTGTCATCTCCAGTTTACAGATGGGGACACTGAGGCTCGGTTTTCTTACTTTAGTGTAAGGGGTGTGGTTTCTTATTGTTTTCTTTATTTTTGATGTATTTCACACTGATTAAAATTTTTCTTTTTCTACCTACAAATGTGACACATGCTTCTGGCAGTTCACCTGGGAAAGAGGAAGGTGGCAATAGTCACCACGTTGAGAGGGAGCACCCTGGGTGGGGGCACCCTGGCTTCATAGCCCAGTTTCACCATTCAGTTTTTGAGCTGCTCTTTGCCGGGGTTTCCTCGCCCCCCGTGGTGTTGAGATCTGTGTGAGAGACACTAAGGGTCAGCCTTTCATGTGCGCACACGTGCCTCTTAAAGAGTAGTTTGTGCTGTGCATCTTGTTCTGTTTTTTTTTCTTCAAATAACAGATTTTGGCTGGGGGTGGTGGCTCATGCCTGTAATCCCAGCACTTTGGGAGGTGGAGGCGGGTGGATCACTTGAGGTCGGGAGTTCGAGACCAGCATGGCTAACACGATGAAACCCTGTCTCTACTAATAATACAAAACGTTAGCTGGGCATGCTGGCAGTTGCCTGTAGTCCCAGTTACTTGGGAGGCTGAGGCAGGAGAATGGCGTGAACCCGGGAGGCGGAGCTTGCAGTGAGCTGAGATCACGTCACTGCACTCCAGCCTGGGTGACAGAGTGAGACTTCATCTCAAAAAAAAAAAAAAACCAAAAAAAACCCTCTAAATTCGGGATTCAAGAATTCATTGGGATCAGACTTGTCCTTCTGTCCTAGAAAAATTTATAGGCCTTGTGAAGGAGACCAAAGATAGAGGTCCTTGGGAGAGGGTCAGCTGCAGGGAACATGACTCTGACATCTGGTGGAGGGGCTAGCCATGCTGGATGGCGTGGCAGGCAGTGGGCTCCCCAGGCCATATCTTATAGGAGGTCTTGGGTTCCTGGAGTTCCTGTGTGTGAGCGCTGGTTCCCAGGAAACAGATGTGGTCACTGCTCACAAGGTAGCGGGTGGTGTTTTTATATCTCTTCAAGTAACAACGTTGGACCTGTAGTTAAATGCCTTTATTCTTGCCAGACCTCTTTCCAGAGTGGATCATGGAATATTAACACTTGTTGTGAGCTGCTTAGAGTACTGCGAATGATTTTTAGAGTTATTTTCTTTCTTTGCAAAAACTGTTTTTCGCCGGGTGTGGTGGCTTATGCCTGTAATCCCAGCACTTTGGGAGGCCGGGGCGGGTGGATCACCTGAGGTCAGGAGTTTGAGACCAGCCTGACCAACATAGTGAAACCCCGTATCTACTAAAAATGCAAAAATTAGCCGCGTGTGGTGCACGCCTGTAATCCCAGCTACTTGGGGCTGAAGCAGGAGAATTGCCCGAACCCAGGAGGCAGAGGTTGCAGTGAGCCAAGATCGTGCCATTGTACTCCAGCCTGGGCAACAAGAACGAAAACGTCTCGGAAAAAAAAAAAAAAAAAAATAAATAAATAAATAAATTTTTTTTTTTGTAGAGAAGGGGTCTTGCCGTGTTGCCCAGGCTGGTCTCATACCTCTGGGTTCAAGCGGTTCACCCACCTTGGCCTCCTAAAGTGCTGGGATTTCAGGTGTGAGCCAGCGTGCCCAGCTGAGTTCATTATTTTCTGGAATTCCTTTTTAGAAAAAGGAAAATGTAGTCGTGGGATGCTGGTCCTTTGTCATTTGTTGCACATTTTTCCACCCTTTTGCTTTTTTTTTTTTCTTTTTTTTTTTTTTTTTTGAGATGTAGTCTCTCTGTTGCCCAGGCTGGAGTATAGTGGCCCAATCTTGGCTCACTGCAACTTCTGCCTCCAGGGTTCAAGCGATTCTCCTGCCTCAGCCTCCAGCGTAGCTGGGATTACAGGCGTGTGCTACCACGCCTGGCTAATTTTTTGCATTTTTAGTAGAGACAGGGTTTCACCATGTTGGCCAGGCTGGTCTCAAACTCCTGACCCCCACGTGATCTGCCCACCTTGGTCTCCCAAAGTGCTGGGATTACAGGTGTGAGCCATTGTGCCCGGCCTGCTTTTGCCTTTTAATATTGTGTCTGGTGTATTTTATCTACTGAAGTTTTTTCGTGTTTGTTTTTTTAAAGAGATGGGATCTCGCTCTGTCACCCAGGCTGGAGTGTAGTGGCGCAGTCATAGCTCACTGCAGCCTTGAGCTCCTGGGATTAAGTGATCTTCTCACTTCAGCCTCCTGCAGAGCTGGGACAACAGGCACAAGCTGCCATGCCTAGTTAATTAAAAAACTTTTTTTTTTGGCCAGGCGCAGTAGCTCATGCCTCTGATCCTAGCACTTTGGGAGGCCGAGGCGGGTGGATTACAAGGTCAGGAGTTCAAGACCAGCCTGACCAACATGGTGAAACCCTGTCTCTACTAAAAATACAAAAATTAGCTGGGCATGGTGAAGCATGCCTGTAATCCCAGCTACTTGAGAGGCCGAGGCAGGAGAATTGCTTGAACTGGGACCCAGGACGCGGAGGTAGCAGTGAACGAGATCGTGCCACTGCACTCCAGCGTGGGCTACAGAGCCAGACTGTCTCAAAAAAAAAAAAATTTTGTTTTTGCAGGGTCAGGGTCACGCTGTGTTCCTCAGGCTGGTCTCGAACTTCTGGCCCCAAGCAATCCTGCCTTGGCCTCCCACAGTGCTGGGATGACAGGTGTGAGCCACTGCACCCAGTCTCTACTGAAGTTTTAGAAATATTTAGCTTGTCAAACTATCAGTTTCTTTGTGTTTGGCCTTTGGTAGTACGGTTAGAAAGTTTATTTTTCCTAATCAGTTATGTAAGCCTCATTTATTGGATGATTTAGTGGCCTCTCCCCTACTTGAAATGCCATTTTAAATCTATATTAAATATTCAAATATATTAGCCTTTGCTTTTAGATTTTTTATCCTGTTCCATTGACCTATCTGTATGCTCTTTTTTCTGGGTCATTTCGTTTGTTTGTTTTTTTTTTTTTTTTGAGATGGAGTCTCGCTCTGTCACCCAGGCTGGAGTGCAGTGGCGTGTTCTTGGCTTACTGCAACCTCCGCCTCCCAGGTTCAAGAGATTCTCCTGCCTCAGCCTCCCGAGTAGCATGTGCCACCACGCCTGGCTAATTTTTGTATTTTTAGTAGAGAACGGTTTTCATCATGTTGGCCAGGATAGTCTCGAACTCCTGACCTCAAGCAGTCTGCCCGCCTTGGCCTCCCAAAGTGCTGGAATTAGAGGCGTGAGCCACCACGCCTGGCCTGGGTCATTTTGTTTGATGTTAGTTTATATTTTGCCTGGCATCCTTTCCTCTTATTTTCTTGATGGTTTTGTAGCCCGTTCATTAATGCGGATGAACTCCGGAATTATTTTATCACTCTCCACCCTTTGGAATTCTATTAAATTCACAAATTCATGTAGGGGAGAAGTCTTTCTAAGATTTAATTTTCATGTCTAAGATCATGGTATTATGTCTCTAATTATTCACATCTTTTGTGTTCCTCAGTGAAGGTTGGTGATTTTCTTTAGATGATTCCTGGAGACTTTTTTTTAGGTTTATTTCTAGGTATGTTTTGTCTTTTATTGCTCTTGTGAAACTATTTGTTATGTGTTCTAACTAGTTATTGCTGATGTCTAGTGAAGATATGTTTTGTATACTGTTTTTGTAAATGGCAACACTGTAATGGAATATGTATGTGTAAACATACATTTCTTAACATCTTTATAGGGATATAATTACATACTATAGAGTTCACTCTTCTAAATATACATTTTAGTGTTAGTGTATTAGTGTATTACAGAGTTGTGTAACTATCACTACCACAATCTAGGCATTTTCATCATCTGAAGCAACCCAACTCCCATCAACAATTCCTTCCCATTCTCTGCTTCCGCAGTAACCACTCATCTGGCTCTGGGTTTGTGTGTATTCAGCATTTTGTGTGATGGAATCATGCAGTAGGAGGTCTTTTGGCACTGGCTTTTTTCACTTAGCATCATGTCTATGAGGTTCACTGTGTGATGAAATGTTTACTTCAATAGTTTTTCAGTCTTTTTTTTTTTTTGGAGACAAAGTCTTGCTCTGTCACCCAGGCTGGAGTGTAATGGCGTGATCTTGGCTCACTGCAACCTCCTTCTCCTGGGTTCAAGCGATTCTCCTGCCTCAGCCTCCTGAGTAGCTGGGATTACAGGCGCCACCTGTAAAATTAGCCTGGCCAATTTTTGTATTCTGAGTAGAGACAGGGTTTCACCATGATGGCCAGGCTTGTCTTGAACTCCTGACCTCAGGTGATCCACCTGCCTCGGCCTCCCAAAGTGCTGGGATTACAGGCGTGAGCCACCGTGCCCGGCCAGTTGTTTCTTCTGGGTTTTCTTAGCAGGTAAATATTATATGGTTTGTAAATAATGCTACTCTTTATCCACGATTATAAATTTTTATTCTTAGAACATTTTATTGAGTTTTAATTTTATTGAGTTTAAAATTTACCTACTATAAAATGCACCCATTTTAGTAAGATGTTTGAGTTTCGGTAAATGTATACACCCCGCGCTATCAAGATATGGAACATTTCTGTCATCCCAAGGAGTTACTTGATGTCCTTTTGCTGTCAGTCCCCTCACCCCAGCCCTAGGGAACCACTGTTGGTTAATGGTACTGTTCATTAGTTTTGCCTGTTCTAGAATCATTCAGTATGTGCTCTTTTTGTCTTCCGTTGTTAAAATAACATCTCCGGGACTTACCATTGTTGGTGTGTGTATCAGTAGTTTGTACGTTTTCTCTCGTGCTGATAAATCACAATTTGTTTCTTCTTTTTTTTTTTTGAGATGGAGTCTTGGTCTGTTGCCCAGGCTGGAGTGCGGTGGAGTGCAGTGGTGCGATCTCGGCTCACTGCAAGCTCTGCCACCCGGGTTCACGCCATTCTCCTGCCTCAGCCTCCCGAGTAGCTGGGACTACGGGTGCCCGCCAACACACCCAGCTAATTTTTTTTTTATTTTTAGTAGAGACGGGGTTTCACCTTGTTAACCAGGATGGTCTCGATCTCCTGACCTCGTGATCCGCCCGCCTCAGCCTTCCAAAGTGCTGGGGTTGTTTCTTCTTTTATCTGTTGATGGACATTTGAGTTGTTTCCGGTTTTTGGCTGTTATTAATAATGCTACTTTTTGGGAGGCTGAGGTGGGCAGATCATGAGGTCAGGAGATTGAGACTATCCTGGCTAACACGGTGAAACCCCATCTCTACTAAAAATACAAAAAATTAGCCCAGTGTGGCGGTGTGCGCATGTAGTCCCAGCTACTTGGGAGGCTGAGGCAGGAAAATTGCTTGAACCCGGGAGGTGGAGGTTGCAGTGAGCCGAGATCTTGCCACTGCACTCCAGCCTGGGTGATAGAGCGAGACTCCGTCTCAAAAAAAAAAAAAAAAAAAGTAATGCTACTGTGAAAATGTTTATGTACAAGTTTTTAGGTAGACAGAGGTTTTATTTTCTCTTGGGAAAATACGCATGTGTGGAATTGCTGAGTAGCAGAAAGTGTCTTACTTGTAGAAAGTGTATGACTTGGCCAGGCGCGGTGGCTCCTACCTGTAATTCTAGCACTTTGGGAGACTGAGGCAGGTGGATTGCCTGAGCTCAGGAGCTCAAGACCAGCCTGGGCAACATGGTAAAACCCCATCTCTACTAAAATACAAAAAATTAGCCGGGTGTGGTGGCAGGTGCCTGTAGTCCCAGCTACTCAGGAGGCTGAGGCACGAGAATTACTTGAATGTGGGAGGCAGAGGTTGCAGTAAGCTGAGATGACACCACTGCACTCCAGCCTGGGTCACAGAGTGAGACTCTGTCTCCAAAAAAAAAAAAAGTGTGTGACTCATCACCTGCCATACTGATGCCATGAAGATTGTACTGTTGACCATTTCTACCAACAAGGTATGAGGATTCCAGCTGCTCTGGGTTCTCTTCAGCACTCAGCGTTGCCAGTCTCTCTGATTTCAGGGAGTGTATCTCGTTGTGTCCTTCTCTGCGTTTCCCGGATGCCAGTTGCAGTTGTTTTCCATGTATGAAGACTTGCAGCCCAGCGTATGGTCTGTTTTGTTGAACATTCCGCGTGCACTTGAGAAAAATGTCTGTTCTGTTGTTGGGTAGATTGTTCTCTAAATGTCACGTAAGTAAGGTGGGTGATAGTGCTGTTTAGGTTTCAGCGATTTTCTCTTACTTGTTCTATCAGTTCCTGAAACAGGAGTGTCGAAGTTTTCAACCGTGTCTCCTTTCATTTCTCTCAGCTTCTTCTGTGCTTATTTTGAAGCTCTGTAGGTTGGTGTGTATACTTACAGAATTGTTAAGTCTTCATGATGAATTGATCCTTTTATTATCATGAAACATTCTGTTTATCTCTGATGGTAATGCTTGTTCTGACATTTACTTTGTCTGATATTAACAGAGCCACTCCAGCTCTTTTATGATTTGTGATTGGTTGGAATATCTTTTTCCTTTTGCTTACGTTTAACCTAGCTATGTCTTTTTGTTTGTTTTTGTTTTTTAAGAGACAGGGTTTTGGGCCAGGTGCGGTGGGCTCACACCTGTAATCCCATCACTTTGGGAGGCCGAGGTGGGTGGATCACCTGAGGTCAGGAGTTCGAGACCAGCCTGGCCAACATGGTGAAACCCCGTCTCTACTAAAAATACAAAAATTAGCCAGGCGTGGTGACGCGTGCCTGTAATTCCAGCTACTTGGGAATCTGAGGGAGGAGAATAGCCTGAACCCGGGAGGTGGAGGTTGCAGTGAGCTGAGATCACGCCACTGCACTCCAGCCTGGGGGACAGAGCAAGACTCTGTCTCAAAAAAAAAGAAAAAAAAGAGACGGGTTTTGCTCTGTTGCCCAGGCTGGAGTGCAATAGTAGGATCATAGCTCATTGCCGCCTTGAAATTCTGGCTTCAAATGATCCTCCCACCTTGGTCTCCCAAAGTGCTGGGAAAACAGGCATGAGCCACCACACCTGGCCGGCCTCAATGTCATGTTGATGTTCACTTTTACAGTAAATGTTTCCTATGTTTTTCCCTAGAATGGATGATGAACTTGTTGTTGGACATAGTGCAAGATCAGACATCTCCAGCTTCCCTTGTACATCTGGCTTTTAAATTTCTTTACATCATCACCAAGGTAACATTTCCATAGCACTTCAGAGTTGACAGATACTTTTGTAATATACTTGGTCCAGAGGTTACCCTCCAAAATGTTATTTCTCAAGAAAGATAGTTCTTAGACACAAGTTGTGGGTTTAATTCTGTCCCTTTTTACTGTATGTTGGGGATCAGAATTTAGTGATGTGGGCTCTTTGGCTGAAACAGTGTCAGGATATTCAGCATCTTGCATTTGAATAGATTGAAGCACTGTGTAGCTAGGAAGGGAATGGGGTGGAGATGAGACTAAATCAGAAAAACTTCTTACAAGGAGAAAGCAGGCCGGGTGCGGTGGCTCATGCCTGTAATCCCAGCACTTTGGGAGGCTGAGGCAGGTGGATCACCTGTGGTCAGGAGTTCGAGATGAGCCTGGCCAACATGGTGAAACCCCGTCTCTACTAAAAATACAAAAATTAGCTGGGCTTGGTGGCACATGACTGTAATCCCAGCTGCTTGGGAGGCTGAGGCGGGAGAATGGCTTGAACCTGAGAGGCAGAGGTTGCAGTGAGCCGAGATCATGCTGTTGCACTCCAGCCTGAGTGACAGAGCGAGACTCTGTGGAAATGGAAGTGCTTCTCACACTTTAATGTGCAGATGAATTTCCTGGGAATTTTGCTGTGCTATAGATTTTGAGCAAGTAGGTCTAGGCGGGGGTCTCATAGTCTGCTTTTCTTACAAGCTTGCGGGTGTCTGTGCTCATAGTCTGCTTTTCTTACAAGCTTGCGGGTGTCTGTGCTCATAGTCTGCTTTTCTTACAAGCTTGCGGGTGTCTGTGCTCATAGTCTGCTTTTCTTACAAGCTTGCGGGTGTCTGTGCTCATAGTCTGCTTTTCTTACAAGCTTGCGGGTGTCTGTGCTCATAGTCTGCTTTTCTTACAAGCTTGCGGGTGTCTGTGCTCATAGTCTGCTTTTCTTACAAGCTTGCGGGTGTCTGTGCTCATAGTCTGCTTTTCTTACAAGCTTGCGGGTGTCTGCTCATAGTCTGCTTTTCTTACAAGCTTGCGGGTGTCTGCTCATAGTCTGCTTTTCTTACAAGCTTGCGGGTGTCTGTGCTCATAGTCTGCTTTTCTTACAAGCTTGCGGGTGTCTGCTCATAGTCTGCTTTTCTTACAAGCTTGCGGGTGTCTGTGCTCATAGTCTGCTTTTCTTACAAGCTTGCGGGTGTCTGTGCTCATAGTCTGCTTTTCTTACAAGCTTGCGGGTGTCTGTGCTCATAGTCTGCTTTTCTTACAAGCTTGCGGGTGTCTGTGCTCATAGTCTGCTTTTCTTACAAGCTTGCGGGTGTCTGCTCATAGTCTGCTTTTCTTACAAGCTTGCGGGTGTCTGTGCTCATAGTCTGCTTTTCTTACAAGCTTGCGGGTGTCTGTGTGCTGGCCCAGAGGCTCACTGTTGGCAGTTTTGACTATGGAAGTACTCACAGCCGTCTCAGGGTGGGGCTTGGGGTTCGTAGTGGCGAGGCGCATTTCTGTTGTCTGGCGGGAAAGTCCTTGGCCAGCGAGAGGACACTGCGGGTGAGCTGCCAAGGACACGCAGGCCTCTGTAGCTCCTCTGTTTGAGGTTAGGATTTCTCCGGAAGGCGTGGTATCACTGAGCTTCAGGGAAGTGTTAATGAATTTGGGCCCTTGCGGTTTGTAGGCACTTATTCCTCATAAATGTCAGAGGACAGTCATATAAATGAACATATTTAATGACTGATTCCGTAAATATGGTAATGAATAACACTACCAATTTAGGAAGGAAATCTTTTTTTTTGAGAGATGGGGTCTTGCTCTGTCACTCAGGCTAGAGTGCAGTGATGCAGTCAGCTCACTGCAGCCTCGAACTCTTGGTCTCAAATGATTCTCCCTCCTGCCTCATCCTCTCAGACTACAGGCATGTGCCACCATCCTGTCTAATTTTTAATTTTTTATGTTGCCCAGGCTAGTCTCCAACTCTTGGTCTCAAGCTATTCTTTTGCCTCGGCCTCCCAAAGTGCTGGGATTACGGGTGTGAGCCATCGCTCTTGGCCATGGGTAGCTTTCTTGGGGTGACTACGGTCTTACTAAATTGTGTCACTGTAATGTCACAGAATTCTCTTTGATCAGTGGGTCGCGTAGCTGGTGATTTTTGATGAAAGGGTAGAAAGGCAATTTTGCTGCTCTCTGTATTTTTAAATGTTATAATTCAGCATCTCTTTATTTGATAGGTTCGAGGCTATAAAACATTTCTTCGTTTATTTCCTCATGAAGTTGCCGATGTAGAGCCTGTTTTAGATTTGGTCACAATTCAGAATCCCAAGGACCATGAAGTGAGTGTCTCTGCCTCCCCCCTCGTCTCCAGCCCTCCGTGCCTGTCCTTCCTCCCTGCTTGCCCCACCCTGCTGCACCTTCCCCTTCCTGTTTCTTTCATTTTATCTCCCTTTGTTTTGTGTCACTCCTCTTTTCTTTCTTTTCTTTTCACTTTTCCTTTACTTCTTGTACAAGTTGCTTTAAATTATTTTCGTTTAAAATAGCCCCTTTATAAAAAAAATTATGCCTAGGTGTAGTTTAACAATAAATCCGTCATTGTTTCTATGTTTTTTTAACTGTGTAAGTATAACTGTGTTGGGTTCCCAAGACCACCCCCAGGTTTGATACTTCCTGAGCGGGACTCACAGCACTCAGCATAGAGTCCTCCTTTTGGCTGTCACTTGTTATGGCAAAATAATACACAGCAAAATCAGCAAAGGGAAAAGGCACATGGGTGGGGTCTGGGGAGAACCAGGCGGGAGCTCCCGGGGTCCTCCAGTTGGGTCCCACAGGGCCTGTGTCATTCCCCCAGCAGTGAGATGTGACCACACCTGTGAGGTGTCTATCAGAGAAGCACGTTTGAGACTTGGTGCCCAGAGCTTTCACTGGGGTCTGGCCACATGGACACCTCTGCCTGGCACGAAACGAAATTCCAGACCCCCAGCAGGAAAGCAGGTGCCAGCGTAAAGCACACGGTTTGTGCAGATTGAGCCAGCGAGGGACCTCATCAGGCAGGGCTTGGTGGGAACCCTGCTGGTGTCCAGGTCCCTGGATACCAGCCCAGGGCCGGCCTCGTCAGGGGCCTTGCCTCAGACGGCAGCGGGGCCTGCTATGCTCGCTGTCTTCTGCGTGGTATGTATTTGGAGGAGCACACGGTTTATAACCGTGCAGTGCGGTGGCTTGTCTCGGCGTGGATGTGACTGATGAGCGCTGTGGGGCATTTCCCTGCTGCCCTGCACTCCGTGCCCTTCTTTCCCTAGTACTTCTAGCGCCCCCCAGTGGAATGATTGCAGGGACAAATTGGGATGTTTTTTACTAATTACTGAAAATAAGGGTACTCCTTTTTTATTAGAAGTTGATAATTGTTTTCTTTATTCTTTTTTTTTTAAAAAGACAGAGTTTCACTCTTCTTGCCCAGGTTGGAGAGCAATGGCACAATCTTGGCTCACTGCAACCTCTGTCTCCCAGGTTCAAGCGATTCTCCTGTGTCAGCCTCCTGAGTAGCTGGGATTACAGGCATGTGTCATCACGCCAGGGTAATTTTGTATTTTTAGTAGAAACAGGGTTTCTCCATGTTGGTCAGGCTGGTTTAGGACTCTTGACCTCGGCCAGGCACGGTGGCTCGTGCCTGTAATCCCAGCAGTTTGGGAGGCCAAGGTGGGCGGATCACGAGGTCAGGAGATCGAGACCATCCTGGCTAACACGGTGCAACCCTGTGTCTACAAAAAATACAAAAATTAGCCTAGCATGGTGGCAAACGCCTGTAGTCCCAGCTACTCAGAAGGCTGAGGCAGGAGAATGGCGTGAACCCGGAAGGTGGAGCTTGCAGTGAGCGAGGTTGCGCCACTGCACTCCAGCCTGGGCAACAGAGCGAGACTCCATCTCAAAAAAAAAAAAAGGAACTCCTGACCTCAGGTGATCCGCTCGTCTCGGCCTCCCAAAGTGTTGGGATTACAGGTGTGAACCACCACACCTGGCCTTTTTTCTTTATTCTTAGGTGTTTTTACTTTTTATCTGTTTTTCACTTTTTCAAAAGGCCAGTTTGTATGTGGAGAGGTGCCAGCGAAGAGAAGCTGCTATACTGATGTATTATGATTTTTCTTTGTTCATTTTGATGTCTCTCTTGTCTGCTGAGCTAAGTTACGGCGGTAGGTGTGTGTGGTGGGGATTCCGGGGGGGATGTGGCGAGGAGTTGGTGAACGGCTTGCATTTCTGGCCCTGAGGGTGATGGCATTTGAATGGCTTTCATAGGCATTGGGTGGGCATGGAGGGCAGTGACTTTGAGTAGATTGTGGCCAGTGGCCTGTGATTTTCAAGCAAGACTCATTCTTCCCGTGGTTTAATTTTTTAGGCTTGGGAAACCCGCTACATGCTTTTGCTCTGGCTCTCCGTGACCTGCCTGATCCCTTTTGATTTTTCTCGCCTTGACGGGAACCTCCTCACCCAGCCTGGGCAAGCACGAATGTCCATAATGGACCGTATTCTCCAAATAGCAGAGGTAAATATCATGCAGATAATTAGCTGCTAATTAGTACTCACTTTCATGTTCATGCTGTCTTGATGTTAGTGGTTTACTCGGTAAGCTTCTGATATGTATTCAACTGCTGTTTTTTTCAGTGGGGTAAAATCCCATAGGATAACTTATTTTGAAATTGTGATAATTCATGTAGGGGTCAGGTTGAGTTAGCAAATCTCATTTCTTTGTAGATGATGCAAATACTCTGTTGAGGGTAATCATGGCAGATAAGGAAGGGTTTAGTGGCATGGTGAGAGAGAATAAGGACCCATTTTACATTTAGTTCTTAACGTTATATAAATAATAGATGCTCATTTGTAGGAGAACTAGAAAATAAAGATAAGCAAGAAAAATACTAAATTTAAATTTATGAAATTCTAGTGCCAAGAGATAAGTTGTTTATTTTCTCCGAACTTTTCCTGATGTAAATATTATGCATATAAACACAGCTTATTGTATTAGTTATCTATTGGATCATAACTAATTACCCCAAACTTGAGTGTTTGACACACATTTATCCTCTTGTAGTTTCTGTGGGTCGGGAGTCTGGCATGGCTGAGCTGGGTCCTTTGTGTCAAGCTTGCCCACAGCTGCAGTTAAAACTCGACATGGGCAGGCTTTGCCCCAAGGCCGTTGGATTGAGGCCACCCTCAGTTCTTTGCCACCTGGGCCCCTCCAACTTAGTGACTTATTCCATCAAAGCCTGCAAGGGAGAAACTCTGCTAATGAGATGGAAGTCATGATAATATGTTACCTGATCATGGAAGTGACGTCCCATTCCTCTGCCAGATCCTGTGGTTAGCAGCAAGTCACCGAGTCCAGCCTACGCAAGCGAGCACTAGGAGGCTGTCAGGCTCTGAGCCATCTCAGTTGTCTCGGTCTTCCTGCCACGCTGACTGCGACAGCCCTGGTCAGCATTCACTGAGTGCCTGCTGTGTGCCTGGCACCGTTCAAACACTCATAGATTAATCTTTAATCACTTATGGATTAATAATTTAACCTATACATTGGGCTGGGCATGGTGGGTCACTCCTGTAATCCCAGCACTTTGGGAGGCCGGGGCGGGCAGATCACGTGAGGTTAGGACTTCGAGACCAGCCTGGCCAACATGGTGAAACCCTGTGTCTACTAAAAATACAAAAATTAGCTGGGCCTGGTGACACATACCTGTAATCCCAGCTACTCAAGAGGCTGAGGCAGAAGAATCCCTTGAACCTGGGAGGTGGAGATTGTAGTGAACTGAGATTACGCCACTGCACTCCAGCCTGGGTGACAGAGCGAGAGTCCATCTCAAAAAAAAAAAAAAAAAAATTTAACCTATACGTTGATGATTGATAGATCATCAGTGATTAATTAACTGTGATTAATAATCATTGAATTCTCCTTCATGAGGCTGTTGACAATTCTTACCCTCGTTTAACCGAGAAGGCAACAGGCATAAAAATTAATAACTTAGTTTACTTTGCTCATAAATGGTGGATCCATGTTTGAATCCAGGCGGTTTATCTGGAGTCTGTGCTCTTCATCAGGGCTCAGCATTGCCCCATGACCTGCTGTTCTGAGTCCTTTTTACCCTCAGCAACACGTTCTTAGTGTCTTACGATGTCAGAAAGTGTCCCCCTCATAATCGTTAAGGGAAAAGGTACTCCATTGTAATCTAATTTAAAATTCTCTCTGATAGATGGATGTTTTGTTTGTTCTTGTTTTGTTACGTTAGAGGTAGTGTGGTGATGGGCTGGGTGCGGTGGCTCACGCCTGTAATCCCAGCACTCTGGGAGGCCAAGGTGGGCATATCACCTGAGGTCAGGAATTCGAGACCAGCCTGACCAACATGGAGAAACCTTGTCTCTACTAAAAATACAACATTAGCTGGGCGTGGTGGCACGTGCCTGTAGTCCCAGCTACTCAGGAGGCTGAGGCAGAAGAATCGCTTGAACCTGGGAGGCGGAGGTTGTGGTGAGCCGATATCACGCCATTGCACTCCACCCTGGGCAACAAGAGTGAAACTCCGTCTCAAAAAAAAAAAAAAAAAGTAGTATGGTTTACCCACCCTTGTTTACTTGTCTGTGGAGAGGGACTGCCAGGTCAAGGGAGCATGGTTTGTCAAGACTTGGCACTCTGTGATTGCCGTTAGAAAGCCTGCCCCGGAGGCCGGGCACGGTGGCTCACACCTGTAATCCCAGCACTTTGGGAGGCCGAGGCAGGTGGATCACGAGGTCAGGAGTTTAAGACCAGCCTGGACAAGATGGTGAAACCCCATCTCTACTAAAAATACAAAAATTAGCCGGGAATGGTGGCTAGTGCCTGTGATCCTTTCATATTTATTCAACTGTTCTCTTACAAATGAACAGCTACTTGGGAGGCTGAGGCAGAGAATTGCTTGAACCCGGGAAGCAGAGGTTGCAGTGAGCCAAGATTGCACCACTGCACTCTAGCCTGGGCAGCAGAGCAAGACTCCGTCTCAAAAAAAAAAAAAAAAAAAAAAGCCTGCCCCAGAAAAAAAGATCTTCTAAGTGTATCGTTATGGGAAAAAACAAACAAACAAACAAAAAAAACCGAGACAAGCATTGGAAACATTTTAAGGCAGCCCTCCGAAAAATAAATCTAGCTGGGCGTGGAGGTTTCATGCCTGTAATTCCAGCACTTTGGGAGGCCAGGGTGGGAGGATAGCTTGAGCCCAGGAGTTTGAGAGCAGCCTAGACAATATAATGTGACTCAGTCTCTACCAAAAAATAAAAGAAAATTAGCCAGGTGTGGTGGTACACACCTTTGGTCCCAGCTATTCTGGAGGCTGAGGTGGGAGGGTCATCTGAGCTGGGGAGGTTGGTGCTGCAGTGAGTTTTTTTTTTTTTGAGATGGAGTCTTGCCCTGTCACCCATTCTGGAGTATAGTGGTCTAATCTCAACTCACTGCAGCCTCTGCCTTTGAGGCTCAAGCAATCCTCCCACCTCAGCCTCCTGAGTAGCTGGGATTACAGGCATGTGCCATCATGCCTGGCCAATTTTTGTGTCATTAGTAGAGACGGGGTTTTACCATATTGACCAGGCTGGTCTCAAACTCCTGACCTCAGGTGATCCGCCTGCCCCAGCCTCTCAAAGTGCTGGGATTACAGGCGTGAGCCGCAGTGCCCAGCCTACAGTGAGCTTTGCTCACACCACTGTACTCCAGCCTGGGTGACAGAGCGAGACCCGGTCTCAAAACAACAGCAAAAAAACCCTAAGACCAGCTACTGGGGAGGCTGAGGCAGGAGAATGGCGTGAACCTGGGAGGCGGAGCTTGCAGTGAGCCGAGATCGCGCCACGGCCCTCCAGCCTGGGCGACAGAGCAAGACTCCGTCTCAAAAAAAAAAAACAAAAACAAAAACAAAAAATATATACACCTACTATGTACCCCAAAAATTAAACACTAAAAATTAAAAATAACTAGGTATTTGTAGTAAATCTAGGTGCTCTTCAGTTTGAACAGGGCCTCTTATCTAGTCTGAATACTCCAATACTGATGGTTCCCTTGTGCTGGAAGGCATATTAGGTGCTCAATGAATACTCTTGATTCTTTGTTACAATTGGGTAACTCCTTTGTTTACATTCTCCTGCTCTGTTCTTGCAAATGTGTGTTTCAAGGGGGTGTGACCAAATGCTCTGTGTAGCTCAGGCACTTCCTGGGTGAGTGTAGCAGTTGGCAGCTGTAGCCCTTGGCTCAGATTGAAGAGAGGTTTTTTTTTGCAGCTTTGGACTTAGGCCTGTGCTGGTAAGGTTTGTGAACCTGGGCCCTCGGGGAGCTGGTGAGGGTGGGACTGGTGACTGTGTGGTGTCCCCAAGGCTGGCGTGTGCAGGAGTGACCGTGTCTGTGCTTCACCCTTTCTTGCAGTCCTACTTGATTGTCAGTGACAAGGCCCGAGATGCAGCTGCTGTCCTTGTGTCCAGGTAAGTTTCCATGGCACATTTCTTGGTGTGTGGCTGGTGGGTTCTGAGAGGGGTTTGTTTGGGTACGTGTTTCATGTGCGTCTTCAGTCCTCAGACGAAGGACCCCGGGAAGTCTTTGGACTCTGTGGCTTTCTCTGAGGGAGTGTGCAGCAGTGTTTGGGCACAGAAGACCTCTGACCCTGAAATGACCACCCTCAGTGGTGGTTTGGGGTGCTGGTGGGGGTCACCTGACAGGCCCATCGACAGGAGTGCAGGTCTGGAAGAGGCGTGGCTGTCATCCCTGGGGTGCAGCCCCTGCACAGGGATGGGGTGGCAGTTATGAGAAACATCTCGGGCCGTCTCCCATGGAGATGATGGGTGGTGTTGGGCCTCTGTGACTGGGGATGAAAATCCCCCAACGTCCTGTATTAACTGCACCCCCCGTGTGCCCCAGACAGGGGAAGGTGGTTTTCTCTGCTGAGCGCAGCAGGCCTGCGGTGTTGGAAAGATACCAAGGATGTGTGTATAGACTGAGCGAACCTGTTTCATGAGATGCAAGAAGGAAGAAAGCAATATTTCTAATCAGTATTTTACATGACATGTGATTTTAAGTATGTATGTAGTTTACTAAGTCAGAACAGTTGACATTTTCCCCCTCTGCAATAGTGAAAGTCGAAAGCTGGTCCTAAAACCTTTCGGTGGTTGTGGTTGGGAATACGGTCAGTGCCTCATGCAGCGTCACCTTCACTCGGGTGTGTAGCTGCAACTTGCACAGCTTCTTTCCCAGAGAAGTGGGAGGAGAGAAGCTTCCTTTGTGGGGCAGTTGGAGGCATTGGATGAGGGGTTTGTGACAGCCTGGAGCTGAGGAAGGAACGCCTGAGTCCCCTGGAGCAGGTGAGGCCCCTCCCGAGAGGGCAGAGGCTGCTTCCTGTCTTGTCAAGGACATAAAAAGATGATCGTCTAATTATTAAAGTAATCTGTATATATTTAGATAATAGAGCATGAAGTACAAAATAAAACCTTTGAATGCTTTCATCCCATGGGGGTGTGATGGCCCCTGTCTCCCTACCGGGTGGCGCCAACTCTGTCCATGGTCTCCCCGCGGGGCGGCACCAACTCTGTCCATGGCTCAGTTGCTGCACTCAATTCTTTGCACCACGGACCAGGAGATGGGCCTGGTGCGCCATTGTCTTCTTCCAAAACGAGATGACCTGGTGCGAGAGTGTCTTTTCTTTTTCTTTCTTTTTTTTTTTTAATTGAGATGGAGTCTCACTTTGTCTCCCAGGCTGGAGTGCAGTGGCACGATCTCGGCTCACTGCAAGCTCTGCCTCCCGGTTTCACACCATTCTCCTGCCTCAGCCTCCCGAGTAGCTGGGACTACAGGTGCCCGCCACCATGCTCAGCTAATTTTTTTTTGTATTTTCAGTAGAGATGGGGTTTCACTGTGTTAGCCAGGATGGTCTCCATCTCCTGACCTCATGATCCGCCCACCTCGGCCTCCCAAAGTGCTGAGATTACAGGTGTGAGCCACCGCGCCTGGCCCGAGTGTGTCTTTTTTTTTTTTTTTTAATTTTTTTAGTATTTATTGATCATTCTTGGGTGTTTCTCAGAGAGGGGGATTTGGCAGGGTCATAGGACAATAGTGGAGGGAAGGTCGCAGATAAACATGTGAACAAAGGTCTCTGGTTTTCCTAGGCAGAGGACCCTGCGGCCTTCCGCAGTGTTTTTGTCCCTGGGTACTTGAGATCAGGGAGTGGTGATGACTCTTAAGGAGCATGCTGCCTTCAAGCATCTGTTTAACAAAGCACATCTTGCACCGCCCTTAATCCATTTACCCCTGAGTGGACACAGCACATGTTTCAGAGAGCACGGAGTTGGGGGTAAGGTTATAGATTAACAGCATCCCAAGGCAGAAGAATTTTTCTTAGTACAGAACAAAATCGAGTCTCCTATGTCTACTTCTTTCTACACAGACACAGTAACAAACTGATGTCTCTTTCTTTTCCCCACATTTCCCCCTTTTCTATTCGACAAAACCGCCATCGTCATCATGGCCCGTTCTCAATGAGCTGTTGGGTACACCTCCCAGACGGGGTGGCAGCCGGGCAGAGGGGCTCCTCACTTCCCAGACTTGGCGGCCGGGCAGAGGCACCCCCCACCTCCCAGACGGAGCGGCGGCCGGGCGGGGGCTGCCCCCCACCCGAGTGTGTCTACCTGTCGTTTGTGGTGGGACATTTAGACTGCTGCCCTCCCAATTTGGTATTAAAACTCAATATTGCAAACAGTCCACGTAAAATTGTGTACCGTTCTGACTGATTTCTAGGGATGAGTTTCTACAAGTGGAACGCACGTTTTCAGGGTCTGAATGCAATTACTGGAGAGGCTGAACAAGTTGGAAGTTCTTTCCCCGTCTTTTCCAGTTGGGTCAAACCTTAAGAATGTTTGCCAACTTCGTTCAATGGGAAATAGTATCTGCTTTTATTCTTACTTTTCTTAGCAGCAGTACTGAGGGTTGCGTAGATTTTTGCCGAGCTTGGCTCTGTGGAGTGCGGTGCCTGTGGGCCAGGAGGCACCATCTGAGTACTTCTCCCTCCGTGGGGTCCTCCGGGAAAAGAGCGCGCTGGCTCGGGATCCCGGGCGGACTCCCGGCGAGACACCGCAGCGCCACCTAGTGCCGGGATGAGCAGGTGCTTTTCGGCCGAGCCAGTTTCCGTGCAGAACACCTGAGCCTGGGATCCAGGAGAGGTGGTGCCTGGGGGCGTCGGTGCCGTGGAGCCTTTCTCCCCCTTGGTCTCGCACACTCTCGCACACTGATTCTCAAGAGTGTTTGAGAATGGCGGATGCCGTCAGTGGAAGAGCTCTTACAGGTGCTTGGCCGGTTCCCTCGACACCTCCCAGACTCACCGCAGGTTCTGAGTTTCCTGTACTTCTCAGACCCCTTTTTGGTGAGGATTGTTCAGGTAAGGCCAGGGCTGCGAGGGGTCCTGTGCCAGCATTTGTCTGCAGTACAGGTTCGTTTTCTGCTCTCCAGGGAGGAGCAGCCTGCTCTAGCCCACTTTGCTCTCAGGATTGAATGCTTCTCCCTGTATCACTGGCGGCTCTACAGCTGCACCCGTCTCCCTTGATTAACTGAGCTTGCCAACATCCACAGCGCTGTAGGTGGTGCTTGGTGTTACAGTGTTGCTAGAACATGCAGATTGAGTGCTGCCTTAGAAACCCACAGGAAGGGGAACATCACACTCTGGGGACTGTTGTGGGGTGGGGGGAGGGGGGAGGGATAGCATTGGGAGATATACCTAATGCTAGATGACGAGTTAGTGGGTGCAGCACACCAGCATGGCACATGTATACGTATGTAACTAACTTGCACAATGTGCACATGTACCCTAAAACTTAAAGTATAATAATAAAAAAATTAAAAAAAAACCCCTTTAATAGATATGCCTTTCGCCAGGCACGGTGGCTCATGCCTGTAATCCCAGCACTTTGGGAGGCTGAGGCGGGTGGATCACCTGAGGTCAGGAGTTCAAGACCAGCCTGGCCAACATGGTGAAACCCTGTCTCCACTAAAAATACAAAAAAATTAGCTGGGCATGGTGGTGCGTGCCTCTAATTCCAGATACTTGGGAAGCTGAGGCAGGACAATCGCTTGAGCCCAGGAGGCAGAGGTTGCAGTGAGCAGAGATCGCACCATTGCACTCCAGCCTGGGCAACAGAGCAAGACTCCATCTCAAAAAAAAAAGAGGTACGCTGTATGCAGAAAAGTTGGAAATCTTGGCGTGGCGTGGTGGCACGCACCTGTGGTCCCAGCTATTCCGAAGGCTGGGTGGGAGGATTGCTTGAGCCCAGAAGGTTGAGGTTTCAGTGAGCTGTGATTGCGCCACTGCATTCCAGCCTGCACAACAGAGCAAGACCCTGTCTCAAAAAAAAGTTGAAAATCTTGAAACATAGAAGTTGGAAAAAGATATATAGGTAATTCTTATACACAGTGCGTGTACCGTGTTTATCTTCTTTGCACCGTTATGACTTTTAATGTGCACAGCATGATCTTAACAAGTCAGAGTCAGCACTGTGCTTTTTCACCTGATTTCATGTAACTGCTGATGAATGGCTCCGTCGTGTTCTGCTGTGTTTCGATACTGCACTCAGCTCTGTCACTTCCTGCCTCTTGTGAGCAGTCACGGACGCCTGGGTTTGGTTACAGACCCGTTCTCGTGTCAGGATTGTTTCGTGAGGATGGGCCCTTAGAGATGGACTTCTGGGTTCCAGGACACGAGAGTGGTGTTGGGGTCTGCACACCTGGTGGCTCTCAGCTGCTCTCTGAGCAGTGCTTTGGTGGCCGAGGCAGCCCCAGGAACACCCCACCCCCAAATTGGATTAAACATGGTGTCGCTGATTGCAGGTATTTAATTGGCATCACGCTGATTGCCCTCACCTTAGGTGTTACATACTCCGCTTCGTGACCTGACTCTGCGTGTCTGTGGGCTCCTTGGGGCCTTTTCTTCCCCACGAGTGTGAGTTTCCTCCGGTGAAGGGCGATGGGTATTGCCCCAGGTGGTTGTTGGCCTTTTCCTTTTTTTTTGGACCAAAGTTTTAATTTTAATGTCAAACCGTTTTTTTCTCCTTTATTTAGTTATTTTTACTTTTAAGCCTGCAGTCTTATTAAGAGATTTAACAAGTAGTCATTTATATTTTTCTCTACCGTTTATTAAGACAGAATTATTGATTCATTTGGGGTTTCTTTTGGTCTACAGTAGAACCCCGCCCTTCCCAGTAGGTAACCAGTTGCTTTAGTGCCATTTTGTGTCTGTAGGGACCAGCACCACAAGGTCGGTGGGTTTCTCCCTGTGTGTGGAGATGAGAGAGTGTAGAAATAAAGACACAAGACAAAGAGATAAAAGACAGCTGGGCCCGGGGGACAACTACCACCAAGTTGCAGAGACCGGTAGCGGCCCCGAATGCCAGGCTGCACTGATATTATTGGATACAAGACAAAGGGGCAGTGTAAGGAATGTGAGCCATCTCCAACGGTAGGTAAGGTCTCGTGGGTCACGTGTCCACTGGACGGGGGGCCCTTCCCTGCCTGGCAGCCGAGGCAGAGAGAGAGAGAGGAGAAGGAGATAAACAGCTTACATTATTATTTCTGCTTATCAGAGACTTTTCACTAATTTGCTACTGCTAACTAAACGGCAGAGCCAGGTGTACAGGATGGAACGTGAAGGCAGACTAGGAGCGTGACCACTGAAGCACAGCATCACAGGGAGACGGTTAGGCCTCCGGATAACTGCGGGCGAGCCTGACTGATGTCAGGCCCTCCACAGGAGGTGGAGGAGTAGAGTCTTCTCTAAACTCCCCCGGGGAAAGGGAGACTCTCTTTCCCGGTCCGCTAAGTAGCGGGTGTTTTTCCTTGACACTAACGCTACCGCTAGACCACGGTCCGCTTGTCAACAGGCGTCTTCCCAGACGCTGGCGTTACCGCTAGACCAAGGAGCCCTCTGGTGGCCCTGTCTGGGCATAACAGAAGGCTCGCACTCTTGTCTTCTGGTCACACCTCACTATGTCCCCTCAGCTCCTATCTCTGTATGGCCTGGCTTTTCCTAGGTTATGATTATAGAGCGAGGATTATTATAATATTGGAATAAAGAATAATTGCTACCAACTAATGATTAATGATATATATAATCATATCTAAGATCTGTATCTGGTATAACTATTCTTGTTTTATATTTTATTATATTGGAACAGCTCGTGTCCTTGGTCTCTTGCCTCGGCACCTGGGTGGCTTGCCGCCCACAGTATTCCGCTTTTCCATTCATTTCTAATGCTCTGTGGGAACTCTGTGCGTTTTAAAGGGAACACGGTTTGTCACCACCTTAATGCTGCTTCCTTCTGCGATGAAGTTAACTGCCCTGGGCCCCTTTTGCAGATCCGCTAAAGTTAACTCTCCTGGGGAGGACACATGAGTTTCTTTTTTCTTTCCTTTTCTTTTCGAGACAGGGTCTCACTCTGTTGCCCAGGCGCGAGTGCAGTGGCGTGATCACAGTTTACTGCAACCTCCATCTCCTAGGCTCAAGCAATCCTCCCACCTTAGCCTCCCCAGTAGCTGGGACTGCAGGCGCATGCCACGACACCCAGCCAATTTCTTTTTCTTTTTTTTTTTTTGAGACGGAGCTTTGCTCTTGTTGCCCAGGCTGGAGTGCAGTGGCGTGATTTTGGCTCTACTGGAGTGCAATGGCGTGATCTCAGCTCCACTGAACCTCTGCCTCCCTGGTTCAAGTGATTATCCTGCCTCAGCCTCCTGAGTAGCTAGGATTACAGGTGTGCGCCAGCACCCCTGGCTAATTTTTGTATTTTTAGTAGAGACGGGGTTTCACCATAGTGGCCAGGGTGGTCTCAAACTCCTGACCTCAGGTGATCCACCCGTCTTGACCTCCCAAAGTGTTGGGATTACAGGCATGAGCCACTGCGCCCGGCCATGCCTGGCTAATTTTTGTATTATTTTCTAGAGATGGGGTTTATTTATTTATTTATTTATTTATTTATTTTTACGGGGTCTTGCTCTGTTGCTAGGCTGGAGTGCAATGGTGAGATCTCGGCTCACTGCAACCTCCGCCTCCTGAGTTCAAGTGATTCTCATGCCTCAGCCTCCCGAGTAGCTGGGATTACAGGAATGCGCCACCATGCCCAGCTAATTTTTTAATATTTTTAGTAGAGATGGGGTGCAAGACAGGCTGTTCTCGAACTTCTGACGTCGTGATTCACCTGCCTTGGCCTCCCAAAGTGCTGGGATTACGGGCTTGAGCCACTGCGCCTGGCCAAGATGGGGGTCTTACCATGTTTACCAGGCTGGTCTTGAACTCCTGAACTCAAGCTATTCACCCACCTCCGCCTCCCAAATTGCTGGGATTACAGGGGTGAGCCACTGTGCCCAGCCAAATGATTCTTTACTTTCTGGAAATAGGGACTTCTTTCCCCATTGTTCATGCTGAGCCCCTCCCTAAGCATGCTCCACAGGGACAGTGGCGGAGGGGAGAGGTCCTTGCTGTTACGAGCAGTTGGCAGGTGCCAGCCGTCCTGTCAGCTGGGCAGCGCTTCTGTTTTGTGAGGGCCATGACCGAGTAGGATGGCACGTGCGTGGCTGTCTCCTGTGTGTTAAGTGCCCTGAGAGGGCTTGTCCCCACGGAAGCATGGAGCCGGCTCTCGCGCAGGCCAACTAGATGGATGTGCTGGAACAAGGGCCGGGAAGGTGGGATGGCCGGAGTTGAAGTTGCAGTGGAGATGACGTGGGGGCCGGAGGGAGGTTGGGCGTCATAGCCTGGCAGCTCCAGCTTCCACGTCTCACCTTGCCTGGGGTCTCCACGTAGCTGTCTCGTGGGCGTCGCGTGGGGCACTCCCCCACGTGGACTCTTCCGCCTCCTGGCCCTCCCAAGTGTCCCTTCCGGGAGGTGGCCTTGTGGCTGTTGAGGGAGCGCCTGGTGCCTCCCTCCTGGCATCACTGCCGTCTCCTTCCCCCCACCCCATAAAGGTGTGGCTAGGATGCCAGTCAGACCTGCCGGCATGGCCTAAAGAGGAGGTGGGCAGGCTTGGCCAGTACTGGTCCTGTCCCCAGCACCTCTCCCACTCGGCTGCTCTGCTTCGACCATGTTGCCTTTGCAGTTCGCGAGTTCCCTTGGCTCCCTTCTGCCCTGGGCCCTGGCTCTCCTGCTTCCCTGGGCAGCAGCACTTTCCTCCCAGGTTTTGCAGCCCCCCTCGTTGAGCTCCGTGGCTTCCGTCCTCTCTCTAACGAGGCCATGCCCTCCCGTTTCCTTCGTAACTTTTCTTTGCACTGTGGAAGTCCCCAGCTGTTTGTCGTTTCTCTCCAGAGTGTCAGCTGTGGGAGGGAAGGGCCTTGTCTGTTCTCCGTGTGGCAGTGCCAGTCTCGATCATGGAGGCAAGCTGGGGGCCTGGCCTATGAACTCCTGGTGGAGAAATCAGGAGGATCTGGGCTAATTAGCTGGGCATGGTGGCGTGCGCTTGTAGTCCCAGCTACTCGAGAGGCTGAGGCAGGAGAATTGCTTGAACCTGGGAGGCAGAGGTTGCAGTGAGTCAAGATCACACCACTGCATTCCAGCCTGGGTGACAGCACAAGACTCCATCTCAAAAAAAAGGAAGACTTGGGCTTTTTTTTTTTTTTTTTGAGACAGAGTCTTGTTCTGTCTCTCAGGCTGGAGTGCAGTGGCACAATCTTGGCTCACTGCAACCTCCGCCTCCCGGGTTCACGCGATTCTCTGGCCTTAGCCTCCTGAGTAGCTGGGATTACAGGCGCACAGCACCACACCCGGCTAATTTTTTGTGTATTTTTAATAGCGACAGGGTTTCACTATGTTGGCCAGACTGGTCTCGAACTCCTGACCTCGTGATCCGCCCTCCTCGTCCTCCAAAGTGCTGGGATTACAGGCATGAGCCACTGCGCCCGGCCAGATTTGGGCTTTTGGTTTGGGAGCTCTGTGTGCTCAAGGTGTCCTGCGCTGAGGCCGGGCTGCAAGAGGGGTGGGGAGTGTGAGCACTGCCTGGAACACGAGGCCGAGTCCAACAGGGAAGACTTTCATGGGGCTACACGAGCAGCTGGCTGTGGAAACAGGCCTGTGCACAAGACGCATGGCAGGTGTGGGGGAGGGAGGTCCCAGGGGCTGGGGCCCAGCTGCCGGGGCCAGGCCTTGCACGTGGGCACGGTGTCCTGAGGTCAAGGGATGCAGAGTTGGGTCCAGGGAGGAGGGAGGGGCTGAGAAGTGGGCAGGGGCTCCCTGGCGGTGATGGGGACAGGTAAAACTGGGGGGGTGGAGGGGGCAGGCGGGGGGGGATGGGCAGTAGGCCTGCGACCTGAGAGGTTGTGGTGGGGAACCGGCTGCTGAGGGCCCTGGTCAGGGCAGCGACTTGGTTTCTAGGGTTGGAGAGAGGAGGAACTAGCTGGAGGAGGACAGGACTCAGTACAGAGCTGGCATCTTGGTGTAAGGGTGCGTGAGGTGGGAGGGCCTGGGGAGGTGGGTGTGTGTGGGGTGGGCTGGTGAGGCGTGGGCGAGGTCTCAGTGCTGAGGCCTTGGTTGAGCTGTATCCTTTTGGCAGATTTATCACACGTCCTGATGTCAAGCAAAGCAAGATGGCTGAGTTCCTGGACTGGAGCCTGTGCAATCTGGCCCGTTCCTCCTTCCAGACCATGCAGGGGGTCATCACCATGGATGGGACGCTGCAGGCCCTGGTAAGTGCTGCCCGCAGGGGCTGTGGAGATCGCAGGGAAATGGCGCCTTACATGGGGACCACGGAATGATGTTACCTGTGATTCCATCTTGACGTAATTGGAACCCCGTGGGATTGATTTAACCGGGCCAGGGTCTTGGGCAGTTTCCTTTTCCCTCTGCTTTGGGTCCTGCCTCAGGCAGGGCTGGTTTCTGCGCTGGTGCTGGTGGATGGGCTTGGAGCCCCACCTGTTGCCAGCAGAGGGCAGTGGTGCCACGCAGCCGGGGCTCCCCAGGGTAGGTTTCTCTGCATCTGGGCTGCTTAGTTCCTGTTTAAGTGCAGAGACTGAACGAGCTCTAATAAAACAAGGTGGGTGAGTTGAAATTTGATTCTGTTCCTTTGCACTGGGCTCGGGTTGGATGTTCCTGACTGCTTCGTTGGGACACAGACCCTGGCCTCTGCCTGCAGGTGCCTGGTTAGTGCCCTGGCTGCAGCCCTTTGCCAGCCCTTTCCCTGCCCTTTCGCTCTGATTGTCTCTTGTGTTACCTTTTCTTGTGCTAACGAGGAGGAAAGGTCAAGTCTCAGAAGAGGGCAAAGCCTCTTTTGGGTCAGCGTCCTGGAGGCTGCAGCTCCCTGGTCAGCCTTCTGGAGGGGGAGCCGGCAGCCGGCTGTGGCCTTTGGCGTGGTGGGTTCAGCGCCTTCTTCTCTCTTTAATTACAGCGGGTGAGGCTTTGAGAGCACTTCTCATCCTTGTCTCACGCTGTGGAGCCTGTGGTCCCTCTGAGGAGCGGGGCACTTTGTTCTTGTTTAAAAAATATATTTTATAGAGACAGGGTCTTGCTATGTAGGTCAGGGTGGTCTTAAACTCCTGGCCTCAAGTGATCCTCCTGCCTTTGTGATGATCCCAAAGTGCTGGGATTACAGGCTTGAGCCGCCGCGCCTGGAAGGACACTTTGGAGCGCGTTTTAGGGGAGATGATGAGTGCCACCTCGCCACGGCGTCCTCCTGTCCGTGGCGTCGTCCTCCTGTCCGCAGCATCGTCTTCCTATCCGCGGCATTGTCTTCCTATCCGCGGCGTTGTCTTCCTGTCTGTGGCGTCGTCCTGTCTGCGGTGGCGTCGTCCTGTCTGCGGTGGCGTCCTCCTGTCCGCAGAGGCGTCCTCATGTCCTCAGTGTTGTCTTCCTGTCCATGGCGTTGTCTTCCTGTCTGCGGTGTCGTCTTCCTGTCCATGGCGGCCTCCTGTCCGCGGTGCCCTCCTGTCCATGGTGGCCTCCTGTCCGCTGTGCCCTCCTGTCCGCGGCGTCGTCTTCCTGTCTGTGGTATCATCTTCCTGCCCGCGGTTTTGTCCTGGCCGTGGCAGGTTCTGCCAGGGAGCGGGAGGCTGTCAGCTGGGTGGAGGGGGGCTGTGGGAGTGATAGCCTGGGGTGGGGGCATACGTTTCTTGAGGGGGAATTGGGAAGTGTCCTCCTCAATGTCTGCTGCTTCCCGGTCATGCTGCCGTGGTCTTCAGGAGGGCAGCCTTTGAAATGAGGAAAAGGTTTCAGACGTGTGAGAGAAAACTGCAGACGTGTTTCCTGGAGCCTGTGCTCTGCCCAGGTGATGTCTGTTTTCTTCAGGCGTCCCCTCAACCTCCACATAAATGTGACAGATTCAGCAGTTTTCAAAAATCAAGATATAATTCACATACCACAAGTAATTTATCCTTCTAAGGTAAACAATTCTGTAGTTTTCTGTGCGGTCATCACCATTATCTAACTTCAGGACACTGTCATCATCGTGAGAGAAACCTTGATTGCACCGAGCAGTCCGTCCCTCACCTTCCCCAGCCCCTGCAGCCGTGGATCCATGTGCTGTCCCTGTGGACTTGCTGGTTGCGGACATCTCACCTCACCAGAGTCGTACACGACACAGCCTTTTGCGTCTGGCCTTCACTGAGCCCGATGTGTCCAAGGTTCATCTGCGCTGTGGTGTTGTCAGTGCCTCGTTCCCTTTATGGCCGAATCATAAGCCAACGTGTGGGTATTTTCCATATGCCAGCGTGTGGGTATTTTCCATATGCCAGTGTGTGGGTATTTTCTGCTCTTACAAATTACGCTGTGAAGAACTTTCATGTGCAAGTTTTTGTTTAAACTTAATGCTTTCAGGCCGGGCGCGGTGGCTCATGCCTATAATCCCAGCACTTTGGGAGGCCGAGGCAGGCAGATTACTTGAGGTCGGGAGTTCGAGACCAGCCTGGTCAACGTGGTGAAACCCCATCTCTACTAAAAATGCAAAAAATAGCCAGGCATAGTGGCGTGGGCCTGTAATCCCAGCTACTCCGGAGGCTGAGGCAGGAGAATTGCTTGAACCTGGGAGGCGGAGGTTGAGTGAGCCGAGATCATGCCACTGCACCCCAGCCTAGGTGACAGAGCAAGACTCTGCCAGAAAAAAAAAACAGAAAAAACAAACCCAACTTAATACTTTCAGTACCCTTGGGTACACAACACTAGTTTTTAATAAAATTTTAAACAAAATTTGGAATGTTTTCATCTTTCTGGAGTCTTTCTAAAAAGATTTTTCTGGTGGCATACCTGTCGTACTGATGAAATAGAGGACCTCCTCATGCCAGGCATTTTTGGGCATTGCAGGTACAGATGTGCTGTCTGTGTCCCCAGGTGCCCCTCGTTCCGGCCGTGCTGGGGCAGCATCCTCAATGCCTAAAGAGGATTCATTGCTATCGTGGAGGTCAGGGCAGGCTGAGGCTGGCCTTGAAGGGTACGGGGGTGGAGGGGTAGGGCAGGGAGGACTCAGGTCTCGGACGTACCCACTGTGCCATTGGTCCATGGATCCTCAGGGAATGTGCGTTTTATGTTTTAGGCAATTCTGGTAAAGGTGGTGGATTTAGTTGCAATTGGATTCTTCATTTTTTGCCTTGGGTCTCACTGAGGAAACATGAAGAAGGGGTAGATGGCAGTGGCCAGGGTGGGGGTCCTGGGAATTCTGGTAGCTTCACCTTAATGTTTGTGATGCTGGGTGTACAGACAGCCTCCCACATGACCAAGGACACGCTCTTAGGTCCCTAAGACCCCAGAAGAATGGGCCGCTACTGCCAAGAAGTATGACATGCGTGTGGAAGACCATGAGCCTTACCCGGCTGGTGGCATGGGGTGTGGCAACTGCCGCAGCTCCCCGAACCATTGCAGTGGGAAAGGGGTACGTGCTGTGACTAAGACCACTGGACCCGACCCATCGCAGCGACAGGGGGTCCATGCTGTGTGACTGAGACCACTGGACCCCACCCATCGCAGCGGGAGGGGGGTCCATGCTGTGTGACTGGGACCACTGGATCCCACCCATCGCAGCGACAGGGGGTCCATGCTGTGTGACTGAGACCACTGGACCCCACCCATCGCAGCGGGAGGGGGGTCCATGCTGTGTGACTGGGACCACTGGACCCCACCCATCGCAGCGGGAGGGGGGTCCATGCTGTGTGACTGGGACCACTGGATCCCACCCATCGCAGCGACAGGGGGTCCATGCTGTGTGACTGAGACCACTGGATCCCACCCATCGCAGCGGGAGGGGGGTCCATGCTGTGTGACTGGGACCACTGGACCCGACCCATCGCAGCGGGAGGGGGGTCCATGCTGTGTGACTGGGACCACTGGATCCCACCCATCGCAGCGGGAGGGGGGTCCATGCTGTGTGACTGGGACCACTGGACCCGACCCATCGCAGCGGGAGGGGGGTCCATGCTGTGTGACTGGGACCACTGGACCCGACCCATCGCAGCGGGAGGGGGGTCCATGCTGTGTGACTGGGACCACTGGATCCCACCCATCGCAGCGGGAGGGGCGTCCATGCTGTGTGACTGGGACCACTGGACCCGACCCATCGCAGCGGGAGGGGGGTCCATGCTGTGTGACTGGGACCACTGGACCCGACCCATCGCAGCGGGAGGGGGGTCCATGCTGTGTGACTGGGACCACTGGATCCCACCCATCGCAGCGGGAGGGGGGTCCATGATGTGTGACTGGGACCACTGGATCCCGTCCATCGCAGCGGGAGGGGGGTCCATGCTGTGTGACTGGGACCACTGGATCCCGCCCATCGCAGCGGGAGGGGGGTCCATGCTGTGTGACTGGGACCACTGGACCCGACCCATCGCAGCGGGAGGGGGGTCCATGCTGTGTGACTGGGACCACTGGACCCGACCCATCGCAGTGGGAGGGGGTCCATGCTGTGACTGGGACCACCTGGCCTGAGGTTGGACTGGTGAAATGACAATGTTGGCACCTACATGTGTGTCAGGATCCATGTGGATATGTCCCGCACACCTGCTTCTTGGAATATTGTGTAAGCAGCTCTTCAGCTTCACGGCCTTCATGATCGTGTTCTGGGTGGGGAAGAATTAACCAGCCTACCAGCCCGTGGGGCCAAAGCAGTGTCCTTATAATCATCTGCACCTGGAACCAGGTGGCGATCCCACCGTAGAACCTGTGGCTCACAGGATCTGAGGTGGCTTCGAGGGCTTCTCTGCCCTCTAGGATTCCCTCATCCTTAGAAATTTAACCTTAATGAAATCCCTAATAAAACTCAGTGCTGTGGGGGAAAAACATCTCAGGTCAGGGGAGCAAATGGGAGGTCTAACAGGATGTGACCAGAGCTGGTTGTCTCCAATGGCTCTGCCCCGAGTGTGGTGCCTCTGCAGGGGAGGCCGTTAGCCCTGCCCCGAGTGTGGGTGCTGCTTTGGGAGGGGAGGCAAATTTGATCTCTGTCCGGTCTCTTAACGGGCTTCTAGGGGTCTCCTGCAGCTCTCGTCAGCCTGGCCTGGGAGCCTCCCCTCCTCTGCCGTCCCCACCCCATGCTGTTGGGTCAGCAGGATATCCCAGCCTTGGGGCTGGAGCCAGCTGTGGCTGCCCAGGGACTTGCAGGCAGGTGAGGCGTGCCACCTTCTGGCCAGGCTGGCTGTGGGAGAGGCAGCCTCCTGGTGAGGGGCTGTGGGCCACTGCGTTCAGGCTGCCTTGGAGGGCTCCACGGTGTCCCCTGGGTGCAGGGCTCCGAGTCCTTCTCGGCTTGGGAGGGTCTTGTGGCCACATGTGTCTAGTTCTGCAGTTTCTTTGTTGTGGGTTCGGTTCTTTACTTTTTTTTTTTTTTTTTTTGATGATCTTGTTGGTTTTCTCTAGATTGTTCCCAAGTTTTCTGTTCTTCCATCCCAAGTGGGAGACACGTGTTGCACAGCCTGCATTTGGAATACCCAGAGGGTGGGTGGGCGGGACGGCTCGCTGCCCCATTCCCCTCCTAGCTGCTGGGACAGGTGGGAATTCCTGTAGCAAAGTCAAACCAGCCAGGAGTGGGGAAGTGCTTTTTATTTTGACATCTCCAAGTTCCACGTTGAGGTGGAGAGACATTCGTTTTTCCCCTTCCTCCCGAGGTGTAAAACGGTCTTCTCAAAGGCTTAGGAGAGCCGAGCCCTGTGCCACCCCCCGGCATATGCTGGCAAAGAGTGAGGCGTGCTGTCCTGCCGTTTAGGGCAGAGCACCCAGGCGGTTTGGCAGCAGCACCTCAGAACTATTCAGAGATTTGCCCTCAGCAAGAGTGAGCAATTGTCTGACGCAGCCGGCTGAAATCCCTGGGAAGGGAATGAATGAAACTGCCGTGAAGCAACGCCTGGCGGGGCCGGGCTTCTGGCAGCTCCTGGGGCCAGCACGTCCCTTCCAGAGCGTCTGAAGCCCTGGGCGGCTGCTGGAGCATCTCGAGTCTTTCCAGAGTCATGTGTGTTGTTTCCTTCTGTCTCTTGGAAGGGTCCGTTTGGTCTGATCCAGGTTGCCTCAGCAGGAGGAAGTCGTGCTGGGTGCTGAGCGGGTGGGAGGTTTCACCTTGGGCTTGGCAGAGCTGCAGGCAGAGGCCGGGCGCCTGCTGTACATGATGAAACTTGCAGGTGGATTCTGCTTAGGGTTTCATCTGTTTCCTTTGATGCACTTGGCTTCATTGTCATCCACCTGTTCATTACTGTGGGCGAAACAGGTGAACTCTCAACAAGTACCATCGAAACCAGGATTTGATCTTCATTTCCCTCGAAGCGTAGTTCCCTTGCAGTGAGGGTTTTTAACTCCTGTGGGAGGGAAGCAAGTGTTTGGCAATGTAATTTCCCTGGAAGGCCCCTGTACTTCAGCTTTAAAAACACGCTTTGGTTTAGTCCCAATTTAAGCATTAAGATTAATGCAAATTGAGGAAATTCAAGGAAGGAGAAAAACACATTAAAAATGGAAAATGGGCTGGGCACAGTGGCTCATGCCGGTAATCCCAGCGCTTTGGGAGGCCGAGGCAGGTGGATCACTTGAGGCCAGGAGTTTGATACCAGCCTGGCCAACATGGTGAAACCCTGTCTCTACTAAAAATACAAAAAATTAGTTGGGCATGGTGGTGCGCGCCTGTAATCCCAGCTACTTGGGAGGCTGAGGCAGGAAAATCGCTTGAACCCGGGAGGTGGAGGTTGCAGTGAGCCGACATGGCGCCACTGCATTCCAGCCTGGGCAACAGAGCAAGACTCCATCTAAAAAAAAATTTACAAAAAGGAAAATGGCTGTCATTTCATGTGTGACTCTGCTTGCTGATTGATAGTTGTGCTCTCTTGGTTTCTAGTGCTCTGATTGGAAGATTGTCGACTGTGTGGAGTGGGTTTCTCCCTGTGTGTTCTCACAATGGCTGGGAGGCGGCGGCGGGGCTGGGGGACTCGGACTGCGAGACGGGGCTGTTGACTATGAAAGTGGTAATAGGATGCTCTTCCCCTTATCGGCTGTTAGGCTCGAGTCTCCCCTTTGCAGTGCGGTTTCTTTTTATTTTTATCATTGACAAAAGCACAACTCTTGTTAAAGGATAAAATAGTCACACACAACAGCATTAAAAACCAAGAAAGCCAAAGAACGCTGGCACTGTCAGCCTCACTCCCAGCTCCCGCTCGGCCCTTGTGAAGAGAGGTGCTGAAGCCACTCTGCTTTTTTATAGTTAATAAAAGCAGCCAGGTCCCCAAGTAGGAGTGGTTGTGGCCAAGAGTGTGTGGGCCGGGAACCAGGGCTTGAGCTGCTGTGAGCTGTGCCCAGGCCCTTTGCTGACTCCGTCTCTCCTGTGACCTGAGGCCAGGGTGAGCACCAGCGCCCGCCCCACCTGGGAGGGAAGCAGCAGACCTCTCACCGCAGAGGCTGGTGTGAGGCTAATTAGCACAGTCAGTCTTTGAAGATGAAAGAAGACAGCTGATTATCTAAAACATTTCACATTTAGGCTTTGATTTCTCTTCAGATTTGGGGAACAGCACCCTACTGTTTCATTTAGGGTTCAGTGTGGCCAGAGGAAGATGACCCACGTGGTCCTTTTTAGTTGTAGTGCTCTCTTGGGGCAAGGTTTTGGATGGAGAAAATAGGACAAGAGCAGTTTGAATGTGGGTACTTTCCAGAGATCATGCTCCTGTAGCATTTGGGTGAAACGAGGTACCCCAGGCCACGCTGGTTCGGTCTCCTCGTGGCGTTAAGGAAAGACCTGGAGCAGCCAGCTCCTAACACTCATTTCCCATCACTCAGCATTTTATGTGGGGCGGGCACAGTGCCGTGAGTCTTACAGAAACCTGCATGGTGAGCCGCACGCCTTTGAGTCCCCATCAGCCCTGGCCCATCCCTGCTGAGGTGGCGCGACCTGCTCACAGACGTGTGCTCACAGGCAGCCCGTCGCGGGGTCATGTGCTAGACGGGGAGGGGGCTTGGCGGGTCACCAGCCTCACCCCGCTCAGTTCTTAGATGAGGAAGAGACAGGCAGAGAGCTGGGCTGGGCTGCTGCTGAGTGGGCTAGAGCTGGGTCTCAGTGGCCCCTGCCCCAGTCGTCCTGACCTGTGGCCCCTGTGCAGGTTGGGGTGCCCCTGCCCTCTCCCCTGCCCCGCCCTCACCTGGCTCACAGACCCGTGATGCCTCACTGCCCACGCAGTCACCTTAGAGGCACCTTCCCTCTAAGGCAGATGTCCCTCAGGCTTTGGTCCTGGCTGTTGATATCTCAGCTCTGATTCACCCTTGACCTTTATTACCTGATTTCTGTCCTTGGTTCTCGAGCCCTCCTTCTGTGGACCCGTTGGGTACACGTGTGACACTTCAGAACCCGCAAGTCCCAGGTCACACCTGTTGTACCATCACTTTCCCCTCCTGGCCTGTTTACCCGGGAGCCCAGCAACAAATGGGAGCTTCTGTGCTGCTGTCCGTGCATACGGCCCAGGAGCCGGGCTCATCCCCGAGACGCCGTGTTCCCTCCCGCTGTCCGCTCACACCTGCCTGTGTGGACGTGGCTCTGACATGTCTCCTTCCTGGTTCATTGCTCATCTGTTCTCATGTGGCTGCGCCGCCACCCTGTCCTGGGGGTCCTTGTCCCAGCACGTGGCTCTGTGCTTCACGTCATCCTGAGTCTGTCCCGCTCTGCCGCCTGGTCCAGGTGGGAGCCATTTCCTTCTGTGAAGTGTTCCCTCTGGAGGCCCTGGGCTCCCCGACTACCCTCCCGCCTCTCCTGTGGCTGTCGGCTGCAGTAAAGGTGCTGGTGGAGGGTGTGAGCCATCCATTCATAGAGTGCCAGACTCTGTCCCATGCTGCCTCTGTGCCCTTGATCCTGGCAGCACACCTGCTGTCCTGTGGCCTGCGTAAAGGGTGGCCTCGGAAGCCTGTGGCCTGGGTAAAGCGTGGCCTCGGAAGCTTGTGGCCTGGGTAGTGGGTGGCCTCATCTTGGCCTCGGAAGCAGGAGGGCTCAGGCTGTGGCCCACGCCTGGGGTTCCCCATCCCCCCGTGTGTCCTGGTGTCTTTGCTTGGCTCGCCGGCCTCCATGGGCTCCCCAGGTGGCAGGTGGCTCTCAGCCATGCTCTCCGTCCTCATGCTTGTTTCTGCCCTGGCAGAGCTGCTCAGTGGCCAGCCCGTGGGACCCCTGTGCACCCTGCCGCCCCCAGCATATGTCAGCAGCGCCGTCCGGGGGAGATGTGGCATCAGCACAGCCTTGTCCTTGTCTCTGCCCGTTCTTCCTTCCTTGCCTCTATGTGTCTGCTTTTTTCTCTTCCACATGGTGTCCACAGTGGATAACCACATCCACTGGCCTCCTGGTTGGTGGATCCTCCTCCTGCTGGGCTCAGAGCTGTGCCACCCCCACCTGCACTGCAGAGAAGCTCAGACCCCTCTCTGACCTCAGACGCTGGAGCCTGAGCCCCCTGCTTCCCAGGCCAATGCCCCTTCAGGTCCCTGCAAAGCCACTGCTCTTTGTGGTCTCCCTGCCGCCGTTGCCCTCCCTTTGCCGCTGAGCCCGTGGGCTGCTTGGTGGCTTGGGAGCTGCATACAATTCTATTTTGTCTGGTTTGTTTTCAGGCTTTCTGTGGCAGGAATTGTGTCTCTTGCATCTTTTTTTTTTTTTTTTTTTAGACGGAGTCTCGCTCTGTTGCCCTGGCTGGAGTGCAGTGGCGCGATCTCGGCTCACTGCAAGCTCCGCCTCCCGGGTTCACGCCATTCTCCTGGCTCAGCCTCCTGAGTAGCTGGGACTACAGGCACCCTCCACCACGCCTGGCTAATTTTTTTGTATTTTAGTAGAGATGGGGTTTCACCGTGTTAGCCAGGATGGTCTCGATCTCCTGACCTCGTGATCTGCCTGCCTCGGCCTCCCAAAGTGCTGGGATTACAGGCGTGAACCACTGTGCCCGGCCATGGATCATTAACCTCTTTTCTAGCATCTTACCTCTGTGGTGGTTCACTTTTGCGAGCTTTTGCTGGGCCTTGGAAGGTGCGTGGGCTCGCTGCTCCTCTCTTCTGTGGGAACTGTTGCCTTTGGGCAGGGGGCACACCCCAGAGGTGGTCACACACACCTGAACGGGAGCACAGTCATAAGTCCCTGTCATGCAAAGATGGGCTGTGCAGAATGAGCTCGGAATAGCAGCCAGAAGGCTCAGTGATGGGGGAGTTGTTTAAGCTGGAATACTGTAATGCTGCTGGCTGTTTATGGCTGTGAGGTCACTACGTGGGCTGCTGAGAACATTTTAAAATGCTGAGTGAGTCATGAAACAGTCATGCGTCCCCTAACAATGAGGGTAGTCCTGAGAACTGCGTCGTTGGGCAGTGTCGTCGTGTGAACACCGTAGCGTGCACTTAAACATAGATGGTGTGGCCTGCTGCTCCCAGGCCAGGTGGTGCGGCCTGCTGCACTCCCAGGCCAGGTGGTGTGGCCCGCTGCTCCCAGGCTGCAAACCTGTACAGCACCTGACTGTGCTGAATACTGCAGGGAACTGTAACACAGTGGTGTTTGCACATCTAAGCATAGAAAAGGTACAGTAAAAATATATCATCAGCTGGGCACGGTGGATCACGCCTGTAATCCCAGCACTTTGGGAGGCCGAGGCGGGTGGATCACGAGGTCAAGAGATCGAGACCATCCTGGCTAAAATGGTGAAACCCCATCTCTACTAAAAATACAAAAATTAGCCGGGCGTGGTGGCGGGCGCCTGTAGTCCCAGCGACTCGGGAAGCCGAGGCAGGAGAATCGCTCGAACCCAGGAGGCAGAGGTTGCAGTGAGCCGAGATTGTGTCACTGCATTCCAGCCTGGGTGACAGAGCGAGACTCCGTCTCCAAAAAAAAAAAAAAAATTATATGTATATACACACGTGTATACATGTGTGCACACACACACACACATATATGTGTATATATATGTATATATAAAATCCTTTTATGGGCTCACTATCAATATGTGGTTCCTCATTGACCAGAATGTTCTATGATGTAGGACTCTAGTGCGATACACTGTCATGAACAGATTGATAAATTAGGTGAAGGATGATGCCTGTGAATGACAGACGTAGGAAGCCACAATCATTTTGTGTTTTCCACACTCTCTTTGAGAGCTGTGTTGCCTTGGTTTATGGATGAGGACATGGACCCAGGTCAGGGGCTGCCAGGTCGGTGCTGGGGTGTGGAGCTGGGCCTTGCATGGCCCCCACCTGTGAAGGTAATTAGTGTTTACCTTACAGTCCAAAGTTTGGTGAAAAATAACACTTCGTTCTGGAAAGATAAAAGCTAGATGTGATTATTTCGATCATTGAAGCATTTTTGTGTGAAATTACCTTTTTTTTTGGCGTCAGTGGCATGATCTCAGCTCACTGCAACCTCCACCTCCCGGGCTGAAGTCATCCTCCCCCCTCAGCCTCCTGAGTAGCTGGGATTACAGGTGGACGCCACCACACCTGGCTAATTTTTGTACTTTTAGTAGAGATGAGGTCTTGCCATGTTGTCCGGGCTGGTCTGGGACTCTTAGGCTCAAGTAACCCTCCTGCCTTGGCCTCCCAAAGCGCTCGGATTCTAGGTGTGAGCCACTACACCCAGCCTGAAATTAGTTTTCATTTTGATATTTGTTTTCTTAAAATTCTTTATAATTTGTCAGAAATTTATTTTGTCAGAAACAGTATATTTTTTCACTCTGGGGCTCTGATTCTAATCAGTCATTTACCAATCCAGCAATGAAAGTTTTCACTTCCGTCAATGGCTTTTTTCCTCTGAATGTGTGGTGGTCCTGAGGGGAGTGCATTTTGCTCGCTCCTGGGGGAGGCAGTGGTCTGGCCTGTCCCCACCAGTGCCCCCTAGGCCCCGCCTTGAGGACAAGCTCTCTTCTGTTTCTGAGCGCTCTCCCGTCCTGTCTAGGGCAACTGCTGCTCTTTCTAGGGGTGGTAGTGGGGCTCTTTAAGATGTCCCTCGCTTTGATTTTTGCAGGCCAGCAAATGCACTGGACGTTGTGGTTTTTCTGGCCTCCAGTAGTGGTGTGGTGGGAAGGTTCTTTTCCTGCCCTGCTGCTGAGGGGAGCCTCGAGCGTACCAGAGTTCCTCAGTGAAGCCTTTGCACGTCCTGCAGGGTGCAGCCCAGCATGGGTTTCACTGCCCTCCAGGAAAGGCCTGGCCCTGGTGGGCTCGCTGCAGCACAGGCACGGACCTGGGGCTGTGCTCTCAAGGCATTCCAGCCTGGAAAGGGTTGTTTTGGTGTTAAAGATCCTCTTCCGTGCCTGTCCTGTGGCCCCTCTGTGTGGCATGCCCAAGAGTGGCTTTGAACATGGCTGCCCTCCGTGTGCTGAGCCTGCGGGGGCACGGCTACCCTCCGTGTGCTGAGCCTGCGGGGGCACGGATGCGATTGGTTGCTTCCCAAGATACCATTTCTTGGTGTCGGAGCAGGACTCGGGATGGCAGAAAGGGGAACAGACTCGCTCTCCTCATCTGCAGAGTCGGCATGGTTATGTGGGGCCACAGGGTGACCCGCTGGCCTGGAGCTAGCGTGGTCTCAGCCATCTGCCTCAGTGCCGGCCGGCACTCACAGCTTCTCAGAAGCCTGTGTTACCAGCCAGAGCCAAGCCTGAACTGGTGTGGTGTGGGGGCCCTTCTCCCAGGGCCTCGGGTGGAGTTGCTTTTCTTGGCCTAGATTTGGCAGTGCCTGAAGGGAGCCTCAAACCAGCATCTCCTGCTTGGCAGCGGGTGAGCTTGCTCCCGAGTAGCTCGACAGCCTGTGATTTACTGGGCTTGGAGAACATGCCCCAGGGGGGGGAAGCTGGCTCGCACGTTGCAGAGAAGCCAGCTTGGGTGGGTAGCCATCGAAAGGTGGGGCGGGTTAGGATGATTGCTGAGAAACTCCTTTTGTTTGCAGCTTGTGCTGTGCTGGTTTCTAGAACAACAAAAACAGACCTGCAGTCATTCCTCATTTACCATGCAGGGCTGTTTTCCTCTAATCCCTGGTGTCATCACCTCTGTCTAGTGTATGCTTTTCAGCAGGTGGTTTTAATTTGGTTCCCATTATGCTTCCATGAAAGTGGGCTGTGCCCCCCATTTTATGGCCTAGCTTATGAGCACTCAAGACCATTGATGACTAGAGTGCGCTCTCTCTGGCCGCGTCCTCCTGCTGACAGGTACCCCATCCCACCGCCACGCTGAGCACTGGCCACTGCACACTGCACACTTTCTCTGGTGAAGATGGCCTTACTTTTCAGTGAAATAAATGGAAACAAAGCCCTGTCTTCATTGACTCGTTCCTTCCCTGTCGTCTCTTTTGCCCTCCTGCACCCATGCCTGGGAAAGTGGATAACTTTTGGGGCTTTTCTCTGTGTGTGCTGAATGCCCAGGAGGCTGCCTGTGTAATTCAGCTGGAAACTGTCCCCAGGGTAGAGAGAAGTGTGAGGAGAAAAAGACCCTTCGCCCTGTAAATGTGTGGGGTTCTGGTTTCTCCCTTACTGCAGATGGTGGCGGGCCCTGGCCTTGGTGCTGTCTCCTGTGTGTAGCTGGGGACGGTGGAAGCTGGGCTGGGCCTTTCCAGGTGTGGGGCATCCAGGCCAGTTACAAGAGATGATGCTTGCTTTCCCGAGAACTCATCACCACTTGTATCTTAGTCTGCTGTAGAGAATGTTGTACTACACTTCATAGGAATTGAGTAACTAAACAACGTTCATGTGTGAGGGCACTCTAGGAATTTCACAGTGTCTTGGATTCTTTTTATTTAGTGAGAGAAACCAGACGACGTGTTAGCCCGTTGCCAAGTAAGACTGGGGGACACGTCAGCCTGTTGCCGAGAGAGACCAGGGGACATGTTAGCCCGTTGCTGAGAGAGACCGGGGGACACGATAGCCTGTTGCTGAGAGAGACCGGGGAACACGGTAGCCTGTTGCTGAGAGAGGTCATTTCCCGGATCTTTGTCCTGCGTCCGCCCACAGCTGCACAGCTGCTCTTCTGGTTTAGGTTCTGGCCTTTCCCACTGGGGTTTTCCAGCAGCCTCTGTAGCGGTCTTCGTTGTTGAGCACTTCACTGTTCATCCCCAGGTTCTCCATCCAGCTGCTGTTGGAATCTGGTCATGTGGCCATGGCTGCAGGTGATACGGTGGTGCTCTTTGCCTGTAGGATGAGATTTCAGCCGCTCGCAGGTTCATTTGTTGTGGAACAACGTACTCCACAGCTGGTGGCATCAGTGACAGCCGCACTCTTGCGTGGATCGATTCTGTGGCCTCGCAGGGTGGGGTGCAGGGGGCCGTTTGTTACTGCCCTTTGATGCCTGGGCCTCTGCCGAGAAGACCACGTGGCAGGTGCCTTGAAGGGCTGGGTGCGGCAGGGGCCCTTGACTGAAGCTGGCTCTTCCTGCATGGCAGCCGGCTTCCCGGAGGGAGTGTCTCAAGGGGAGGTGTCTGGAGAGGCCCTGAAAGAGGCCGCCAGGCTTCTGACCTGGGATTGGGGGTCACTGGCATCACTCCTGCCTGCCTCTGTTGGTTGTGGCAGTTGGAAGCCTACCAAGGTGGTGGGTGAGGGACCCTTGATTGTCCGTCTGGCAAACTCTGTTCCCCACTGAGCTGGCCAGCCGGCTGCAGTGACAGCTTCTCTGTGAAGTGTCTTGTCTTCTTATCCCCCAGGCGCGGTCCGGCTTCTCGTTGCACACTGGTGGGCTTCAGGCCGTCAGCCCACCTCCCAGGGAATTTGAGTGTGTGCTTGGCCCTGCGACTGCCCCCGAACCCCGCGTCCCGTTGCGGGGAGCTCGCCTGTGCCCCACGGTTTCTGCTCAGCAAGTGTTGGCTCTGTAAACCGATGACTTAGGGTTAAAACACATATTAAATTAGATACATCTGGACTGGTGTGAAATAATTTAACTTTCGATTTTATATTTCACACAAACTAAAGATGGGGAAGAGTTCTTAAAGTTAAATGAGAACTTGTTTTGGGCAAACAAGGATCATCTCCATTCACTTGGTAGGGAACGTGTTACTATCCATTTCGCTAAAGAGAAAGGGGCTAAGTCTCTGATCACCTTGGTGAATGTGTTATTCTGAGTGGCTCAGGGAGGTGGGTGCTGCCACTGCCCCATTTTACAGACAGAGGAACAGGAGCGCAGAGACCCTGCTCTGCTCCACAGGCGTGACTGGTGGTCTGTCTGGCTGTCTCCTTCCTGTTTTGATCGTAGGTGTGGGATCTGCACCACAGGTGTGACTGGTGGTCTGTGTGCCTTTGCTGCTTCTCCACTCAGCGCTTAGGAGAGCCCCCCAGCGGGCTCCATGGAGAGAGTCTAAGTTCCCTCTCCTTTTAAGAAGATGTTTCTATTCTACACTTAAGTAAGAGATCAGGCAGTTTACAGGGTTCATAATGCAAATAAAAGACACCAGTATTTAGTGAAAGCCTCTTCACCTTGTCTGAGCATCTCCTGATGGGCGGCACCTGCTTCTTCATTTTTCCGTGTGGTGGGCGACAGCAGGACAGGGGTGGCGTGGTGTGCGGTGCAGATAGTCTGAGACAGATGCAGTTCTCACCTTGACTGTGAAATTCTGTTTTCTGAAGGAAAGGAAATTCATTCGCGTTTTCTTAGAAGGGCTCAGTTCTAGGATTCTTCGATTATGAGGCTTGGATATTTATGTGAATCATCGCATTTGTCCTCCAGACTTTAAAGCAGAAGGTAAAACCTCAGGTTGAGAATTCAGGAGGGCTAGAACCAGTGTTTGAGAGAAAATCTGATATTCCTGTTTGGTCTGATGGACTCCAGGTGATGACGTCCGTGTGTGCGCATCGTGGGGACCGGGCTGCCAGGTGTGTGTGTGAGACACGGGCTGAGCTGGTCACCCTTCTCATTTGTTGGTGAAGCATGAATGCAGATGGAGGCCTTTGTGTGAGGTGGTTTGGCCTGTAACTTTTATCCTTTGTAACTTTATTTATACGCAGATAATTTTTAAAAACCTACTGAGATATCTTCTTTTTCCAGGCTAGTAGTGCCCTGAACTTAAACCTGGGCACGTTTTGTGATGCCATTGATGAGGGAGGGGTGGAGAGGCTGCAGTCTCCATGAGGGGACTGGACTTATCATTGCATCCCTATTTTCAGATGAATTTTTGGGAGATGATTTCACTAGTCTCTTATAATTACTTTATCATGTACAGAAACTGTTTTCTTTATTATTAGGTGGTGAGTGTTTAGAATAAAAATTCTGAAAGATGTGATGAATTGTTTTCACAATTTGTGTGTATGTTTTAAACTTCTATTTGTATTTGTAACATTAAAAATCTTTTTTTTTTTTTTTAGGCACAAATATTTAAACATGGAAAACGTGAAGACTGTTTGCCCTATGGTAAGGTTTATTTTTAAGAGACGATATCTTTGTGATGTGAGTTTGCTCATATACAATCAAGTGTCTTTCCTTAACATTTTATTCATAGATATAGGAACTGTACATTGGTATGTTTGGACACTATCGTTCTTTTTTTTGTTGTGGGTTTTAGTAACTGAACTTTTTTTTTTTTTTTTTTTTTTTTTTTTTTTTGAGACTGAGTCTCCCTCTGTTGCCCAGGCTGGATTGCAGTGGCACAATCTTGGCTCACTGCAGCCTCCGCGTCCTGGGTTCAAGCAATTCTTCTGCCTCAGCCTCCCGAGTAGCTGGGACTACAGGTGCCTGCCACCATGCCCAGCTAATTTTTGTATTTTTTTTTTTTTGAGATGGATTTTCTCTCTGTCGCCCAGGCTGGAGTGCAGTGGCACTATCTCAGCTCACTGCAAACTCCGCCTCCTGGATTCACGCCATTCTCCTGCATCAACCTCCCGAGTAGCTGGGACTACAGGTGCCTGCCACAATGCCCAGCTAATTTTTTGTATTTTTAGTAGAGATGGGGTTTCACCGTGTTAGCCAGGATGGTCTCGATCTCCTGACCTTGAGATCCACCTGCCTCGGCTTCCCAAAGTGCTGGGATTACAGGTGTGAGCCACCGTGCCCGGCCTAATTTTTGTATTTTTAATAGAGATGGGGTTTCACCATGTTGGCCAGGCTAGTCTTGAACTGCTGACCTAGTGATCTGCCTGCCTCGGCCTCCCAAAGTGCTGGGATTACAGGCGTAATAACTGGACTTTTTGTCACTTTCCTAGTCCTTTGATAAAGAGGGATTGCTGCCAGGGGTCTCGTGAGGGAGGTCTGGGCAAAGCCCGTGTCATGATCTGAGGTTGGACCTGGCTTCTTGGGGCCCAGGAGCAGCCATGTTCCTCTGATAGCCACAGCCACCACCTCTTTTGCCTTCTTCCTAATTCTCTTAATTTATTCTTTTTGAGACTGCATCTTACTGTGTCGCCCAGGCTGGAATACATGACACAGCTCACTGCAGCTTCGACCTCCTGGGCTCAAGCCATCCTCCCACCTCAGCCCCCTGAGTGGCTGGGACTACAGGCGAGCTCTACCACGCCCGGCTAATTTTTTTAGCAGTGGGGTCTTGCTGTGCTGTCCAGGCTGGTCTTGAACTCCTGGGCTCAAGTGATCTGCCCTGCCTTGGCCTCCCAAAGTGCTGGGCTTAAAGGTATGAGCCACCACGCCTGGCTCAATTCTCTTAATTTTAGATTGAGCCTCAATTTCTGAAAATAAGGGCAGTGTTTTTCTCCACGCAGAGGTTTACCATCTGGAAAAAGAGAAACTTCTTAGAGCCTTTGTGTGTTTTAGAAGCTATCCGGACTGGGCGTTGTGGCTCACGCCTGTAATCCCAGCGCTTTGGGAGGCTGAGGCGGGTGGATCACGAGGTCAGGAGATCGAGACCAGCCTGGCCAACATAGTGAAACCCCATCTCTACTAAAAATACAAAAATTAGCTGGGCATGGTGGCACATGCCTGTAATCCCAGCTACTCGGGAGGCGGAGGCAGGAGAATCCCTTGAGCCAGGGAGTTGGAGGTTGCAGTGAGCTGAGATCGCGCCACAGCACTCTAGCCTGGCGACAGAGCAAGACTCTGTCTCAAAAAAAAAAAAAAAAAAAAAAGAAACTATCCGAATATCAAATTTGAATAACTTTCTTTTTTTGAAAGTTTTTCATTATGGAAAATTTGAAACATGTATAAAGAAGAGAGAATGGCGTGCACGCCCCGTGTCTCTCTCAGGAGTGTGCGAGTTTTCGTGTGCAGCCTGTTTCATCCCTGCACCGCACAGGAGGGACACACAGTGCCATCTCACCTGTGTGTACTTCCATACATGTCTCTGGAAGGTGGGGCTCTTTATGTCCTCACCACACCCGAGAACGCGAGCAGCCGTTGCCAGGCCCTGTCGGCGGGAGGAGCGTCCTTGGTGACGTGAACACAGACCTCCCTCTTGGGCTGTCGTGCTTGTCACCCACGCTCATTGTGCCCACTGTCAGAGCCTTCTGAGAAGTTACTCAGATGCTCTTTCAGCTGACCTGGTTTTATAGGCAAGCATTATGAGTTAAACGGCACCTCTGCCCGAGGTCACGGCACCCACATAAAACTGGTGAACGTTCACTTTCTGTCATTTCCCAGCCTCAAGGCAGAGCTTCCTGCAGGGCACTGCAGCTCCAGCCCCCATCCCCCTGCTCTGTCCCCGCCCCACTGCCCCTTCCTCCATCTCCTTGTCTTCCATCACCTCACCTAACTCTCAGCTCTGTCTTCAGCTTCTCTTCTTTTCTCCTGTCCCCTGTCAGTTGGTTGCAGTCTTGTCCATTTCACTTCCAGCCCATCTCTGAAGCCGCCATGCACTTCCACCCCAGCCCTTGTCTGTCCCGGGAATGCTGTCCTCCTGGCCTCAGCTTGCCCTCGTCGCAGCACCCGGGCGTCTCCTGCTCGCAGGCTCTCCCTGTCGTGCTGTGCCCAGTGCTACCTTGAGCCTCCCCTTGGCTCAGCCTCCTGTCCTGCTATTGTCATCACTGCATGACACCGAGTGATTCCCCCTGAAAAACAGAGCAAGCCACAGGAACCCCGTGGCCTGTGTGTTCTCCCCAGCCGCAGTGTGCTCCATGGCTTCTGGGGTTGCTGCAGTGTGCCCTGTGGCCTGTGTGTTCTCCCCGGCCACAGCATGCCCGTGGCCTGCGTGGTCTCTGTGGCCGCAGGATGCCCGTGGCCTGTGGGGTCTCCGTGGCTGCAGTGTGCCTGTGGTCGGTTGGGCCTTTGTGTGTGCTGCCCCCCTTCAGATTGGCTCCCTGCCCTCTGAGTACTTGCTCTCCTGACCTCCACTGATGTTGCTTCACAGCAAGGAAGTCGAGTAGGTTCAACTCCAGCAGCTCTTGGTTCATGATTTGGGATGATGGGGGTCTTGGTGATGTCTCCTGCCTCAAGGCCCCTGTGGAGCCGGCTGTTGGTTTCGGGGACACAGGTGGTGCAGTCAGAAGATGCCTGCAGCCCTTCCTGCGCTGAGTCCAGTTCTTGTTTGCAGCTGCCACTGTCCTCAGGTGCCTCGATGGCTGCAGACTCCCTGAGAGCAACCAGACCCTGCTGCGGAAGCTGGGGGTGAAGCTTGTGCAGCGACTGGGGCTGACATTCCTGAAGCCGAAGGTGGCAGCATGGAGGTAGGCACCATGAGGGCGGTGCCTGGGGAGGGCCACGGGGTGGGGAGGGGTTGCTGTGGGGGGCAGGCGCCATTGATGAGGGCGGGGCAGGTGCTGTTGGGGCAGGTGCTGTGGGGAGGCAGTCGCCCTGTTGCGGGGTGGGGGAGGCAGGCGCCATGGGGTGGGGAGGCAGGCGCCTTGGTTCTGGACACAGTTGGGGGCACTCTCTGGAGGGCAGGCCGAGCCGTAGGTGAGCGTCTGGTGTGGCTGGTGCTGTGGCTTTTGTGTCCAGTGGTGATGGCAGAGAAGATGTGTTAGTAACAAGTGTTTTCTGCTTTCATTCATTTCTTTAATCCTAGAAGTGTTTCTGATTTTGAGAGGAATGGTTTTCTTTTGGTTATTTTCTGACTGCATCTCCCAGTTGGAAGAACTGCAGCTGGCGTTGGCAGGAAGGTGGCGTGTGCGTCGTGTGGCTCGGAGTCAGCGTGGCAGGATGGCGGCGTGTGTGTCGTGTGGCTCGGAGTCAGCGTGGCAGGATGGCGGCATGTGTGTCGTCGTGTGGCTCAGGGTCAGCGTGGCAGGAGGCTGGCGTGTGCGTCGTGTGGCTCGGTCAGCGTGGCAGGAGGGTGGCGTGTGCGTCGTGTGGCTCAGAGTCAGCGTGGCAGGAGGGCGGCGTGTGCGTTGTGTGGGTCGGAGTCAGCGTGGCAGGAGGGCGGCGTGTGCGTTGTGTGGCTCGGAGTCAGCGTGGCAGGAGGGTGACGTGTGCGTGATCGTGTGGCTCAGGGTCAGCGTGGCAGGAGGGCGGCGTGTGCATCGTCGTGTGGCTCGGAGTCAGCGTGGCAGGAGGGCGGCGTGTGCGTCGTGTGGTTCGGAGTCAGCGTGGCAGGAGGGCGTCGTGTGCGTCGTGTGGTTCGGAGTCAGCGTGGCAGGAGGGCGGCGTGTGTGTCGTCGTGTGGCTCGGAGTCAGCGTGGCAGCAGGGTGGCATGTGTGTCGTGTGGCTCGGGGTCAGCTCAGCCTCCCTGGCGTGGCAGCGTGTGTGCGTCGTGTTGCTCAGAGGCGGTGCGGCCTCCCTGGTGTGGACGCGCTGTGGGGGAAAGCTGCATCGGATCAGTGATGAGTCTGAATGACAGGCTCCCTTTCAAAGACTGTTGGAGAAAGTGAAACCGCCTTTCTTGCTGGCAGAAATGATGTCTTAGCAGTCTGTAGCGGCCGGTGTGAACGGGTTGGTTCTCAAGGAGACAGACTTTTCTAGTGTTCTTAGGGTGCTGTGTGTTAGCGACCTTCAGTTTGTTTCAAGTGCTATAATACGTGTGGTTTGGGAAGGAATTACTTGGTTAAGGTCAGCTCACACTCCGTCCTGGATGATGGCAAATTCCAGAGACGCGTGTTGTGTTGCAGTGTTGGGTGTGCAGCTCACTCTGTAGGAAGTTGCTCATTAGGCACAGTGTTCGTGGCTAGTTTCTCAAAGCTGCTGTGGGGAATGTTCAGTGCTGTACCAGGCAGGGTTCTCCAGAGAAGCAGAGCCCATAGGATGTGTGTGTGTCGGCGAGGCTGTGAGCTGGAGACCAGGAGAGCTCATGGTGGTTCTTGGCCAAAGGCCTCAGGGTGGAGACCCAGGAAGAGCTGATTGGTTTTAGTCTGAAGACAGAACAAGTCCAGTTGAGAGATTGCCAGGCAGGAGGGCTTCCCCCCTCCTCAGGGAGGGCCGGCGTTTTGTTCTGCTGGGGCCTTCCGCTGGCTGAACGAGGCCCCCTGCATTTGGCAGGGTCCTCTGCCTGACTTTGTCTACAGATTCACATGCTGGTCCAGAGCCCCTGACACAAGCACTGGAAGCAGGTGTGATGAAATAGCGGGGCGCCCCACGGCGCAGTCAGGTTGCCATGTAAAGTTAAGCATCACAAGCACTGAAATGTTGGTACAGAAAATAATCCAGTATCCTAGTTCTCTCGATAATGATGTGCGTGTTGCCACATACACTTCACGTAATTCTAACGTGGTTGGGTTTTAGTCCCCGTCTTGTGTTTTTCTCTTCCGTCTTTCTCTACGTTTCCTGTATTTCTAACTTTTTTCCATTTTTATCTCCTCGGTTGGATTTTCGTTGTCTCTGTTAGTACCGTTCTCTTCTTGGTTGTCTTCTGTTGATGAGGACGGACTTACGCTCTGACGGGCTGTTAGATTTCTGGTTCATCCCACTCCTCCTGCCAGCCTTGGCTCGAGGCTTTGTTAGGGTGGGTCTTTCTCAGCTCTTTTCCTCCAGGGATTGGTCTTTCCTCCACAGCATGGTCCTTGCTTTAAGTATGTAGCCTTTCAGGGACTTAGGTGAAAGTCACGGCTTTCTCTCCCGTCCTGCTGGGCCCGGGTCTCCGGGGCCCTCTGAGGGTTGCACAGTCTCCAAGTTCTCTGCGGCACTCGGCCTCCCAGCCATTCTCTGACAGGTGCGTCTGAGTCTCGCCTTGTGCTTCCTTATCTTGGAGTGCCCAGGGATCCAAGGGAATTTTTGGGCAGAGTTTTGGGCCTCTGTCTCAGCAGCTCTCTTCTCCCCAACATCCTCTCCCCCACATATGAGCCCTCCACTCATTGAGATTGCTGCTTCCTGGGCTGTTTCCTTGGTACGGTGTAGAAAGTACCCCTGCGGGGAGGAGGTGGAGGTGGCCCACCTGCAGCTTCCCCTCGCTGGGGATTGTTGCCCTGCCTTGGTTGCCATCACCTGCTGGCCAACAGTGGCTTTAAGTCTTCCGTCCGAGTCTCACCATTGTTGAGGTCGGGAGGGCATGTGTAGAAGCAGCCTGAGGTCATTGTCTTTGTGGTGCCGTCTGGTCTTTGTGAGGTGGCTGAGCTGCGCGCTTGCGTGAGGAGAATGGCGGCTGGGGTGCACCGGTCTGTGGGGCGTTAGGGGAGACTGGGGGCTGGGGTGTGCCAGCCATGGGCCATTAGGGGAGACTGGGGGCTGAGGTGCACCTGCCCGTGGGACGTTAGGGGAGACTGGGGGCTGGGGTGTGCCTGCCTGTGGGGCGTTAGGGGAGAGTGGGGGCCGGGGTGCACCTGCCTGTGGGGCGTTAGCGGGGAGTGGGGGCCGGGGTGCACCTGCCTGTAGAGTTTAGGGGAGAGTGGGGGCTGGGGTGCACCTGCCTGTAGAGTTTAGGGGAGAGTGGGGGCTGGGGTGTGCCTGCCTGTGGGGTGTTGGGGAAGAGTGGGGGCTGGGGTGTGCCTGCTCGTGGGGCATTAGGCATCTTGCTGGGTGTCTGATGGTCTCCGCCACGGTCCTAAGATGGCTGATGATACTCTCTTCATACCAGTTACCCTACATTACAGTGTACCCCGAAATTTAGCAGCTTAAACAGTGCACTTTTTCCTCACAGTTTTGGTGGGTCTGGAATCTTGACGTGGCTCAGCTGGGTCCCTGGTCAGGGTCTCTCCTGAGGCTTCTTAAACAGTGCACTTTTTCCTCACAGTTTTGGTGGGTCTGGAATCTTGACGTGGCTCAGCTGGGTCCCTGGTTAGGGTCTCTCCTGAGGCTTCTTGAAGGCGCCGGCCTGGCCACTGCCGTCTCAAGGCCTGCATTGCTGGGGGGTGTGCTTCCATGCTCCTCATGGGTTGCTGTCGGGACCCGGTGCCTTGTGGGCTGTTGGTGGGGACCTGTTTGAAGTCCTTACCATGTGGGCCCCTCCGCAGGGCAGTGCACAGCATGGTAGCTGGCTTCATTGGAGGCTGAGAGGCGGGTGGAAACCACGGCTGTTTGGAAGGTGGCAGCTCTCACCAGACTCTGCGTATTCTGTTCCTTGGGAGGGAATCATTGGGCCCAGGCCACACCCCGTGTGAGAGGAACGCTAGGCGGTGGGGGTCGTGGGCTGTCTTGGAAACTGCCCCCCTCCTTGTTTCCTAGACTTGGAAACTGAGTCCCAGAGGGCTAGAGCTAGGATGAGTCATTCGAAGCAGGTTGATGGCATCAGCACCAGTGTGTGAGTTCTGGTTCTGCCGCCAAAGCCTAAGCTGTTTGTCCTCTGGGAGGCTGTCTCAGGCTACAGCCGCAGCAGCTGCCCTGAACTCTCACTGGACACCTTTTCTGCATGAGACCGGGGAAGCAGGGCCCACAGCCAGGCGGCCCGCCCTGCACTCACCCTTGGCAGGAGCAGCTGTGTACGCGGGGGCCTTGCTCAGCGCAGGGCTGGGCTGCACGCCGAGCGCAGACTCTGACGGCTCCTCACACAGCTCTCTGCGTAGGACTGCGTTCCCATTTTATAGAGGGGGAAGTGGGGGCATGGAGCGGCTCAGGAGCTGTTCAGAATCACACAGCAAGTAGGCGTAGAGCAGGCCTGACCAGGAGCCAGGTCCCAGGGTCTGTGCCATGGGCCCCTTCATGGCGTGTCCAGGGGATGACAATGCAGGTTCCCCATGTGGGTGTGAAGAGGGCTACACGTTGCTGCCTTTTGAGGGGCATTCGGGAGGCAGGATCTGTAGGAACTGGTGACCGGTGAGACGCAGCACCTGGTGATGAAGGGGCGGTGTGTGGCCTGGGCGGTGGCAGTGGTGGCCGTTCAGGAAGGGGCTGCCAGGAGGCAGAGGGTCCCGAAGGCCGGGTGCTTCCCCAGGGAAGGCGCTGGTCCTGTCGTCTGTGTACCCATCATCTGCCTTCTCTCCTGACTTTCCCTAATCAAAGCTGGACACTAGCTGAGGATGTTCTGGACTCGGGGCGTGTTTTGTGGCCCACACCAGGATCTTCCTGGCAGTTTGTGCTGATGGCACTGCCTCCAGGTTCTCCCTTCTTATCCGGTCTCTGCAAAGTGCATGGAATTTTCACAGGCACGCTTTAAGATTCAAAGTGACACTGAATGACTGGTTCCAGTCATCAGGATGCTGTGAGCTACAAAGCTGATCTGAGGATGCTTTGCTTTGCACAGGTACCAGCGTGGCTGCCGATCTTTGGCTGCAAATCTGCAGCTCCTCACTCAGGGTCAGAGTGAGCAGAAGCCACTCATCCTGACCGAAGATGACGACGAAGATGACGACGTCCCAGAGGGGGTGGAGCGTGTGATAGGTGCGTGGGGTCTAAGCGGCGGCCTCTGCTCTTGGGCACCGTCGGGCCAATTCCCCTCTACTCCAGGACCACACTTCCTTCTTCCTTGCTGGTGCCGGCACTGTCTGGCCACCCGTCCCCTTCGCTGAGTGCACGGTCACTGCCCGTCCTCTGGCTCCTGAACCCAGGCCTGTCCCTGACCATGGACAGTCTCTTCCTGTGTGCCGTAGAAGCCCTTTTTCCCACCGCCTCGCCTCCTTCCTGACCTGGGCTGCCTGTTCTGGGCAGCTGGGTGTGTCCTCAGGAAACAGTTCTCCCAGGAAATTGAGTTGGGGTCCCTGGGGCTCAGGTCTCTGGCTCCTTGGCCCCTAAACCCTGCTCAGTTCCTTACCTCAGGAGCCATTTCAAACTCCCTTAAACCACATTACACCTTGCAGGGGTCTCCATCCACTGCCCTGTTCTCCTCCTGTGGGGTCTCCTGCTGCACAGAGACAGAGCCATCAGCGGAGCCCCTCATGGCGGCCATCCTGGGCTCCTGTCCACACACTGTCCTGCCCTCCTGCCGCGGTTGGATGAAGTCTTCCCTGGACCCAGGCAGGGCCTCTTCATGTCCCCTCCCTGTGAGGCCCCCATCCTCCCAGTATCTCCCAGCTTCCTGATGGGCAGGCGGGGCCACGCTGCCTGTGCTGTGCTGCACTCTGCTCACATCCCCGCCGCTCCCTCCAGGGCAGGTTTCTCCCCAGTCATCTGCACCCCACCTCGACCGTGACCATCAGGGCGCCTGTGGCACCGTTGCCAGCCCCGAGCCAGCATCCACTCCGGCCCTTCCCTTGACCTTTGCTTCTCAGAGCCCTCCCTGGTTGCGTGGTAGGCGCCCGCATCTGTGCTGGGCGGCTCTGAGTCCCGGGCGGGGCCCTGGGTCTGCCCCTTCCCCGTGTCCGCAGCCTGCCCCAGGTTCATTCCCGTCTCCCACCCGCTGCAGGCAGTCCCCCCTGCCCGCATTCCAGCTGCTGTGCTGGCTCCAGACTGTCTCTCCACCCTCCCCTGTGGTCACTCAGCGAGCTTGTCCATCAGGGTCTTCCCAGGGCTGCTTGGTGCCCACAGGCGAAGGCTTCACCCTTGCTGGGGCTTGCAGGGCCCTCACCGTGTGACCTGACCCCTCCCTGCATCCTCTAGGCTTCTGTGTGGTTCTTAAAAGTTCAGCCTGCCGCCAAGGCCTGGTCCCTGGGAGAGACGTCTTCGTGCAGCCGCTGGCTGGGGGTTTTCTCTGGAAGCTTCCCAGCCCACTTTGGTCACCCGTGAGCTGCGGGCTCTTCCCCTGGCCTGGGTGGGGCCCTTGATGTTGGCCTTCCCCTGGGGGCAGGCAGCTGCTCCCTGTAGCCGGCTTTAATGGGGTAGATCTCTTTCTTAGGAACAGAGAACTTGGGAACATGGCTGTATGTGATGATTTGAGAACGGAGGGAAGGAAATGTTCTTTTCCTGTCATTAAAATTAATATTGTTAATGTAATTCCCTTCGGCGTGTGCACTGAGTAGCGTACAGGATGGGTCACCTTACAGCTGGGAAACTAGGAACTTTGTGTGGACTCTGTCACGCATCACCTTCCTCTTCCTACAGAGCAGCTGCTGGTCGGGCTGAAGGACAAGGACACGGTCGTGCGGTGGTCTGCAGCCAAGGGGTAGGTGTCTGTGGCCGCAGAAGCACCCCGGGGGGTGGGCCGGCCTCTCCTGTGCGATTCAGCAGCTACAAATACCCAACAGCTTTGGAGTGGCAGCGCGGCCCCCTCCTCGGCCCCCTCCAACTTATGTGTGTTGCTTTACGTGTTGGCGTGAAGATGGTTCCCGAGGCGGAGCTTCGGTCTCCTCCGTCCTCCTGCCTCTGGCTGGCCCTGCCGGGTCACGAGCAGGCCGGGTTTACCTGTTTATCTTCAAAATGTTCCCTTGCTTTTCCACATCCTCATCACTGTGCCCCCCACCTATCGTTCCCCACAGATGGGGGTCACGGCTCCTACAATGACGGTGCTCAGGGAAGAGCCCTCTTTTGTGGGGTGAGCAGGTGCCAGTCCCTCATTCACCCCTCACTAGCACCTGTCATACCTGTGGGAGTCGACATGCACCCTGCACCCCAGGCCTCAGTGGAGGTCGTGGGGCAGATCCAGTGGGGCCTGGCCTTGAACACAACAGGTGGAGCCCTGGCCTGGAGGAGCCGGTGGCCCTGTGGGCTCGGGCTGTGCAGGGACAGCGATACACGTGAAGAAGATGCTGAAGTGTCGGGGAGGCCCCTGCTGTGGAGGAGAGGAGGCAGGTGCAGGGGCCAGCAGGTGCTGAGGTGTCAGGGAGGTACCTTCTGTGGAGGGGATGAGGCAGGTGCAGGGGCCAGCAGATGCTGGGGTTGGGGGAGGCCCCTGCTGTGGAGAGGATGAGGCAGGTGCGGGGGCAGTAGGTGTTGAGGTGGGGGGAGGCCCCTGCTGTGGAGGGGACGAGGCAGGTGGAGGGGCTGACAGGTGCTGGGGGGCGGGGAGGCCCCTGCTGTGGAGGGGATGAGGCAGGTGGAGGGGTGGCAGGTCCTGGGGGGCGGGTTGGCCCCTGCTGTGGAGGGGATGAGGCAGGTCCAAGGGCTGGCAGGTGCTGGGGGGCAGAGAGAACCCTGCTGTGGAGGGGACAAGGCAGGTGGAGGGGCTGGCAGGTGCTGGGGGGCAGAGAGGCCCCTGCTGTGGAGGGGATGAGGCAGGTGCAGGGGCCGGCAGGTGCTGAGGTGTCAGGGAGGTCCCTGCTGTGGAGGGGACGAGGCAGGTGGAGGGGCTGGCAGGTGCTGAGGTGTCAGGGAGGTCCCTGCTGTGGAAGGGATGAAGCAGGTGGAGGGGCTGGCAGGTGCTGAGGTATCAGGGTGGTCCCTGCTATGGAGGGGACAAGGCAGGTGGAGGGGATAAGGCAGGTGCAGGGGCTGGCAGGTGCTGGGGGATGAGGCAGGTAGAGGGGCCAGCAGGTGCTGGGGGACGGGGAGGCTGGTTTTTGCCATTGCTCTCCCATGCGTCTGTGCTGGGTCCGTCCATACCATGATCTCTGGGAGGAGCTCCACAGGGCTGTGCAGGGGCTCACATAGGCCTTTGTGTTGCTGTACGCAGGGGATGGCTTTTCAGCCCAGAGCCTCGTCTGGTTGGGTGTGATGGGCCCACGCAGTGAGAGGCTGGGCAGGCCTTCCCAGTGTCCTTCCTGGAGGCCCCTGGCCAGGACCTTCCCCACGGGGCCATCTCCAGGGACTTGGACCCTGTGAGCCAGCCTCAGGCGGCCTCCATGTGGGGCCGTGAGCCCATCACCTGGCCTGATGGGTGCCTGCACAGTCAGCGTTTGGGGTGGCACAGAGGAAGCCCGGCTCCAGTAGGGAGGGTCAGGGTGAAGCCCTCAGCGTTCGCCTGCTGCCTCGGTACCCTCAGCCGTCACTGGTGGCCTGCAGCGTCCGCGTTACAGTGGTACATGGTGACCTACCCTGTGCCGCGTGTGCTCACTCGTCCCCTTTGAATCTGGCTGCAGGCTCCTTTACCCTGCAGCGTGTTTTAGCGCGGGGGCTCCAAGCAGGGTGCGGGCTTGCCTGGAGTTGGCCTCTTCTCTCCTGGTCTCTGGAGGAAAGGATGGGTGTTCAGGCCATTCACACGTGTCACGCATGCCCTTGGCGACAGGCTGGTGGTGCCCCTGACGGATTGCTGCGTTTCTCTTTCAGCATCGGTAGGATGGCTGGCAGGCTTCCCAGAGCCCTGGCGGATGATGTGGTCGGGTCTGTGCTGGACTGCTTCAGGTATGTGAGAAGAGCAGGGGAGGCGTGTGGGCCTGACCCTGAGTTGAGAAGCCCTGGCTTTCCTTATATCCTTTCACGCTTGCTTTTCATTGAGCTGTTTGTCAGAACTCCAGAAGCTCTTTTTTCCCCCTTTTGAAGTTAAACTTGAGAACTCTTGTTATTTCTGGTATGTTGCTTTTATCAATTCCATTCTATTTAAAAACCTTAAGGAAAAAGAGAGTCAGTTTAGACATATACCCATGTAGATGTTTATTCTGAAAGGAAAAGCTCTACTGAGTGAGTTGGGGCTGCTCCGAGAGCTTTCTGTGGGAGGTTCGGGTCTACCCCTCGCCTACCCATTAGCCACGTGTATCACTCAGACCTTGAAGTGAGGCTGGTGTGACCAAGGCCTGAGTTTGAATTGGATTTCATTTTAACGAAATGTGAGGCTTTGGGAGGCCAAAGTGGGAGGACGGCTTGAGCCTGTGAATTCAAGACCAGCCTGGGCAACGAAGCGAAACCCCATCTCTACAGAGAGTTAAAAAATTAGCCAGACGTGGTCCCAGCTACTCGGGAGGCTGAGGTGGGAGGATCACTTGAGGCCAGGAGTTTGAGGCTTCATGAGCCATGATGGTGCCACTGCTGCACTCCAGACTGGGCAACAGAGTGAGACCCGGTCTCAGAACAAAACTGAGTGTAGACAGCCACGTGTGCTGTGCCGCATTTCTCTTGTCAGCCTTCAGGGAGTTCTGGGTCTTGGGACCGTGTGGCTTGTGGGTGGTAAGTTGTGGGCTGGGATGTGCGGGTGGCAGGGCCTGGGATTTCAGCCTGGGGCCTGCAGTCCTGCCCTGGTGTGCTCACACGTGTGAGGCATCGATCTGTGACCTCCCCAGGGAATTCTCCCTTTTGCTTGTGTAAATGTCTCTCCCAGTTTCAGAAGCGGAGGGTCGAGAGCAGGCGTCCAGCTTGCTCAGGACCCCGGGCGTGCTGTTGCTCTTCATTAGCCTGGACACCGTGGCGAAAGCTGTGCTGTCAGCACTTTGGAGGCTCCAGTTCGCGTTGCCTGTCAGTCACCAGGGACAGCTCCGGAGCCGTTCACAAAGCCTTGTTTTCCTTCTGGAGGAGATTTCTTGTGCACTTAGCCTCCAGCCTGCTCAGTGACAATTTCAGGAGCACAGGAAACAATGTGTCAGATACGGGTCATGTTTTTCAGAGCAGTGTGCATGCATGTGTGAGAAATATTCTTCCAGTGGAAACATTGCTAGCAGAAAACATGCTCTTTACCACAACTGCTTGATGGGAGGCAGGGGTTGGAGGGTGCTACGTGCTTGGCTTCTCTGTAGGCGACCTCCAGCCTTGTTTCAGGCGTGTCCCTGGAGCTCCTTTCTGGTGGTCATGGTGGGCATATGTCCTCCTGTCGCCTGGTGCCACCTGCGGCCTTCACAACAGTGTGGTGGGCTCCAGGCCGGGCCTGCCTGTGCCTGTCTGGACTTTGCCTCTCTCCTCCAGCCGCTGGGCGGCCTGCTCATCAGGCCTAGTGCGTCTCCTAAACTCACTGTGTGTCTTTCCCTCCACAACGTGCAGCCTCTCTGGACTGTGTGTTCCTTACTCTAGCTCACCTTCTTGGTCTAGTTTCATTTTTCCTGGCTGGTTTAATCTTCAGGTGCTTTTTAACCTTTATTTTTGTTATTTTAATGTGCTCATTCCATTTTTGTAGCTAGGTTCTGGGACGGGGTGGCCTTTTTACTCTTGATTTCGCAGGGCCTTCATCCCAAAGTAGCTGCAGGGCCATCATCCCGAGTCCTCGCAGGATGCAGCTCTGGTCAGTGCCTGCCTTCCCTTTTCCTGGGTGCTCAGTGTGTGATTGTCAACCGTGGCATAAAAAGGCGGCTCTGGACAGCGCCTGCTTTCCCTTTCGCTGGGTGCTCAGCATGTGATTGTCAACCATGGCATAAAAAGGTGCAGCCTCAGAGCAGGATGTCTGAAGACACCAGGAAGCCAGGAGTTGCTGGGGTGTGGGGCGGCCCACAGCCCTGCATGGTGGCTGCTCCAATCTTGTCCTTCCCTGGGACGTGTGGTAAGCTGCCAGCCTCTTCTGAAACGGGTCCGAGAAAGGGCATTAATTATATTAACTGTAAGAACACCCAGCACCCAGGAGGGTTAACTTACTCCCCGCTCCTTTCCTGGGCTGGGTTATGCAGTGAGTGGAACTGCACCCATCCCCAGGGGGTTCAGGATCTGTGTGGCTGATGTGGCTGTCCCCCAAGCGTGCACGACTCCCTCAGGACCTGGGGCCCCCTCCTGACTCCCATCACCAGCCCTGCAGCATTACCCTGGACCTAGGAAGTAGCGCCAGACCCCAGGCTGTGGCAGAAGCAGGGTGCCTTGGAGAGGAGTGTGTCTGTGTCTGTGCCAACCCCATTGGTTTCTCCCGTGAGCAAACCAACTGAACCTGTGCCCGGGCCCAGCTGTGGGTCCTGCTGACTTGCCCGAGGGCATCTTCTGAGACACTCGGTGTGGAGCGTCTGGAAGCCACGGCACTACGCTGTGCCTCCCCCTCGCCCGCCGCCCCGTGTCAGCAGGAGCCTCACCACGTGGGTTCCTTTCTGTTGAGCTTTACGGTTTCATCGAGGTTTTGGACTGGGTGATGTGTTCATTCAAAAGTCAAACCAAAGGGAAGAAGACAGCCTCCCCAGACCCCAGAGCCCCCCCGCAGGTGACCTGGGGCACCCGTTTCGCATCCCTCCGGGGACTGATGCAGGTGTGAGCAGATGGATACAGAGGTTTTCTTGTTTTGTTTTTGAGATGGAGTCTCGCTCTGTCGCCAGGCTGGAGTGCAGTGGCGCGGTCTTGGCTCACTGCGATCTCCGCCTCCTGGGTTCAAGCCATTCCCCTGCCGCAGCCCCCAAGTAGCTGGGACTACAGGCGTGCACCACCACGCTTGGCTAATTTTTTGTATTTAGTAGAGACGGGGTTTCACCATGTTGGCCAGTCGGGTCTCTGTCTCCTGACCTTGTGATCAGCCCGCCTCGGCCTCCCGGAGTGCTGGGATGACAGGCTGAGCCACCGCGCCCGGCTGTTTTGTTTTTAGAGATGGGGTCTTGCTCTGTTGCTCAGGCACCATGATAGCTCACTGCGGCCTCTACTTCCTAAGTTCAAGTGATCCTCCTGCCTCAGCCTCCGAGTAGCTAGGACTATAGGTGTGCAGCACCACACCTGGCTAATTATTTTATTTCATTTTTGTAGAGATGGGGACTTGCTATGTTGCCCAGGCTAGTCTTGAACTCCTGGCCTCAAGCAGTCCTCTTGCCTCGGTTTCCCAAAGTGCTGGGACTATAGACCTGAGCCCTGTACCTGGCTAAAATTGTCTCTTTCATTTTACACAGATAATGGCTTACTTGTCACACTTTAACACCAAACGCATCTTTGAGGTCATTTTACATTAGTGCTGTTCCCCTTGCTCTTGATGATCTGAGACCCGTGTACCTGCGACACTCTTTACCCGCCTCCTCTCTCTCTCTCTCTCTTCCTCTCCCGCTCATCCGCCCACTCATAGCTTCCACTATTTTCTGTTGTCTTCCCTCCTCTGAGACCCCCCCTGTGCTTCCAGGAGTGCCTTAAGCTTGGATCTGAGGGCGGGAACTCGCCCCGGCTGCTTGGCTTCTCCCTGTGCCCCTGGTGTCCATGGACAGGGTCCCCTGTCCGGTTCCACTGTGCCGTGGTGGTGCTGGGCCTCTGAGGCGAGCCGGATGGACGGACGGCATCCCCTGGACCCTGCCACCCTTGCCACCGTGCCACAGTGAACACGTGTCTGATTTAGAAGTAGACATTGGTCTGACAGGCATTTGTTTTGGTATTTTTAAGTCACGGTAACCTTGGTGTTTTGTCAAGTTCATTCAGATGTTAACTAAATCTTTGTGAAAGGTGTGAAGCATCTTTCTCCAATGAAAACCCTAAAGGACGCAAGTGCTGATGTGAAAATACGCAAGGGGCTCACGGAGCCTCTGGGCAGACAGTACACGTCTGGAACTTGTTTAATTGTGATTGAGTCTGTCGGTGACAGTGAGCTCTGAGGAGCCCGCTGGTGGACGCTGGTGTCTGTCTCAGCCCCTCCTCTCTGGGCTGGGCACGCAGGAGGTGAGGCAGCCACTGGGCGGACAGGCACTCTCCGATTTTCCTAAGTATTCTTGTCCATACTGATTGCCAGCTAGTCATACAATTTAGTGGGTTTTCCTAAACATTTATTTGCTGTCAAGTCAATTTAATTAGAATCAGGAGAGCTTCTGAACCACCCCGGGGAAATTAGTACGTATAAAATATTATGACTTGATCGATGGCCATTGCAATTGTTCATTAAAAGTTCATATTTCAAATACTGTGAAAAATCTTGAAATGCCAATTCATTATTGTAGCATTTAATTCTGAGTTTGACTAAACAGTGGGGTGTCATTTAAAGAAGGTCTTCCTGCTCCCTTTTCCACTGACGTCTTCCTGTGCTGGGATTCCTGTTTTAAGTTCCTACTTTTCTGAAGTGTCTTATTTCTTTCTATGGGAGCGTGGGTGTTGCCCGTACTTGGAGCGACACCACTGTGGTGGGAAAACCCCACCTGGGACGGCACAGACGGGACGGTCTCTTTGTTTGGGGACTGACCAAGACTTGTCCTCACTCTCGGGAGATCTGAAGAGGCCCTGGGGTAGGCACGGCTGTTGTCTTCATACTCAGTTGCAGTGTGTTATTTCTTCAGCCAACTGATTATTTGTTTTTTTATTTTGAGACGGAGTCTTGCTCTGTCACCCAGGCTAGAGTGCAGTGGCGCGATCTCAGCTCACTGCAACCTCCGCCTCCCTGGTTCAAGCGATTCTCCTGCCTCAGCCTCTTGAGTAGCTGGGATTATAGGCGTGAGCCGCTGTGCCCAGCCTTGATACTTTAAAAACTTAGGAATGGGTTTTAGTGAGCCTTACGTGAGCCTTACAGGCAGAGGATATGGACCTGCCAGGCTGTGCTCCTTGCCATGCTGTGGGCTTTGAACCAAAAGCTGACACGTGGGCTGTGGTCTCAGGATCTTTGTTGCTCTCAGTTTCCAGGAGACTGACAAGGCGTGGCATGGGGGATGTCTGGCGCTGGCAGAGCTGGGCAGGAGAGGCCTGTTGCTGCCGTCTCGACTCGTGGATGGTGAGTAGCTGAGGCACGGTCAGGGGGGATGTCTGGCGCTGGCGGAGCTGGGCAGGAGAGGCCTGTTGCTGCCATCTCGACTCGTGGATGGTGAGTAGCTGAAGCACGGTCAGCTGCGTCACCAGGCTGTCCGTGGCAGGCTGCAGCCCTTCGTCTGAACCCATCTCCGCGGTGTGGCCCTGCCGCGGGCACGCCCAGAAGAGCTTGAGAACAAGGTCTGTCTACCTTTTTCTCGCATTGGCCTTTGTAATTTCCTAATTGCCTCTTTTGTCTGCTGTGGAATTTTAATGCCACAGATTACCCTGTGTAGCTGGTTTTGGAGGGCCACGAATCCTTGTAATGTCTGATTTTCTTACTCCCCAAAACCGGTTTTCATTCTTGAGGGACATTGTCGCCCCTTAAGGACACATGCAGTGGCACCTGCTTCAGTTGTAGAACCAGGTACCCCTGGCAGCATCCTGGGTCACCTGGAGTGACGTGGTGCTCCCTGGAGATGAGGCTCACGCCAGCGTGAAACCAGGGTGGGAACTGGGGTGGAGGGCCAGGGGAGCTCTGCAGTGGCCAGCAGTGGGGTGGGGACAGAGGGCACAGCATGGCAGATGCAGGGGCACTGCCCCAGACCAGCTCTTGTGCCGTGGCCACACGCAGCCCTGTCTGTGTTTGGTGGGGAGAGTCCCTGGGTGTGGCTGGCAGTGCCCTCTGAGGGCAGGAAGGAAAGGATGTCTGTACAGGATAGAGTGGGGGCCCATCCTGAGAGGGCCTCACCACAGAGACTTGATTCTGTCCAAAATAAAGACACCTGAGATGTGGTGGCCTCACGTCTTCCCAGTGTGGAGCTGTGGTGGCGTCTGAAGTGACCGCTTTGCACTTGGCATTTTGATGTATGGGGAGAGCTTTTAGAGCCTGCAGTTCTTTTTTTTAATGTCTCTGCTTATTTTTTTCCAGACTTCTTTAATGTTTAGACCTCTTTATTGCGATCTAATTTACATGCCATAAAATGCACTCATTTAAGTGTACGGTTAAGTGGTTTTTATATATTTACAGAGTTGCGCAACTATTGCCATAATTTAATTTCCGAACATTTTCATTGCCTCCAAAGGAACCCTGTGTTTAAGAACTCACTCTTTACTCTCCCCAGCACCCCCGCCCTGGCAGCCATGTCTCCAGTGTCTCTGTGAATTTGTCTTTTATAGACATTTCCTAACAGTGGAACCTACGACATGTGATCTTTGGCGTCCGAATTCTTCGGCTGAGTTTCTCTGTGTCGTAGCCTGTGGAGTGCCTCCTTCCTTCCTGTGGCAGAGCCTTGTCCTGCTGTGTAAATGCACCACACGCCACGTTTTGTCCATCCTTTTCATCAGCTGATGTACATCTGGGTTGTTTCCACCTTTCACTGTTAGGTTAATGCTGCCATGAACATCGTGTACACGTTTTTGAGTGGATGTTGGGTGTAGGCCTAGTAGAAATGCTGGGTCATACGGTAACTCCACGTTTAACTTTCTAAGAACCTGCCAAACTTTTTCCAAAATGATTGCACCATTTCAAGTTCCTGCCTGTAGTGTGTGAGGGTTCTGCTTCTCTGATCCTCACCAACACTTGCTTTTATCTTTTTTTTTTTGGACGCGGTTTCACTTTGTTGCCCAGGCTGGAGTGTGGTGATGCAATCTCTGCTCACTGTAATCTCTGCCTCCCAGGACCAGGCGATCCTCTCACCTCAGCCTCCTGAGTAGCTGGGACCACCGGTGCCCACCACCATGCCACATTAATTTTTTTTTTTAGTTTTGTTAGAGACAGGGCTTCACCACATTGCCCAGGCTGGTCTTGAAGTCCTCAGCTGAAGCAGTCCACCCGCCTTGGCCTCCCAGAGTGTGGGGAATACAGGCGTGAGCCACCACACTTGCCCCCTGCTTCTTTAAAAAAAAAAAAAAAAAAAAAAGCCGTCCTAGTGAGTGTGAAGCGCCACCTTGTTTTGCTTTTCATCTGCTTTTCCCCAGTGACTGATGACACTGAGCATTTTCTGTGTTTGCCCGTTTGTATGTCTTCTTTGGAGAAATGTCTTTTCAAGTTCTTTACTCATTTAAAAAAATATTTTTTTAATTGTTGTTGTAAGTAAGAGTTTTTTTATGTATTCTGGATATAAGTCTCTTATTGGATATATGATTTGCAAATGTTTTATTGCGTTCCATGGTTGCCTTTTCACTTTCTATTGATTGATTGACAGAGTCTTGCTCCGTTGCCCAGGCTAGAGTGCAGTGGCCCCATCACAGCTCGTTGCCACCTTGATCTCCTGGGCTCAAGCCATATTCCCACCTTAGCTTCCCAAGTAGTTGGGACTACAGGGGTGCACCACCATGCCTGGCAACTTTTTTTTCTTTTTTTGAGACAGGATCTCATTCCCATCGCCCAGGCCGGAGTGCAGTGGCGTGATCTCAGCTCACTGCAGCCTCCACCTCTCAGGCTCAGGCGGTCTGCCTACCTCAGTCCCCTAAGTAGCTGGGGCTACAGGTATGTGCCACCATGCCCAGCTAATTTTTGTATTTTTTATAGAGATGGGGTTTTCCCATGTTGTCCGGGCTGGTCTCGAACTCCTGAGCTCAAGCGATCCCCCCGCTTCAGCCTCCCAAAGTGCTAGGATTATAGGCGTGAGCTACTGCACCTGGCCTTCATGCCTGGCTAATTAAAAAAGTTTTTTGTAGAGATGGGGGTCTCACTATGTGGCCCAGGCTCGTCTTGAACTTCTGGCCTCCAGTGATCCTCCTGCCTCAGCCTCCCAAAGTGCTGGGATTGTAGGCTGTACCTGGTGTGTTTTCAATTTCTTTGATGGTGATATTTGACCCAGGTTTTAAATTTTAATTAAGTCCAGCTCATCAGTCTTTTTCTTTCTTGTGTTTCTGGTGTCATAGCTAAGAAATCATTGCTGACCCCAGAACCATGAAGTTGTGGTTTCATTTAACGTTTTGTTCCATCCGAAGTAAGTGACTCGTAATGTTTATTTGTGACACTAGATGTGTGTGAGGGTGTGTGTGTGAATGTGTAGCTGGGATGGAATGAAGTCCCTGCCTGTGGGGAGCCAGCTCCAGGTTCACTCAAAGGAGACAAGAGACTCTACTGGCTTGTGTGTGTGCTCTGTCATGTCTTATGGCAACATGCACTGACCCCAGGCAGCTGGGGCGAGAGGATATGGGTGTTGGCATCATAAACGAAAAGGGTAAAGCTATGGTTCAGAAACTGACACGTGATGTGGAATACACTGGCCCATGACCTTCGCATGGTTGGTTGGCCCCTTCTGCCTGGCGGTGCCCTCCATGTGAGCTGAACCCTCTTTGCAGCCCCCATTCTGTTCCTGGTGGGACATGGAGAAGCTGTGCTGTCTCTGCACAGGGCAAGGGTTCTTTCAGGCAGGGGTGAAAGAGATCCCATCTTGGGGCTGACTCAGGAGGTGACAGGGCTGACATTTGATGAGCATTTGCAGCATGCTTTTTATGTTTTTGTTTTAGACCTCACACCATTCCTCTGAGAGCCGTCTTGTTTATATAAAGCTATAGTTGGGAGCCACGTGTGGTGGCGGTGCCTTTAATCCTAGCCTCTTGGGAGGCCAAGGCAGGAGGATCACTTGAGCCTAGGAATTTGATACCAGCCTGGACATCATAGTGAGACACCCTCTCTGAACAAACAAACACACACACACAAACACTGCAGCTGTGGGAGCCAGGAAGTCTTTCTGGTGTCACAGCTCATGCTCAGCCCTTCGGCCTCCTCCATGTCACACGGCTGAGCTGTCCCTGCACCTCCTTGTCTCCTTGGAGAGTTACTGTGGTTCTCTGTCAGTTTGGTTTGAAAAGTGAAAACAGGCTGGGCACGGCGGCTCATGCCTATAATCCCAGCACTTTGGGAGGCCAAGGCGGGGGGATCACCTGAGGCCAGGAGTTCGAGACCAGCCTGGCCAACATGGTGAAACCCCGTCTCTGCTAAAAATACAAGGATGTGGTGGTGCATGTCTGTAATCCCAGCTACTCGGGAGGCTGAGGCAGAAGAATCGCGTGAACCCAGGAGGCAGAGGTTGCAGTGAACCGAGATCGCACCACTGCACTCCAGCCTGGGTGACAGAGCAAGATCCTGTCTCAAAAAAAAGAAAAAAAAGCGCGAAAACAAATGCTTGGCAAATAAATGTCGTAGAAAGACACAATATAGATGAGCATGTTTGATGACTAAAGCTTTTGTTTGTCTTAGAGGAAATGTGGAGCTTCATTGGTGCATGCTAAAGGAGGAAGAAGTAAAACTAGGGAAGTCAGGTGGGCAGGCAGTGATGCGATGTTTGCCTGGAAGGCACCCTGGGTCTTTCTGCCCTTAGTCCTCTGAATAGGGGGACTCTGCCTGCTGGACTCAGGAAAAAAGCATCGCATTTTCTTTGGGTTACTTTTTAGGGAATCCTGCTGATTCCTCTCCACACATACAGTGCACACACACACAGAATCTCCATCTGTTGTGCTGTAAGCCTATTTCTTGGTCTCTGACTCTGTGCACACCACCACGCCCAGCTAATTTTTTAAAGAAATTCGAAAGTAGCCTGCGCAACAAAATGAGATCCTGTTTCTACAAAAATTGTTTTAAAAAGGTAGTTGGGTGCAGTCCCAGCTACTCAGGAGGTTGAGGTGGGAGAATTGCTTGAGTCCAGGAGGTTGAGGCTGCAGTGAGCCATGATCGCAGTGCTGCACTCACGCGATCCTCCTGCCTCGGCCTGTGGACAGTGGGCCATGTTCTTTTTCTCTTTGCATCATCACCTCTGTTTGAGGACTACTGTTAAAGGGCTACTTGGTCTTTATTTTAGGTGATTCAAATTCCAGGACTTTTCTTGAGTGGTCCTGGCGTAGGTCCTTTCACCTTTTTTGTGGCTCCTCTTTGAACACCTCTGTTGTTGTGGCAGGAGGAGGTGGGCACTCCTCACCATGAGTAAGCTCCTACAATGTTTGTGAACCCTTACGGTTTCCTTTGTTGGATACAAGAAGCACAGGTGGGGGGATGTATTGGTTTAAGTTTACCTTTTTTTTTTTTTTCTTTTTTTGAGACAGAGTCTTGCTCTGTTGCCCAGGCTGGAGTGCAGTGGCGCCCTCTTGGCTCACTGCCAGCTCCATCTCCCAGGTTCAAGTGATTCTCATGACTCAGCCTCCCGAGTAGCTGGGAGTCAGGCGCCCGCCACCATGCCCAGCCAATTTTTTTATTTTTAGTAGAGACCAGATTTCTCCATGTTGGCCAGGCTGGTCTCGAACTCCTGACCTCAAGTGATCTGCCTGCCTTGGCTTCCCAAAGTGCTGGGATTACAGGCGTGAGGCACTGCGCCCAGCCAACTGTACTATTTTGATAAAATGTATACATGTGCTCCTTATTATGCATTTTGTGGTTTTCATCAGTATTTTGCTTTTTGAAAAATGTCAAGTGTTCTGATCTCTTTGGACATTTTGTATGAACCCTATTTCCCTTGCTATCCTTATTGATTGAGAATTGTGCATATTGATTTGGGTAATAATAACTAGCACTTGGTGTTTTTCTGAGCTTGGATGTGTAGATTCATGTCTTTCATCAAACTCGGGTAGTTTTCAGTCATTGTTTCTTCAGGTATTTTTGCTGCCCCTCTCCTCTCCTTGTGGGACTCTTGTTATGTTAATACACATGTTGGTACTCTTGGTGGTACCCTATGAGTCTCTTAGGTTTTGCACTCATTTCAGCTCTTGAGTCTTCTTGTTATGTTAATACACATGTTGGTACGCTTGATGGTGCCCTATGAGTTTCTTAGGTTCTGCCCTCATTTCAGCTCTTGAGTCCTCTTGTTATGTTAATACACATGTTGGTAAGCTTGATGGTGCCCTATGAGTCTCTTAGGTTCTGTGCTCATTTCAGCTGTTGAGTCCTCTTGTTGTGTTAATATACATGTTGGTAAGCTTGATGGTGCCCTATGAGTCTCTTAGGTTCTGCACTCATTTCAGCTGTTGAGTCCTCAGTTCCAGAATTTCTCTTTAGTTTCTCTTTTAATAATTTCTTTTTGAGACAGGGTCTTGCTCTGTCGCCCAGGCTGGAGTGCAGTGGTGGTATCACGGCTTACTGCAGCCTCAACCTCCCAGGCCCAAGCAGCTCTCCCGCCTCAGCCTCCTGAGTAGCTGAGACCACAGGCCTGCTGCACTGGAAAAAAAAATTGTAGAAACAGGATCTCACTTTATTGTCCAGACTGCTTTCAAATTCTTGGACTCAAGTGATCTTCCTGCCTTGGCCTGCCTTGGGATTATAGGAGTGAGCTGCTGTGCCCAGCCTGTTTTTATAATTTCTGTCTCTTTATCAACATTCCATGTTAGTTTAAATGTTGTTCTTTTGGTCTCCTTTAGTTCTTTGTCCACAGTTTTCTTGAGATCTGTGAGCATATTTTTGTCTAAGACTGAGCACAGTGGCTCACACTTGCTTCCCAGCACTTAACCTTTGCTTTAAAGCCTAAAAAGGAAGAAATCTTTGCATATGTGTTTCCCAAATAACAGATTTGAGGGCTGTGTTGGTGACATAGGTCTGTTTATACCCACTGTGTGGCTAAAGCAGGTCTCTGTTAAATTAGCATCTACAAAGCTTTTCTCCTGCCTTCCCTCAAACTTAGGAAGCTCCCTATGCAATCTTCAGGCTGGGGTCCTTCACTGCCCCCTCTCAAGGAGGCCTACCCCTTCCCCCAGAAGGTGCAGTCTGTCACCCCATGTCTTATAAAGTGTAATGGTCTGGTGTCCCAAAGCCACAGAGAAGCCCATTCTAACCTTCCTGCAACTTTCTGAAGGTTGGAGAGCATGTTTGTTTTACTGCTAGGAGGCTCAAGGTCCCTGTGAACCTGCATCAGGTAGTAAGCCCTGCATGTCGGAAATACAGACTGCCTAACTCTTATCTAAGGTGATGTTTTGAGAAAATTTTTAAATGTATAATACATTTTATAAATTTCGAAAAAATTTTAATAAACATTAAATTTTTATAAGTTTATATAAATGTTATAAATTTTGAAAAATGTACAGAGTTGCATTGGAGCACACGCTCTCAGTGTTCATCGAAGACGTACAAGCAGCGTCTTACGACGATGTTGCTGCAGCTGCCTTGGGGTCTTGTTAAAAGCACCATTCAGTAGATTAATTCCCACCTGTGGACTGTGTTTTCTGGCTTCCAAAAGAAACTGTCATGTTTTTCTCTCTGGATGACGAAAACTCTGCACGTACTTCCTATGACAAGTGCGATTGGCGCCCACTGCTCTTGGCAGTTGAGGTGAGGACACAGCGTTTCTGTGACGGTGAAGGGGACAGGGTTTGGAGGGAGATTCAGACATTAAACAAGGAAACGAAGGGAGCAATTTCAGAGAATGGATAAAGTCGTTAAGAAAATACAAAAGGGCGGTGAGATCCTCAGTGATGGGGCCAACCAGTGACTTGAATAAGACTTGGGGAAGACCTCCTGGGGCGACATTTACGCTGAGAGCTTCTACCGTGAAGGAGCCGAGCAGGATGGACTCCTGACCGCAGCATCTCAAAGAGGAACGAAGGCTCGCACGAGCTGGGACAGCGGAAAGAGCAGAAGAGTGGGCACAGAAAAGCGCCTGGGGGCCAGATCCTAGAGGGGCTTCAGGAACACAGTGAGGGGTTTGGAAATTATTCAACATAAAGTCAGATACTGGGGAATACACGGGGGTGCAGTGGAAAGGAAGAGCGAGGGAGAGTGAGGCCATTCGGGAGCCACCACAGTGTTCGGAGTGAGACCAGAGCTGTGAAGAAAGAGAAAAGGAAATACGCTGCATGTAGGATTCTGAACTCAACGACTTTGCTGTTCTATTCAGTGAAAGAGAGTGAGATAGTAAGGTCAGTGAGTGACATGTTGGAGCCTTCCACATAGTAATGGTCTACAAAGTTATGGATTGATGAGTTCACACAGGAGGGAGTGAGAGATGAGGAAGGTGAATGGGTGGAAAAGCTTGAACCGGGTTCCCAGGCTCACTGGCATGGGGAGGTGGAGAAAAGGGGAGGAAGCAGCCGACATGGAAACCCGCAGAGGCTCCTTCAGAAGGGATATTTTATAGGAGAGGAGTCCGATTCTGAGAGGGGGAAGGGGTGGAGGACCAGAGTTTCCTCACAGGCTCTGGAGCACTGAGGTGGATGGTAAATTCCAGGAGAGCAGCTCCAGCTGAGGTCTAGGGACAGGGCATTCCCTCCCTGGTAGAGCCGTTGGGGCTCAGTGCCGAGGCTGGCTCAGGCTCTTGTGGGGGGCCCTGCTGTCTGTCCAGCCCTGGCTGTGGCCTGGCCTGACCCTGCTGCCCCCTGCAGGCCTGTGTACCTCAGTTCCCAGGTGATCAAGGGGCCCTGGGAGAGGTTGGGTCTGAGCACGTCCTGACATGGCCCCAGTGTCCAGTTCCCCGCCTGTTTTTGTTGGCTTGTTTAATCTTGGTAGGCTTTTAAGCTTTCAGGTTTTCAGGAAAATGCAAAGCATGAGACATCTTTGACTTTGTACGTGGACCGATTGTTCTTTTTTTGTGTTAATGGTGTTTTTTTCCTTGTGTGAACGTGTGTGTTTCGTGTTGCACTCCGCCCTGCTCTCCCTCCCTCCCTCCCTGTAGAACGTGGCATTTTGGCTGAACGTTAACACTGGTGGGGGCAGACGGCAGTGGGCCCCCGTTAAGACTGTTTAGAAAGGGCGTTGTCGGCATCTTCTCTTACATGTGAATTCAAGGATCCTTTATTTTTTTTCAGCTTTATTGATATGTAATTCGTCTACCATATAATTCACCCATTTAAAATATATAGTTCCATGGTTTTTAGAATATTCTATTATTACTTAGAAAATTGTGGCAAAATATGTATAACAAATTTGCTCTTTTTATTATTAAGCATGTTAATCCAGTGGCATTAATTACACTCTCACTTTTGTACAACCATCACCATTATCTGGTTCCAAAACTTCTCATCACCCCAGATTAAGAAGTCACTCGCCCCTGATGCTCCTTCCCTTCAACCCTTTGTAACTCTAGTCTACTTTCTGCTTGAAAAAGGACTTTGCCTGTTTTAGAGATCTTGTACAAGTGGAATTGGACAATATTTGGCCTTTCATGTCTGGCTTATTTTATTTAGCATCATGTTTTCAAGGTTAATCTGTGTTGTAGCATGTATCAGAATTTTCTTTCTTTTAAAGGCTGAATAATATTTCATTGTATGGACATACCATATATTTATTTATTTTATTTTTACTTTTATTTTTATTTTTTTTTGAGACAGAGTCTTGCTCTATCACCCAGGCTGGAGTGCAGTGGTGCGATCTCGGCTCACTGCAAGCTCCGCCTCCCAGGTTCACGCCATTCTCCTGCCTCAGCCTCCTGAGTAGCTGGGACTACAGGCGCCCGCCACCATGCCCGGCTAATTCGTTTTGTATTTTTAGTAGAGATGGAGTTTTATCATGTTAGCCAGGATGGTCTCGATCTCCTGACCTCATGATCCACCCACCTTGGCCTCTCAAAGTGCTGGGATTACAGGTGTGAGCCACCGCGCCCGACCCATATATTTATTTTTTAAAGATAGGATCTCACTGTATTGTCCAGGCTGGAGTGCAGTGGCTATTCACAGGCCCAATCATAGTACACCACAGCTTCCAACTCCTGGGCTTGAGCGACTCTCCCACCTCAGCCTCCTGAGTGGCTGTGATTGCAGGTGTGCACCACCGCCCCTGGCCATATTTTCTTGATCCATTCATTTGTCAGTGGACGCTTGGGTTATTCCCACCTTTTGGGTATTGTGAATAATGCTGCTGTGGACATGGATACAAGAACCTGTTTGACACCCCTTTTTTTAGTTCCTTTGGGTATATACCCTGAAGTGGAATTAGTGGGTCATGTGGTAATTCTATGTTCAGCTTTTTGAGAGCTTATCACTTTTTGTATGTAAAAATTACGAGTGTTTAGTTCTTAAGTCGGATCATGCATAAATGCAGAAACGTAGTTAAAAAATAAGTCTCTTTTTTTTTTCTTTTTGCTATAAAGCTCTAGGAATCGATTTTGCTTTTAGAGATAGACACAAAGGGCTTATCCTGGTTGCAATGGGTGAGCTATTGCAGATGACCTTTGGAGGAATTGTGTCGGAGTGTAGAATTTTCACAGTGTAGCTCGCCATGCATCAGGCACATGTAGCCTGTGCCACAACCATTGTGCTTGGGCGGGGTTCTCCATGCTGCCCTGTTGCAGGAGGATGCTCTGCCCCTGCTTCTCCCTATTTGTCATTTAAGATGATTCCTGGTGCTTTTTGGTGAGCGATCAAATGGTGTTCTCAGAATCTTTGGGCCCTTGACAACGGAGGGCTGTATTCTTGGGGGTGTGATGTGAGAGCTCCTTGTCTGCAGGGTGTGAGGCTTTGGGTCCTGAGTGTGGACCGTGGCATGTGATGTCTTGTCACGGCTCCCTGCACGGCTGTTTAGTTTCTGAAAGCTGGAAGTATAATATTTTTGTTCTTTGCCAAAACATACTGGTGTATATAAACAGAAGTGCCCAGGTGAGCGACTCAGCACTGCGCCTGTGTTTATGGTTCTGCGTCTGACCGTGTGCCTTTTAGGCTGGTGTAGTGGTTGTCTGAGGTGGGTGCCTGACAGGGCTGGGGGACCTGCTGGTGTCCTTGCTGCTGCTTTAGGGACAGCTTGAAGCAGTGTCCTCAGATACCCCTTGGAATTGTGACAAACTCTGTATCCCTCTTACAAGTTTTATAGAACTCTAACCAGTTGCAAATAACTATTTGCCATCCTGAGTATTGTCATTTTAAAATAAAACTATTGCGTCACTCATCTGAATAAATCTGGGAAATTGAGGTAGAATAATCTACCATTCTTCGTTAAAAAATTTACAGGGCTGGGCGCCATGTCTCACATCTGTACTCCCAGCACTTTGGGAGGCTGAGGTGGGAGGATCACTTGAGCCCCGGGAGGTTGAGGCTGCAGTGAGCTGTGATCGCGCCACTGCACTCCGGCCTGGGCCAGTGAGCGAGACCCTGTCTAAAAAACAATTTCATAGGCAAGTTTTTCTCTCACAGAAATTTTATTCTTCCTTTTTCTTCTTAAGCCCATATTTCCATTTACTTTTTTCCCAGAGCATTTTACCCTAATGTAATGTATTTCTGTGCCTAAGAATCTTTATTGATCTATCATTTATCTGCAACGAAAGAAAATAACATAAACATAAACTTCAACTTTTGCATTTTGTATGGCCATAAGATGCTAGTTATTTATTTATTTTTTCCACAGGTGTTCATGACCTTTTTTTTTTATTATTTTTTTAACTATACTTTTAAGTTTTAAGGTGCTAGTTACTTAGAAGTTTTTTTAGATTGGGTTTTAAAAAATTATGAGTACAGAGTTGACCAAAACAACATAAAATAGCATATTATTGAAATTTAGCTCTTAATAAGATAGCTGTTTAGTTTGAGTTATCTTTTGATGAGTCAGGCTTTTTTTGTTTTTATTTTTTGAAATGATTCTTGCTCTGTCACCCAGGCTGGAGTGAAGTGGTATGATCTTGGCTCACTGCAGCCTTGACCTCCTGGGCTCAAGCAATCCTCCTGCCTCAGCCTCTCAAGTTGGTGGGACTACAGGCAAACATCCCATTGCTCAGCTAATTTTTGTATTTTTTGTAGGGATGGGGTCTCCCTGTGTTGCCCAGACTGGTCTTGAACTCCTTGGCTCAAGCAGTCCTCTCACCTCAGCCTCCCAAAGTGCTGGGATTATGGGTGTGTGCCACCATGCCTGGCCGTGAGCCATGCTTTTAACCAGAATAAGGCAAGGTTCTGCAACAGTACAATTTTTGCTTTTTATTTATGTATTTTTTTTGAGAAAAGGTCTCACTCTGTCACCCAGGCTGGAGTGCAGTAGTGTGATCATGGCTCACTACAACCTCTGCCTCCCAGGCTCAGGCCATCCTCCCGCCTCAGCCTCCCAAGTAGCTGGGACCGCAGGTATGTGCCACCACACCTGGCTGACTATTTTTATTAGAGACGGTGTTTTTCCATGTTGCCCAGGCTGGTCTCAAACTCCTGACCTCAAGCAATCCATCCGCTTTGGCCTCTCAATGTGCTGGGATGACAGGTGTGAGCCACTACGCCCGGCCCCTATTTTTACTTTCAGTTTTAAGTGCTAAGAAGTCTTATTCATTCAAGTCTTATTCAAGTAGCTAGGAATGGCAGAAATTTTGCTTTAGCAATGCTGGTGTTTCAACTTTTTCCAAGCTCACGCCTGACCTCTGTGCTCTGTCACTGAGCAGCTTCAGTAGGGTGGCCTCAGTCCTGTGAAGTGATGCGTTGACAGCCACCTGCATGGGGAAGCATTTCCCAGTCTCTGGAGCAGTTCCCATCGTAGTGTCCACTGCATGGTTTCCAGTGTGTTGGGTGAGAGGCTGCCTTTCTTGAAAAGTGAGAGAAAGGGCTGTTGTGAGAGGGGACATGGGGATGGAGAAACCCTTTCTCAAGCAGAGCCTTAGGGGCTGAGGCTCCGGAAGTCTACGCTCCTAAAGCACTCTGAAGCCTGAGGACCCCATGGATGGCCATTGAGTAGCCCCAGGGGTGCTTCGCACATGCCGGTACTTGACCACTGCTTTAAACCCATGTGCACACATGCACGCTCACACACATGCACGATGCAGAAGTGCATACACACGTGTACATGTGCACACTGACACATGCACGTTGACACGTGTACACCCAATCGAATGTGCACAACTACCCCCACAGATAGCACACACCCACACAATCGAATGTGCATACACCCACAGATACACACACGTGCACACCCGTACAATCGAATGCACACATCCGCAGATATGTACACGTGGACACCCACACGATTGAATGTGCCCCCCCACAGATATGCACCTTTGCACACCCACACAATTGAATGCACACACACCCCCCCACAGGCACACGTGCACACCCACACAATCTAATGCACACACACCCCCATAGATATGAGCACGTGGACACCCACACGATTGAATGTGCATACACTCACAGATACGCACACATGCACACCCAATCGAACGCACACACACCTGCAGATATGTACACGTGGACACGCACGATTCAATATGCATACACCCACAGATACGCACATGTGCACATCCACACAATCGAATGCACACCCCCCCGCAGATATGCACACGTGCACACCCACACAGTTGAATGTGCATACACCCACAGACACACATGCACACCCGTACAATCGAATGCACACACCCGCAGATATGCACACGTGGACACCCACACGATTGAATGCGCCCCCCACAGATATGCACATGTGCACACCCACACAATTGAATGCACACACACCCCCCCACAGGCACACGTGCACACCCACACAATCTAATGCACACACACACCCATAGATATGCGCACGTGGACACCCACACGATTGAATGTGCACTCACAGATACATGCACACCCAATCGAATGCACACACACCCGCAGATATGTACACGTGGACACGCACACGATTGAATATGCATACACCCACAGATACACACACGTGCACATCCACACAATCGAATGCACCCCCCCCGCAGATATGCACACGTGCACACCGGCACAATGGAATGTGCCCCCCCCGATTGCACACGTGCACACCCACACAATTGAATGCACACACACCCGCAGGTACGCACACATGCACACCCACACAATCGAATGCGCACACACCTGCAGATATGTACACATGCACACCCACAGAATCGAGTGTGCACACACCCATACATAATGCGCATGCACTCACATGATTGAATGTGCACACACCCAGAGATGCACACACACACATCTAATCAGATGTGCACCCCCACACAGATATGCACATGTGCACACCCACAGGATCGAATGTGCACGCCTAATCAGATGTGTACACCCCTCCCACATATGTACACATGCACACTAACACAAATGTGTACACACCCGCAGGTATGTACACATGCACACCTACACAGTCGAGTGTGCATGCCCCCCACGGATATGCACACGTGCATACCCACACAATCCCATATACCCACCCCCACAATCACGTGTACACACCCCCGCAGATATGCACACACGCACACCCACAGGATCGAATGCGCACACACCCACAGATAGCACACACGCACACCCACACAATTGAATGCGCACCCCCCACAGATATGCACACGTGCACACCCACACAATAGAATGTGCACACACCCGCAGAGATGCACAAGCGCATACCCACACCCGCAGACGTGCACATGCACACATCCACACGATCAAATGTGCACGTGCATCTGCAGACATGCACAAGCAGACACCTACACGCACTCGCAGACATGCACACCCACATGGGCGAATGTGCACACCCCCCCCACACAGATAGCACACGTGTACACCCACACAATTGAATGTGCATACACGCACCCGTTCACAGGTTAATCGCTGCCACAGCTATCAGCTCTTTTTCATTGACTGTTACGGCAAAATATTCTAAAGGATAACATAGATTTATGTTTATTTGCATTTTATGTTTCCTTATGGTTCATATGAGTTTATTGGAAAATTAGCAACATACACATCATTTTGGGGAATGGAAAGTGAGGCAGAGTAAGCCAGAACATTCACTGTAACATTATAAGCAAGTAGAATAAATTGATAATACCTTCACCAGTAATGCACTTTCCCTAGTGGAAATAAATTATTTGTATAAATAGCCTCTTGATGTTTGTGTGTTATTTAGTTATACAAATCACATTTTTCTTTTTTACATATGGCACTTTAATGTTAGTACTGAAAATGTTTTTTCTGACATTTTTTCAGTAATTGTCATTTACATCAAATATGCAGCTAGAGCTAATAGAAAAACAGTTAAAACAATTTGTTGTAATGGTGAGATATTTATAAGGAAACATTTATAAAAGATCTTCTGTAAGACAGCTTAGACTTGAAAATACATATCAGTCTTAGAGTCATTCAGGTGTTTTTACAACCAAAAGTAGAAGCACCTTTTAATATTCATGCTTAATATTTATAAAAACTGAATTGGAGGGTTTTTTGTTTGTTTGTTTGTTTGTTTTTTTGAGAAGCAGCAGCTGCATTTGTAAAAATGTGAAAGTGCCAGTTCAGAGGTGTTGTAGCTTGCCACCTTGGAAGGCGTGTGTGTGGCCGTAGCTCTGTGAACACACGTGTGAACCCGGCGTTAGGACACCCGGGCCCTCCTTCGTAGTGTGAACACTCTGGCCGTGTCCTGCAGCTTCGCCTTCTTAGCTCCTTGCTGGGATTTTCCAGCATCCCTTAGACTTGTCCTCTTTTGTCCTTTGGGTCTGAGGTCACACTGGGCCTCTTGGCTCTCCATGGAGCTCAGTGTGGGTGTGTCTTGCCGGCAGGCAGGTTCCGGGGCCGCAGCATCCCCATCGCCCACCCGGATGTTCCTGGGGCTGTAGGCCGCCAGCTGGCACAGGGCCACGGCTGCCGTCTGCTTCTGCTCCTCGCTGCTGTCCACCGCGCATGCGTCTGGAGCCTCCTCGCCGGGGCCTGTGGGTGGGGCCCCGTCACCGTCGAGGCTGCCTGGCTTGGTCTCAGGGTGGCTGGGCCCATCCTCAGAACCTTCTGTCCCAGTCTTCTGTGGAACAGCAGCAGCAGGTTCTGCAGCTCGTGGTCGACCGGGGAAGGCAGGCCTCGGAGCCTGGGTGTTACAGGGGTCCTTCACCGAGAGATTGAGTGGAAGGTCCTGCAGCTCTGAGAAGCTGGCGGTTTCCGCCTGGGGGCTGCCTTGGTACGTGGGTTCGTGGGTGGCTGCCAGGTTTATCTCTGATTTCTTGGAGAGGTTGAGGGGGCCCATCCCGGAGCTGTCGTCCGGACTGGAAGGCGCGGCCTCCGAGACGAGAGAGGCGCTTCCGGTCGGAGCAGGAGGGTCTCCGTTCACAACATTGAGGCTAGAAGAAGCCAAGAAAAAGCTTAGTAGGAGCTTGCTTAGAAAAGCAACTGCGTGAAGCAGTGTGAGCAAGTATAAGCCTGGCTCATGGAACCCAACCAGAAACATTCCCTTGGAGGTTTTGAAAATGACATTTTCTTACCTTACTGGAGACTCTGCTGTGGTCTCAGCAGCCTGGGCAGGTAGGCATTCTGTGCTTTTCTTAACAGGCCTGAAGGCTGTGAGGCTTTGCTCTGGCGGGTAGAGTCTTCCCAGTGCGCTGGAGGCTGCCTTGTTGGAGAGGTCGTACAGGCCTTCGCAGGTCTGGCTCGTCTGCATGAAGTCGGTGGGGCTCGGCCTCCCTGGGGAGCCCGTGGCTGCACTCCCTGCGCGGGGGCTCATTTTGGACCCTTCCGTGTCTCTCTGCCCAGCCTTGGAGGAGTCTTTAGCCTCAGGAATTGGACTTTCGAACTCGACGTGTTTTCTGTTGGGGTCCGAAGGGTTTAACCTGGAAGGACTCGAGGCTGGATAGACCAGGGTGGCTTCTTCAAGCAGGTGAGAGCTCTGATCTCGGGTGAGGCCAGTGACAGGTGGGAGTCTGAGACCATAGGAGGAAAATGCAGACTCTGGCCTGTAAAATCCGTAAGGAATCGGCAGGTTAGAGGGATATTGCTGGAAAAACCTGTAGTGATCGTATGTGGCTGGAGATGGAGCCAGGTGCTTAGGGATCGGCCCCGGGTGAGGCAGGAAGTGTCTCGGGTCTTGGGTTCCGTAGACTGACAGCAGGGGTGCGTCACACTCAGGCGAGCTCCCAGCCAGCAGGTAAGGCGAGTAGATGGTGGCCAGCCCGTGCTCTGTGTAAAAGTGAGGCGGGTACTCTGGGATTGTGGGGTGCATGTAAGGGGAAATGGCCCCAAGCCCCTTTGTAGATGAGATTTTATGTGGAAACTCTGGTGGAAGGAAAGGTGAGCCGGCTTTCCAGGGGTAGCCAGGAGTGTGGAAGGCCGACTTGGTGTGGAAAGACACGGCCTTGGCAGTGGGGTTGTGTAAAGCCAGTGTCTCGGGCGCCTCGGCGTTGTCTGGCCCCTTGAGTCTGTGCTCGCCGACTGGAACAAATGCAGAAGGCCGAGCTGCGCCTTCCAGAGCAGGCTGGGCACCGAGGGCGGCTTCCGGAGCTGGGCTCTTGCAGGGTGATGCCCTGTGGAGGGCTGGCTTCTGTCCCAGGCACCTGTGGGTTCCCCGGGCTTGCAGCTCCAGGTTTTCCTTGATGTCTTCCCTGGCAGAGCTGTGCTGAAGCTTCGAGTCGAAGGCAGAGAGTCCATTTGCGACAGACTTGGAAGAGGCTGGCTTCGCCGTGGCATCGGGCTGGTTGGTTTGCTTGGGGTCTAGTGAGTTAGATTTAGGGCACTTGGGAACTCGATCCTGCTCTGATACTAAAGTAATCGAGTTTTTACAAAGACCATACTTCATGTGATTAAAAAGATGTGACTTCTCATTGCAAGTAAAGGGACATTGGAAACATTTATACTTGAAGGGCTTTCCTGGAGGCCTGGGGATGTAATGTGGCTTTTTTGGCTTCCGCTCTTTGAGGAGACTCATTTTCCTCCTTATGCCTTGGACTCTGGCTGTCCAGGTGGCGTGATCACTGTCGACGCCGCGTGCACTTCGTGGTTTCTAAAGAGGCACCTCCCGCTTTGCTTTCTTTCCCGATCACTTCTATCAGAAGCCAGCTCTGCGTGCTGAGGGTCTGGCGAGAGCCTCCGTCATCTGGCGGCTGGGAGCTGTAATAAAGAGCAGTCTTGGTGTCAGGACAGCGAGTGAGGGGTCGGCGAGAAGCCGGCCTCGGCTCGCCACAGTGCCACAGGATCCCTGAAGCAGAACCCCTGAAGGGCTGAAACTGCCTGCTCCTGAGGGGAGCAGCTGCCGGTCACAGAAGCAGCCCTGCCCTACCCTTGGTAACCTGGCTGCTGACTCCCCACCGTGTTTTCTGTTTTCTGAGTCTGATCTGAAAGAGTCACCTCGGGGCCTAGAGGTGGAGTGTGGTGTGTGGTGCGTTGAGTGTCTGTTCTGAGAATGCCTGTAAGCCTTTGAGTTTTGGGAACTTTCATCCTGTGACCTGGACCTTTCCTCGAAAGCGCCCTGCCGGGGGCTGAGGACACCGAGCCCCCTCCCAGGGTCTGGACAGAGTCCTGTCCCAGGGCTGCCCGACTCTGCTTGGGGGTTACACGCTTGAAGCAGTGGGTGTGTGATCGGCCACACTCTCACGTGAAATACGAAGGGGTTTGTGGCTGTTTCCCCTTAACATGTACCCACAGTCACAGAGTGCCCCTCACTTTTACACAGAGCGTGGGCTGGCCACCGTCTACTTGCTCCTACCTGCTGGCTGGGAGCTCTCCCAAGTGCTGTGCGCCCCTGCCGTCGGCCTGTAGAACCCAAGACCATGGATGCTGCTGCCTCCCCTGGGGCCGATCCCTAAGCACTCGTGGCAGTTTCTGCCCACTTTAGCCACGTCGTTGGTGTATTCTAGTGTGCTTGTTTAAAAATGAAGAACATTCGAACACAAGACTCTACCCTACTGCTTCTAAAGTCAGCTTTATCATTAAGTAGCATTTATGTTGTCTCAGATATGAATACAAATGCTATATTTATGTTGACTTAAATGGTTGAAATACTGTTGGTGAATTTGTACATCCTGTGAGTGACAGCAGCATTGTGAGACATGCTTTCACGGTCACCCGGTTCCTGCTGGCCAGGAGGCATGGCCAGCAGCGCCTGCCCGTCCAGATGCACCACCAAATGGAAGAACCAAAGCTTTGCCACACTCCTGCCCGAGAGGAGACCAGAGTGAGTAGTATCCGCTTTAGAGATGGTTGGGTCATGGGAGGAAGCTGTCCTGGCCCTTAACCTTTAGGGAGTGGGTTCAGCCCTCTGGCCACACCCACTCAGGTCCTGGGACCCACCAGAGGCTGTGTGTGTGATGTCAGAGCTGGCCTGCTCTTTTGGATTCTTCCAGAGGGTCTCTGTGTCCCCCTTACCAGCCTCAGGTTTCCTTCAGAGGCTGTGCCGCACGCCCAAGGCTGAGAACAAAGGCTGTTTTTCTTTTTTTGAGACAGAGTTTCTCCCTTGTTGCCCAGTCTGGAGTGCCATGGCGCAATCTCAGCTCACTGCAACCTCCGCCTCCTGGGTTCAAGCGATTCTCCTGCCTCAGCCTCCCGAGTAGCTGGAATTACAGGCGCCCACCACCATGCCCAGCTAATTTTTTTTGTATTTTTAGTAGAGACGGGGTTTTGCCATGTGGGCCAGGCTGGTCTCGAGCTCCTGACCTCAGGTGATCCACCTGCCTTAGCCTCCCAAAGTGCTGGGATTAGAGGCGTGAGCCACCGCACCCGTCCCAGAACAAAGGCTTTGAGAGTCTGGGACTGTCCACCTGGCAGCTGGGCCTGGAGCGACTCAAGCAGCAACTGTGCCTGGGAGACAGGGTGAGTGGGAGATGGGGTGGAGGTGCAATGGATCAAGGCTAAGCACTTTAATTCGTATTAAAAATGTAAAAAAGAAAAGGTCTTTAGGGTCTAAATATTTTCAAACAGCTTAAAAATAAAGTTAAATGACCCAAATGCCTATCAGTGATAGACTGAATAAAGAAAATGCGGCACATATACACCATGGAATACTGTGCAGCCATAAAAAGGAACGCGATCATGTCCTTCGCAGGGAGAAATGGATGGAGCTGGAAGCCAGCATCCTCAGCAAACTAACGCAGGAAGAGAAAACCAAACGTGCATGGTCTCACCCATAAGTGGGAGCTGAACAGTGAAAACACATGGACACAGGGAGGGGAACATCACACACCAGGGCCTGTTTAGGGGTGGGGGTCGGGGGGAGGGAGAGCATTAAGACAAATAGCTAATGCATGCAGGGCTTAAAACCTAGATGATCGGTTGATGGGTACAGTAAACCACCATGGCACACATTTACCTGTGTAACCTACACGTTCTGCACTTGTGTCCTGGAACTTAAAGTATAATAAAAAAAAAATACATTAAAGTAAAGTTAAATGGAGGGCTGGGGGCCGTGGCTCATGCCTGTAATCCCAGCACTTTGGGAGGCCGAGGTGGGAGGATCCCTTGAGCCCAGGAGATTGAGGCTGCAGGGAGCTGTCATCCCACCACCGCACTGCAGCCTGGTGGGCAACAGAATGAGACCCTGCCTCAAAAAAAAGCTAAATGGAAATGACTTAAGAAAACTGTTTCAACTGCAGTATTTTTTTTAAGGAATGGGCAGATGTGCCCATTCTTGAGTCTGTGAGGTTTTATGTGTAGACATCAGGGTGGCTAAAAGTCAAGTGAAAAGCCGCCCCTTGAAAATAGAGCAACGTGTGTGGGAGCCTAGGAGGCAGCTGTCCCTGAAGCAAGGCGCCACCCCTCCTCCCTGCACCCGTGTCCTTCCTCCCACACGCCAGGGGCCAGGGGTGGTGGCTGGGCTTTCATATGGCTGCCCCGAACTCTGGGGAAGTGCTCTGATTTTGTTCTCAGCAAACTGGTTTCTCTACTGATTTATTCATATTTCTTTCTTTCTTTCTTTTTTGAGACGGAGTTTTGGTCTTGTTGCCCAGGCTGGAGGGCAGTGGTGCGATCTCGGTTCACTGCAACCTCTGCCTCCTGGGTTCAAGAGATTCTCCTGCCTCAGCCTCCCTAGTAGCTGGGATTACAGGTGCCTACCACCACGCCCAGCTAATTTTTTTGTAATTTTAGTAGAGATGGGGTTTCACTATGTTGGCCCGGCTGGTCTTGAACTCCTGACCTCAGGCGATCTGCCCGCCTCAGCCTCCCAAAGTGCTGGGATTACAGGCATGAGCCACCGTGCCTGGCTCATTTATTTATAATTCTTAAAAACACAACCACCCTTCCCCCTACAAACTGCCTCTATTAACATACTTTAAGTTCTTTAAGACATTTATTTACTAAGAAGTGGTTTGGGTAGAAAAGGGGCTCTGCTGACCTGCCACCTTCGCTGTGATGAGTTTCTGTGTAGCAGGGACAGCGAGGCACGGTTTGGATGAGGACAAGATGTTTGTTACCCTACAACCAGGGAGGGTGTCGGGTGACACCCTGGGCTCAGACCCCGCGCTCAGCACCCGTCTCCCACCGTGGGCTGCCACAGAAGCTACAAGGCACCGGGTCAAGGCCAAGCAAATGAAACACGTAATGATAGCTCTGTCTTTCTAATTTCCCCCTATTAGAAGAAAGAACGTGAAATAATTCTTTATGGGCTCAGTCCCTACCGTGTGGGGCAGACCTGCTCTGGGTGATGAAAGCAGTTTCCCTGCCTCCCTTCAGGAAGTAGAGAAGCCGGGTGCCTGGTTCCAGCCAAACGCTGGGCCAGCCAGCTCAGTCAGTGGGGCCTGTGCCGGCATGCCTCGCCGCGCTCCCTGGTTCTGAAGGCGTGAGAACCTCTGCAAGTCAGGTTCCCATGATTGTATAGGATGTGTTACGGCAGGGATCTGAAAGCTGATGATTTCATCACTAGCTGGAAGCATCAGGATCGAAACGATGACAGTTGCAAAATGTTCATCAAGTGAGAGCTGCGTCCTCGCGAGACCGAAACGCCGCCTCTAGCACCTGAAACACAAGCCCTCAGAGGAGCAGATGATTCCCTCAGGATTTAAGAAAATTGAGGACTTCAGTTTTCGAAGCCGCATTATTTCACATTGCTGATACCTCTAGCGCCTGAAACACAAGCGCTCAGAGGAGCAAATGATTCCCTCAGGATTTAAGAAAATGAGGACTTCAGTTTTCGAAGCAGCATTATTTCACATTGCTGATACTTTTAGGCAAAAAAAAAAACAAAACAAAACAAAACCAAAAAACAAAAAAACAAAAAAACCCACAAAACCCGTGTTGGTTAGATTTTCTCAAAAGCTTTACAACAGGCAGGTTACGTGTAAGCTCTGCTGTTGCCCAAAATAGTAATTAGGGAAATAATTGCTTTTAAATGAATATGTCTGTTTTCTAGTCAGATTTGCCCTTTTGTTCTTTGATCAGTTAGTTCACGTAAGCGGGTGTGGCAGGGAGGAAGCCCCTGGTGGTGAGAGTGTTTGGAGCTCAATTGCTCGAAGGGAATTGGTGTCGATATGGAGTCTCGGGCAGTGGTTTTAGTAACCTTGGATAAACCGACCTCTCAGGCTTGCACAATTTGCTAATTAAAACAGGGAGCACAGCTGCTTCAGTTGTAAGCCGGGCGTAGGTCACCTGATCTGTAAAACTACAATAGTGTCAGAGAAGTAAGTGGGATAACATTGTTGCTTTGGTAAGCTTTCAAATGATGATGATGTCAGCCTGTGAGTTCTGTGTCCTGCTTAAGTGAGGTTTATAAGGATGAAGAAACCAAACCCGACGGCCAGTACCTCAGGCTGTCACAGCTGTCTGTGGGCACAGCGTTTGAAATAGTCTCTGTGTGGTCAGTTTCTACCAGCCCGACTTTGTACTCTGGCAGCTGCTGGTGTTAAATATTCCCAAAAGAGTATGTTGTTGCCCAAACAGTGTAACCCAGAAATCTAGCTGTTTACAGTAATTTGGATTTGTATTTAGAGGTGCAGTTTTTCTCTAGAGGGGATAAAGAAGTGCGGAGCGTCTTTCTCTCCTGGGGGAGGTGTGTTTCCATTTTAGTTAATAACATGCCCGGAGAGCTGTCTGTCTGTCTGTTAATAAAGCAGAGTCTCATTCATTATCTGCTTTCATTTGAGAACTGCAGTGCTAGCGTGTTTTACAGTGAAGACCTCGGTGTGATCCTGAAGGAGGGTTTCATCCTCCTCTCATTTCCCACTGGATCGGCAGGAAGCGTTAGCAGGGTGGACATGCCACAGAGCTTCCAGATCTGGATCAAAGGTGGCTGTTGCTGAAATACTTATGCAGAGTCTTCCCTGACTGCTGCTGGCTAATGTGTGCCCTCTTCTCCAACACACCTCCTCCGAGCCTGGCCTGGCACAAAGCCTTCTTTCTCCAAGTTATTTCAGATCAAGCAGCCAATGTAGACAGTGTCTACACTAAAGGGCGTAAGAACAGTGGGGTGCAGTGGCTTCAAACATGCTCAGGATCCAGCTGAGCTTTCACCAGGCTTTTCTTGCCATATTTACAGATGCCACTCTGTGCCTTTCTAAATATTTTAAATGTTGTGTGCTCAGCCGATGCACTTGGCTTCTGGAAAGTGCGCTGAGCTGAGAGCTCGCTTCTCTTCCTGCTCAACGTGCACTGGGCCGGGTGTTGGGGCGTAGCTGCCCACACAGACAGTGCTTTGAAGAGTGAGTGGTTTCGGTTGGCCATGGGGTTGTGTCTAAATTGCCAATATACTGTCTTTCCAAAGGTTCCTAAGTGTGGACAGTTAATGCAGCAGACAGTTGTTAGGGTAATAGTGAGAAGTTGGGATGCTTAACAAGCTTCTAAGGAGTTTGAACTTTGAAAAATAGACAAGAGAAAGAGTTCTTAAAAAAAAAAACTTTGATAGGACACAGCGGAAGTAATTACAGTTTAACTTTATGGGACGTTTCTGTGACAGGCTGGGTAACTATGCTTGTCATGCGTCCTAACCTGTGCCCTGAGATTGTGCTGTAATGTTCCTTTTGGTGGTGTCCAGCTGTCTGGCAAGGAGCCTGCTCGGCTGGAGCATTGTGAAGGGCATGCTGTAATTACAATATTGTGATGTGGCGTTGTTGCATAACTCAAGGACACACCATTGTCGCCTACCCACTGTGATGTCGCAAGAACGAGATTTGTGAGTTTTACTCCAATTGAGCTTTTCCAGTGATTGACTGCCACTCCCTCCCAGCCTTTCGGTTCTTTAAAATGAAAGATAAACCTCAGGACAACCAAGACCTGGGGAAAAGACAGTCTTTGGGAATGTAATTTGGAAGAATGGATCCAGAAAAACAACCAGGGGCTCTTAACTCTAGTTTCGGCAGGAGATCCCGAGTTACAGACCTGAGCTCGTAAACAAACGCTCACCACTTTACAGTCGCCGCCTCATCCTGAAACTCCGGTCAGAAATGCTGGAAGGCCTTTGCTAATGCGCAGTGAAAATTAGGGGCACAGATGTGGACGGACTGTGCTTGGTCAGTAATTGTTCTCCTCCAAATCAAGTTTATGAGAAATTTCATATAAGGAAAAAAACCCTTTTGTATCTGTGTCTATATGTACAGAAGACCTTAACAACCAAACAGAAACTTAACCCCTTTGGTTTGGTTTTGTTTTCGAAAGCTTATGCCCAATTTTAAACTTCATGTAAGCTTATGTACTTATTTTAAACTTTAAAACTATTAAAAGTTAAACTAGATAGTAAATTCGGCACTGTCTAATGTGCATACACCACAAACATATAACCCTAAATTCAGCTGTGTCTAATGTGTATACACCACACATATATATAACCCTAAATTCAGCCTGATGTACTTATACCACACATATATAACCCTAAATTCAGCCTAATGTACATATACCACACACACATATATATAACCCTAAATTCAGCCTAATGTACATACACCACACATATATATAACCCTAAATTCAGCCCTAATGTACATACACCACACATATATAACCCTAAATTCAGCCTAATGTACATACACCACACATATATATAACCCTAAATTCAGCCCTAATGTACATACACCACACATATAACCCTAAATTCACCCTAATGTACATACACCACACATATATATATGACCCTTACCTCTTGTTAGCATTTATTGTAGTTTGTTTTTGAGGTTAGGAGCAGTTAAGCAATAATATGAATTTGTGTTGGTTTAACTTTTATGAATTTTAGGGCAGAACAAGGAGTTAATTTCCAGATAAGCTTGTTCATGTTCTTAGAATAAAGTGTCAGCCTCATTAGAAGTTTTGTAATCGTGGTCTGCATCCCAGCCATGCACCTGCTGGGTCCTGAGTAATCCTCGGAGCCCAGAGCAAGGCAGAGCAGACACGGAGCAAACGCTGCGTTCAGCTGGGTATTTTAGATACGTCTGAGAAGAGTTTTAAAATAAAACTTGAATTTGAAAAGAAATAGTGAGTACTTACCAGAGGTGGGCAGTGCTGGGATGTGGCCGGTCTTGGTGCCGGTGGCTGGCGGTGCTCAGGAAGCAGTACCTGTTCTCACGCTTGCTGGGTGAAACTGGAGCCTGCTGTTCCAGTGGGAGGGATTTAAGTGTAGGAGTTGAGCCCTCGGGGCGTAGAGATGCACCTGATATTCCTCCTGCCCGCAGCTACGATTCATGTGTTTGCACCCACCGAGCTGCTGCGGGCAGCCTCCCCAGCACTGGACCCAGCAAGCAAGTTATCTCGCCGACTCCCAGCGCTGTCTCCAGACTCAACTGTCTGTGAGTGCGGCGTCGGTGCTGCCTGGACGGCCATATGTCAGAGGGCTTTCGATGTGTCCGCAGTTAGAATAGAGATTACTATATTCATCAGAATCACACCCGATGAATATTTGGCGTCATGATAAAGACATGTGAGACTTTCCTTTAGAACTTGAGCATGTGTACGCAGGAGGCAAACACTTGGATTGATTCTCAAGCGCGCATACCCTGGGAGGCACAGTATTCATGGCGTCCTTGCCATGAGGTCCAGTGAGGCCTTTGAGGATCTGTGGACCTTCCACCCTCTACCCTGCTCCTGAGAGTCTCTGTCCCTGGTCCTCCTCAGGAGCTGAGCCGGCAGGGAGGGAGCTTATCCCAGAGCCTGGCTGCAGGGACCTGCCGGAGCTTGCCCGACACCAGGCACCGCAAGAGCTGCGGAGCAGGGTGTGTGGGTGCGGGGGAGGGGGCCAGCTGTGCACTCCCGCAAACCACCCTCCCCCCACTTTAAATTGCAGAGGCACTTAACTTGGGGGCCAGTTTTTACCTCCACACCCCCCCACCAAAACTGCTTGCTTGCTTAATCGGAGGCCGCACCCCAGTTGTAGCGAAGGCTGGCATGTGGTGTCGGTTTGAGGACTGGGAAAGGAGGTGGGATGAGCTGGTGTCAGGCCCTTGGATGAGCCTGAGGCTGCAGGGCAGAGGCTGCAGGGCTGTGGCATAGGGACGAGCTGGCCAGGACAGACAAACTGGTTTTTTTTTTTTTTTTTTTTTTTTTTTTTGAGACAGAGTTTCACTGTTGCTGCCCAGGCTGGAGTGCAATGGCATGATCTTGGCTCACTGCGTTTCTCCTGCCTCAGCCTCCCGAGTAGCTGGGACTACAGGCGCCTGCCACCACGCCCGGCTAATTTTTTGTATTTTTAGTAGAGATGGGGTTTCACCGTGTTAGCCAGGATGGTCTTGATCTCCTGACCTTGTGATCCACCCACGTCGGCCTCCCAAAGTGCTTGGATTACAGGTGTGAGCCACTGCACCCGGTCTGTTTTTTTGTTTTTGTTATTTTTTTCCTTAAGACTTAAGATTTTACATGGCTTTGCGTTTACTTTTATATTTAATTCCTTTTTTTTTTCTTTTGAGACAGGGTCTTGCCCTGTCACCCAAGCTGGAGTGCAGTGGTGCGATCACGGTTCACTGTAGCCTCAACCTCCTGGACTCGAGTGATCCTCCCGCCTCAGTCTCCCCAGTAGCTGGGACTACAGGCACGGTCACTATGCCTGGAGAATTTTTTGTAGAGACAGGGTTTTGCCATGTTTCCTAGGATGGTTTAATACCTTAAAATTTTTTTTGGTGGCTTTTGTCCATTGAGACATCCATATACTTTATGAAGTCAAAAAGAGTTATGTAAGTCTTATGACAAAAAACAGCAGTTCCCTGTCCCTCTTACCTATTCCTGGATAGCAAACTATCCCAAACTTAGTGGCTTAAAACAAGCACCGTTTTATTACGTCTTAGGATATATTGTGTCAGGAGTTTGTGGAGGGCCTGGCCGAGTGCTGCTTCTGTTTCATGGACACTGACTGAGGTGGCTCCGTGGGAGAAAGCTGGCAGGTGACTGGTCTGGAGGGTCCAGGACAGCTTTACTCACCTGCCTTCTGTCCTGGAGGGGCAGCTGGAATCCTGAGATCAGCTGGAACCTCATCCTCACTTAGTAGCACTTCAGAGGCCTCCCTAGCAGGGTGGTCAGCTGTATGATGGCTCAGGACTTCAAGAGAGCAAGGCGGAAGGTTCCAGTCCTCCAGAAGGCTGGGCCGCAGATTGTCAGGGTGTCCCTTCTGTCACCTTTCTCTGCTGAGGCAGCCTCGTGCTGCCCAGATGCAAGGCGGGAGCCGAGGGCTCCACCTCTCAGCGGCAGGAGTGCCAGGTGTCTGCGCTACGACTCCCTCTGCCCGGAAGCCCCACCTTGGCCTTTCCTAAGCTGAGTGTTCTGACCCTTGCCATGGAGGGTCCAGTGAGGCCTTTGAGAATCTGTGTACCTTCCACCCTCTACCCTGCTCCTGAGAGTCTCTGTCCCTGGTCCTCCTTGGGAGCTGAGACGGCAGGGAGGGAGCTTATCCCAGCGCCTGGCTGGGTGTTTACCTCCTCGATTCCAGCCTTACTGATCTGTTGGTGGTTCTGTGCCCTCTCTCCCCCTCTCTCCCTTCTCCACTCCTGGTCGAGGTGTTGTTTGGTGGCTTCCCTTCATGGAAGATGGGAATTTGCCTCTCTTTGCCCCTTCTGCCCCCATGTCTGCCTTCCCCGTCACCCAGGGGGTTTTGCCTGCCTCTCTCTTGCACTGGAAGGCCTGCTGCTCGGATCCCATGTCGTCTTTCTCTTGAGTTAATCATTTAGTTTGACATGAGGCACACACCTTTTATAGGCTCTTGAGAAAGTGCAAGAGAGATTTTTTTGGAGGTCTTGAATTATTGAAAATGTTTTTATCTACTCTTCAACCTCACTGATAGTTTGGCTGAGTCTAGAATTTCAGGCCAGAAATCATTTACCTTCAGATTTTTGCAAGTGTTCTTCATTTTCTTTCTTTCTTTTTTTTTTTTTTTTTTGAGATGGAATCTCGCTCTGTCACCCAGGCTGGAGTGCAGTGGCGCGATCTCGGCTCACTGCAAACTCCACCTCCCATGTTCACGCCATTCTCTTGCCTCAGCCTCCCAAGTAGCTGGGACTACAGGCGCCCTCCACCACGTCCGGCTGATTTTTTGTATTTTTAGTAGAGACGGGGTTTCACCGTGTTAGCCAGGATGGTCTCGATCTCCTGACCTCGTGATCCGCCCGCCTCGGCCTCCCAAAGTGCTAGGATTACAGGTGTGAGCCACCACACCCGGCCGCAAGTGTTCTCTATTTTCTCTAGCTTCTAGTACTGTGGTTGAGAACCTTGATGCCATTCTGATTCCTGATTCTTTCTCTCTTAACATTTTAGTGTGAAAATTTTCAAAATACAGACAAGTTGTAAGGATGCTCCAGTGAACTCTCATATGCCCAACGGTGGGGTTCTCCAGTTAACACAGCTGTCTGTGTTCCCTTCCCTTCCCCTCCCTGTCCAGCTTACTTACCCTTCCCTTCCCCTCCCCTCCCCTCCCCGTCCAGCTTACATACCCTTCCCTTCCCCTCGCCGTCCAGCTTACTTATCATTCCCTTCCCCTCCCCGTCCAGCTTATATACCCTTCCTTTCCCCTCCCCATCCAGCTTACATACCCTTCCCTTCCCCTCCCCGTCCAGCTTACTTACCCTTCCCTTCCCCTCACCATCCAGCTTACTTACCCTTCCCTTCCCCTCACCATCCAGCTTACTTACCCTTCCCTTCCCCTCCCCGTCCAGCTTACTTACCCTTCCCTTCCCCTCCCCGTCCAGCTTACTTACCCTTCCCTTCCCCTCCCCATCCAGCTTAATCGTCTTGCTGCATTTCAGGTCAGTTGCAGACATCAGTATGCTTTGCCCCAAACACTTTTCAGGCATATTCTTATTAGTTTATGATTCTTCTTTCAAAGGTAAGGTTTACATTCAGTGAAGGGCACAGGTCTTAAGAGGATCATTTAACGAGTTTTGACAAATGTGTTCTCCCATTATGGCCCCAGAGAGTTCCGTCACAGCAGTGCCACCCTTCCCCACCCAGACCGTGGCAACTGCAGGCTGATACTTTTCCACCATGGATTAGTTTTATGTGTTGTAGAATTTTATGTCAGTAGTGATTCCTGATTTTTATGGACAGCTGTTTCTCACCTGCAGGTTCTTTCCTTTATCCTCAGTAGTCTTAGTTTTCTTAACTTTATATTTCAACACTTCTGTTAAGTACTTGGTTTCTGATTTTGGTTTCCATGAGCTCTGTTTTGTTCTGAGTGTTCCTTTTGTAGCATCTCATTCTCATGCAGTACTTTCAGTAGCTTTTCTTATCTAAGGATTTTAGTGATAGCTTTCTTTTAGTGGGGAGTGGAGGAGTGGGGGTGGATGTTCTCCGTGTGTGTGTGTGTGTGTGTGTGTGTGTGTTTAAAGACCTGGGGTCTTGCTGTGTTACCCAGGCTGGACTTGAACTCCGGGTCTCAAGTGCTTCTCCTGCCTCAGCCTCCCGGGTAGCTGGGACTGCAGGAGCGCCATGCCATGCCTGGTGCCCTCCCTGCATCGTCAGTGTGGCTGCCTGCCTTCCAGGGCCTCTGCTGAGCACCTCGGAGAGTCAGCCCTGTCTCCTGCCCCAGTGCTCCTTGGGTTAGGCCTACCCTGCCCCTCCCCACAGAGTTCTCTGGTGCCACAGATCTGGAGCTTTTTAGGGACCTGTCCTGTGGATCAGGGGGAGTCTGAGTTGCCTCCCTCCAGGGGAGGGCTGGGCTTCTTGGTCTGAGGCATTTCCTGCTGTCCCTGCACTTCCAGGCTCCTCCGTGGTCCTGGTGCTGCCTTCCCTGCCCTTCCTCTTCTACCCTGTAGCTTATTTCTTGAAAAAAGAAAATGGTCCGTTTCTGCTGTTTTTAGTGGGATTTTACCCGCTATTTTTTACATGTTCAACCCCCTGTGTTACTCAGAATTCTTGCGATTAGGTTTTTGACCAAATCTTAGGAACCGTCATGGGGGTGGCAGCTGATGTTTCTTGCGTGTTGATGGTGTGGGGCACCGTGCCAGGTGCATCACCTGCACTGGTCCATTTACTCAGAAGCACCACGCACCTGGCCTGTGGAGTCCCCCCACCCACAGGTCGGGAACATGGCCGAGGTACCCAGCCCAGAGGGCGATGAGCAGAGTTACACCAGAGGTGGGGGGTGCTTCCCTGGGTGGGGAAGGAGGGGTACCTGGGGTGGTGGCTGCTCTTGGGGGTAAGCACCGGTGCCAGTGTGTGTTGGGGGGTGCCAGGGACCCAGGCAGGTGCTGGCGCCGCGGCCTCTGTGTCAGGGCCTCTTTCCCTAGGGGCACACAGGCTGGAAGTGCAGTCCTGGTTGAGCTTTCCTAGTTTCCAGGTCGGGGGTGAGGCACAGGACATGGCCGGCTCGGCCCCTTCCTCTCCATCCTGTCCAGCTCAGCCCCTTCCTGTCCATCTTGTGCGGCCCAGCCCCTTCCTCTCCGTCCATCCTGTCCGGCCTGGCCCCTTCCTCTCTGTCCTGTCTGGCCTGGCCCCTTCCTCTCTGTCCATCCTGTCTGGCTCGGCCCCTTCCTCTCCGTCCTGTCCAGCTTGGCCCCTTCCTCTCCATCTTGTCCGGCCCGGCCCCTTCCTCTCCATCTCGTCTGGCCCGGCCCCTTCCTCTCCGTCTGTCCTGTCCGGCCCGGCCCCTTCCTCTCCGTCCTGTCCAGCTCAGCCCCTTCCTGTCCATCTTGTGTGGCCCAGCCCCTTCCTCTCCGTCTGTCCTGTCTGGCCTGGCCCCTTGCTCTCCCTCCGTCCTGTCCGGCTCAGCCCTTTCCTCTCCGTCCTGCCCAGCCCACCCCGGTCCCTTCCGCAGCAGCATCCTCTCCAGTGCACTGTGTGCTGGGACTCAAGTCTTGGCTCTTCCATCTTCACCCTTTGTGACTTGGGGCAGCAATTGCTGACCTCCCTGGGCCTCGGTCTTCCTGTCCGTGAAAGGGACTTGTGAGCATCTCTCACAGAACACCTGTGATGAAGGAAGGGCGTCACATCTTGGATCTTCTTAAAATACAAGATTGTTTCTGTTTTAATCCTTTGTGTTCCTTGTGAGGTGCTGCATCCAGAGGAAAGGAGAAAGGAAATGAAAACTCTGCGGAAAATCCACAGGCCTGGCATCAGCCTCCCAGTCTGATTTTGACGCGGCTGTAGGGGAGACACAGCAACATTCTATCCCCCGAGGGCACAGCTTCAGGAACGGCTCCGGGCCGGAGGGCACCTCTCGCCTGGCTGTGTTGTGTCTCAGGGCTCTGCGCTTCTAAAGGGACTCAGGCCAGTGGGCAGAACTGTGGGATGGGACTGGGAGGCTTAGGGGGTGAGGGTGTAAGCCCTGTGCCTCCCTCCACGTGCTGCGTCCGGCATGCCACGTCCCCTCGTCCAGCCCTCTGCTGCCCCCTCCACGCGCTGCGTCCTCTGTGCTGTGTCCTCTTGTCCAGCCCTCTGCTGCCCCCTCCACGTGCTGCGTCCAGCGTGCCGTGTCCTCTCGTCCAGCCCTCTGCTGCCCCCTCCATGCGCTGTGTCCCATGTGCCGTGTCCTCTCGTCCAGCCCTCTGCTGCCCGCTGCTCTCTTTGGGACTTCCATTGTTTCCCCTTCCCCTTCCTTTCCTGGTTTTCTTCCCTAGTGAGGTGCCCTTCCTGCTGCTGCAGGGCCCTGCTGTGGCCTCTGCCTTCCGTCCCTGGCGGTAGTGAGACTGGCTGAGACCCAGGGGAAGCTTGGAGACTGTCCTAGATTTCGGAGATGGTGGTACACAGGCTTGCTGGCTTGGGTTAGGGCTCTAGGCCCTGCCTTCGGGTTGTCTGGAAGCCGCCAGCCAGGCCTGGACACCTCTCTGCCCCCGTCACCTCGGAGCAGCAGCCCAGGAGCGGGTCACAGCCCTTCCCCTGTGTTACATGGTCACCTGCCTGAGAACCCCTGCAGGCCCCTGTGTTTTGGGAAGTTGATTTAACTGAACAGAGCGCAGCTGAGAAGGGGCGCCTCCCTCCCCACCCACCCTCATTGCCTGGGACCGCGTGTCCAGGAGCCGGGCCTCGGGTGTCTGGTCTCTGGGCCACACAGGCTAACATGGCCAAGCCCAGCTGCACCCCCGGGGTCCTCACCCGCCATGTGCCTGTGGTCGTGGCCAAGGTCTGGGCCCAACCTGCTCTGGGCGCTGTGGGCACCGCTCAGCCATTTTCTACAGGTGGCCGAGGAGACATTTGGTTTCTCATTAAAAAGAAACAGGCCGGGCGTGGTGGCTCACGCCTGTAATCCCAGCACTTTGGGAGGCCAAGGTGGGCGGATCATGAGGTCAGGAGATCGAGACCATCTTGTCTAACACAGTGAAACCCCGTCTCTACTAAAAATACACAAAAAATTAGCTGGGCGTGGTGGTGGGTGCCTGTAATCCCAACTACTCGGGAGGCTGAGGCAGGAGAATGGTGTGAACCTGGGAGGCGGAGCTTGCAGTGAGCCGAGATCATGCCACTGTATTCCAGCCTGGGCAACAGAGCGAGACTCCATGTCAAAGAAAAAAAAAAAAAAAAAAAAAAAGAAACAACCCTGAGAACATCAGTGGGGTTTTACTGACTGTGTCAGACAACTCAGCGATGCAGAGAAATGAAAGTGGAGTTGATTTGGCTCTTGTGGTGAGATACAGCCAAGGTGTATGAGAGAATTTGGGGAAAGCTTTCTTTCTGGACATTTGTTGACGTTGATGAGTAGTGGAGGGCTTTATTTGTAAGTTGAAGTCTGAGATTTGTCATGCCAATACCTAAATTTTAATTTGTTTGTACAAATAACGCCACAATTTAATTCTTTTTTCTTTTTGAGACAGAGTCTTGCTCTGTCACCCAGGCTGGAGTGCAGTAGTGCGATCTCCGCCTCCCGAGTTCAAGTCATTCTCCTGCCTCAGCCTCCCGAATAGCTGGGATCACAGTTGCGTGGTACCACGCCTGGCTAGTATTTTGTATTTTTAGTAGAGATGGGGTTTCATCATGTTAGCCAGGATGGTCTTGATCTCCTGACCTCGTGATCCACCCTCCTCGGCCTCCCAAAGTGCTGGGATTACTGGGATTACAGGCGTGAGCCACCGGGCCGGGCCCACGATTTGAATTTTTATGGAACTGGGGCTAACTTAATTTTTTCAGACGAGTGGGAGTAGAGCAAACGGCCCCTGTCTGTTGCCCCTTTTTCCTACCAAGGCCCCTCCAGGCTGTCTCTTGCCTGGTGAGTGTGAGGAGATGGGTGGGCGCGGCCCTGTGGGATGGTGCTCTGTGGCAGGGCTGGCAGTTTCTGGGTGTGTGGCCTGTGGGTAGCCTTTGTACTGGGCGCACAGTCCCCGGCTCCTCCCTTCCAACACCTTCGCCCTGAGCGGCCTCGGAAATGGGGCTTCTGGCGGCTCTGCAGGCACCGTCAGAGTCAGAGGGAGGGCGAGCGGCTTTTGGTTTCTGTTTAAACAGCGTCCTGTCGCTCCCTCCTCTCCTGTGCGGATTGGCGCTGCGGCTTCTGTGTTGAGAGGGAAACTTGAAACCCTGAGCTATGTATGGCTTGTTTTGTCTTTGATTGGGAAACCCAATTCAGGTTTGTGAACTTGGGCCAAGTTTAAGAATTCCCACAGTTTTCTTCAGCTCCTCTCCTCCCTGAACCCCGACAGCGAGGTGTCTTACGCTTCGGCATTCTCACTCGCCTGACTCAGACTTGTTAGTTTTCCAGAGCAACTCATGTGGCCGCCGTCTAGGGAGTTTATTCAGAGGGTGCCTCTACATGCACAGCAGCCAGGTACAGAAGTCATGAGTTAAATCGCACAAGGACAAGTAAAATGAAAAAAATTAGCACTCAGATCTTCTTTTTTTTCATGCTACAAAATAACAGTGAAAAACCTAACGATGAAAATAGATGCGAACAGACAAAAGGTCAATGGGCTTGATCCCTTCTCATCCTCTCTCCTGTGTCTCCTGGAGGCTTCTGCACCTCTGTGTCTTCCCCCGCTCTGCTGCGTCTTCTCCACCTCGATGTCCCCCTCTGCCTGCTGCGTCTTCTCCACCTCGATGTCCCCCTCTGCCTGCTGCGTCTTCTCCACCTCGATGTCCCCCTCTGCCTGCTGCGTCTTCTCCACCTCGATGTCCCCCTCTGTCTGCTGCGTCTTCTCCACCTCGATGTCCCCCTCTGCCTGCTGCGTCTTCTCCACCTCGATGTCCCCCTCTGCCTGCTGCGTCTTCTCCACCTCGATGTCCCCCTCTGCCTGCTGCGTCTTCTCACCTCGATGTCCCCCTCTGCCTGCTGCGTCTTCTCCACCTCGATGTTCCCCTCTGCCTGCTGCGTCTTCTCCATCTCGATGTCCCCCTCTGCCTGCTGCGTCTTCTCACCTCGATGTCCCCCTCTGCCTGCTGCGTCTTCTCCACCTCAATGTCCCCCGCTCTGCTGCGTCTTCTCCACCTCGATGTCCCCCTCTGCCTGCTGCGTCTTCTCCACCTCGATGTCCCCCTCTGTCTGCTGCGTCGGGGCTGCCTACCGGGCTTGGTCTTCAGGGCCACTGTTTCTCCTCAGCTAAGTCCTGAGAGTCACATTTCCATCCATTGCAGTGAAATCTTTTCCTTCAGGTATTTCCAGACCTTGGTTTTGGCCCCTTTTCATATCTTCCTTGTTTCCTCGCTGTGGTTTTCATTTCCCCTTTCGTCTCCTTAACCTGTTTTTTGATGGTGTCTTTTTAGGTTATCTCAAGTTCATTTCAAGCTCTGAAAGTAGGAAGTAAAGTAAGAACCGCGTGGCACTAGCAATCACTAGGCATTGTTCCAAGCACACGGATAAACTGAGAATCCTCGTGGTCGCCCCGGGGGTGGGACTGCCATTGTCCAGAGAGACCTGCTTTTGCCTGTGGTGCCACACGGGTCCCTCTCACAGGATGCGACCATGGTGGCTTTGCGTCATGTCACCTCAGCCAGGCAGGACCTTCTGCTGGAACCCCCTTCCCTGGTAGTCCTCGGAGAGGGCTGTGCACAATCTGGAGGCAGAAGCGAAGCAGTAGCCCCCGTGCGCGGCAGCTCTTGAGGCTGTGCTGCTGTTGGCTGTGCTGTTGTTGGCTGTGCTGTTGTTGGCTGTTTTGCTGTTGGCTGTGCTGTTGTTGCCTGTGCTGCTGTTGGCTGTGCTGCTGTTGGCTGTGCTGCTGTTGGCTGTGCTGCTGTTGGCTGTGCTGTTGTTGGCTGTGCTGTTGTTGGCTGTGCTGTTGTTGGCTGTGCTGCTGTTGGCTGTGCTGTGCTGCTGTTGGCTGTGCTGCTGTTGGCTGTGCTGCTGTTGGCTGTGTTGTTGTTGGCTGTGCTGTTGTTGGCTGTGCTGTTGTTGCCTGTGCTGCTGTTGGCTGTGCTGCTGTTGGCTGTGCTGTTGTTGGCTGTGCTGCTGTTGGCTGTGCTGCTGTTGGCTGTGCTGTTGTTGGCTGTGTTGTTGTTGGCTGTGCTGCTGTTGGCTGTGCTGTTGTTGGCTGTGCTCTTCTGCTGTTGGCTGTGCTGTTGTTGGCTGTGCTGTTGTTGGCTGTCCTGTTGTTGGCTGTCCTGTTGTTGGCTGTGCTGTTGTTGGCTGTGCTGTTGTTGGCTGTGCTGTTGGCTGTGCTGTTGTTGGCTGTGCTGTTTTGCTGTTGGCTGTGCTGTTGTTGGCTGTGCTGTTGTTGGCTGTGCTGTTTTGCTGTTGGCTGTGCTGTTGTTGGCTGTGCTGTTGTTAGCTGTGCTGTTGTTGGCTGTGCTGTTGTTGGCTGTGCTGCTGTTGGCTGTCCTGTTGTTGGCTGTGCTGTTGTTGGCTGTGCTGTTTTGCTGTTGGCTGTGCTGTTGTTGGCTGTGCTGTTGTTGGTTGTGTGTGCTGACCCCGGACCCCCTACAGTATGGCTGTGCATGGACTGGTGATTTGGCCCCCATGGCCTCATCAGCCCTGATCCATCCCTGCATTGAATTCGTATGGGGCTTGTGGTGAGTCTGGACTGACTCAGCTTTCTAAAAGCTGAAAAGCAAAAGTTAATAGGTCTGCAGAGATAAATGGACAGACCCGGTATCCTCCTGAGAGCTCAAAACACCTCCCAATTATTGATAACTAAATATGTAGTGGAGATATAGATATGTATAAAACGCACATTACATACTGTGTGTGCACATACAATATTTCAACAGCAGAGGCGACTGGCATGATTCCATAATTGATACAGAACCGTGTAGCTAGCCGTTGGAGAATACACATTTGTAGGCACCTGAGGAACATTCACAGATATTACACAGCCAGGCCATAAAACAAGTCTCGAGACATTTCAGAGACTCACTGGCGGACAGATGGTATTCCATGCTCACAAAGTAATGAAATTAAAAACTGGATACAGAATAATAAAGGAAAGGTGATAATTTTTAGTTAGAAGATATACAAATGTGTAAATCACATGAGTCAAGTCTCAGGAGGTTTTAAAATAAAAAGTTAAAAAAGTTTAAAAATAAAAATAAACAGTCACAAAATTATTCTATCTAAAATTTTGGGATGCAGCTAAGGAAACTTAAACCTTTAAACAGGTGTGACGAAATTGTGGCCTGCAGGCCCAGTGGGGCCTCAGCCTGTTTCTGTACAGCTTTGGAGCCAAGAAGGGTTTTCACATTTTAAAAATGTTATCAATGAGAATAAACACAACCAAGCAGAGTCTGCGATGTGGACTGCATGTGGCCCACAGGGCCCGAGGTTCTCTCTGGCCCTGGCAGGAATCACTTGGTGACTCGGCCTCAGACACGTGTACAGAAAAGGAGAAAGGTTCACTCTGCACAGGGCGGGTGGGAAGAGGGCAGTGAGCAGAACCCTAGAAATGAAGGAGGTGGAAGACAAAGATGAGAGAGGACACACAGAGCCAAACGCAGCTCTTCGAGAGGGCTGATGGGACCAATAAACGCGTGGCCGACGGGCAGAAAGCAGGAGCCTTACACACGGAAGGGAGCCCTCGTGCAGCCACCGTGGAGATGGAAAATGGCATGTTAAGAATATCTTTTGCCAGGAAATTTGGTAGCTTAGGCAAAATAGACGTTCCGAGAGAAATGTAATTTATCAAAGTTGACCCAGGTGGGAATAGAAAAGTGACTCCTCACTGCTTCAGCGCATCTGCTTGTAAGCGGGAACGATTACTGTTGACCCCATAGGATTTTTAATGATTTTGTTGAGACGCAATTCACATGCCATTCAGTTCTGTCATTAAGTGTACAGTTCAGTGGCTTGTAACGCATTTGCAGAGTTTTGCAGCCATCGCCACAGTCAGTTGTAGAACATTTTACCCCACGCTCCTTCGCTGTCATCCCCAACCCCCCCGACAGATGGATAAACCCCCCCTCCTAGACACCACAGATGGGTTCTCTGTGTCTACCCATTCTGGACATTTCCTGTGAATGGAACCGTGCCCCCTGTGGTCCTCTGTGGTGGCTCCTTGCCCCGAGCGTGGCGTTGGCGTGGTCCGTGGGCGATGCAGCCCCCAGCAGTGCTCCTTTTCTTTTCCTTGTTGAAGCCTGTTCCATCGTGTGGCATCTTAGTCAGCTCAGGCTGTGGAAACAAGTCACCACAGATGGGGGCTCAAGCAGCACAAATGTATCCCTCACAGTTCTGGAGGCTGGGTGTCCAAGGTCGAGGTGCCAGCAGGCTCGGCAGCAGGCTCGGTTTCTTCCGGGTTTTCCTGGGCCTGCAGGCGCTGCCTTCCTGCTGCGTGCTCGCCGTTCGGTCTGTGTCTTGGTGTCCTTGTTTCCTCTTCTTAGGCGGACACTGGTCATAGCAGATCCGGGCCCCACTTGCGTGGCCTCATTTTACCTTACGCATCTCTAAGGGCCACATCTCCAGATACAGGCACTCGGGGGCACTGGGGTTAAGACTTCAGTATGTGGATTTCAGGGAGACAGAATTCAGCCCACGACGTACATGGAGGCCGCATTTTATTTATCCATCTGTCAGTTGGTAGACGTTTGGGTTGTTTCCCACTGTAGGCTGCTGTGAATAAAGCATTCGTGTGTGAGTTTTTGTGTGGATGTGGTTTTTGTCTTGGGTATAGGCCTGGGCTTGGAGCATAGGACTGTTCGGAAAGTTAAGGGAATGAACGTATTCAGAGCTCAGAACCGTGTCTGGCTTGCGATGCGTTCTGTTTTGAGGTTAGTGATGATGATGGAGAGCGGCTCCCGAGGACGAGAGCTCGTGATGGAGAGTGCCTCTTTATGCCCGATGTGAATGTGGCTACTCAGCTTTCTCTCTCTCTTTTTTTTTAAATTAATTTATTTTGTCGAGACAGGTTCTTGCTCTGTTGCCCAGGCTGGAGTGCAGTGGTGTGATCATAGCTCACTGCATCCTTGACCTCTTGGGCGCAAGTGATCCTCTGACCTCAGCCTCCTGAGTAGCTGGAACCACAGGCATGTGCCACCACGCCCAGCTAATTGTCGTATTTTTTTTCTTTTTCTTTTTTTGTAAGGGTAGGGTTTTGCCATGTAGCTGGTCTCAAAGTCCTGGGCTTAAGCAGTCCACCTGTCTCAGCTTCCTAAGGTGCTGGGATTACAGGCTTGAGCCACTGCATCCAGCAACACCCCCCCTCCTTTTTTTTTTCTGTTTTTGAGTCAGGGTCTTGCTCTGTTGCCCAGGCTGGAGTGCAGTGGCTCACTCACGGCTCACTGTAGCTTTGAACTCATGGGCTAGATCCATCCCCTGACCTCAGCCTCACAAGTAGCTGAGACTACAGGTGTTTGCCAGCACACCCAGCTCATTTTTTCTTTTTTTTTTTGTAGAGACGGTCTCACCATCTAGCCCAGGTTGGTCTTGAACTCCTCGCCTCAAATGATCCTCTCATCTTGGCCTCCCAAAGTATTGCGATTACAGGCATGAGCCACTGTTAATGGCCCCAGCTTTCTTTGGGTTCGTGTTTTCTCAGTGTATTCTTTTCTGTCTTTTAATTTTTTTATATTCTTGCATTTTAGATGTATGTTGAGTAAAAATCTACCGTATGTGATTTTAAGCTGGTGAGTTTAGTCCATTTACTTTACTGACATGTTTGGGTGTCTTTGTCTTATTATATGAATTTTGCTTTTTCAGATTTTTTTTTGTTTTTAAAAGTTGTGGTTCCTATTGGGCCCCCAACCCAGTCCCATTCCACATCTTCTTCCTTGTTGGTTTGGAATCATCTATTCTGTTTCCTGTGTTTCTTCAGGGGTCGTATTCAGCTTGTACCACGAATATTCAGAGCCAACAGCCAGCTTCTTAGCCTACCCTCCAAGTAACACACAGCACACCCTGACCTCGATCACTTTCCATCTGACATATTTGACATTGTTGAGTTTTTAGTTCTTCTTGTTTAACATTAGACATTACAGGTTGAGCACCCTGAATCCGAAAATCCAAAACCGAAAACTTTTTGAATGCTGAGTTGACACTCTGCAGGTGATGGGCTGCAGTCAAAACACAGGTAAACAACACACAGTTGATTCAGCACCCCAAGGGGAAAAAGATCCTCCCAGCCCCCTTCAGCTTTGATAAATCCTTTCCACATAAGACCAGGTTCCCTCATGCAAGCACGTCCACAAAGGGCGATGAAATGTCGGGTGCAGGCCGGACGCAGGCGCTGCAGGCTCCTTATGAGGCTCCACATGGGCGAGACCTGTGCGCACCGCTCGTGTGTTTGCGTATCCTCTGCTCTGTGGTGTACAGATACTGTTGAAAACATCAGAAAGGCCTGCAGGTTACTTGTATGGGGGTGTACAGATACTGTTGAAAATGTCAGAAAGGCCTGCAGGTTACTTGTATGGGTAACAGTGGTCAGAAAAGGGGCAAGCATTCACGTTTGCATGTCGCACAGAAAGTCAGACTGCTGGGGGGAGCTGGGCAGCAGTGTAAGAGCACGGTGCTGGAGTGAGTGCCAGAGATGACCTAAGAAACAGGAGGAATGGTTGACGTTCTGTGCTGGAAACGATGACCAGAAAAACCCTGCACAAAGCTACACGTGAAATTTCTATCACGTATTGAAAGAGTGGATCTGTCAGCATCGCAGTGGACACAAGCCACTTAACAGTGCCAATCACAAGACAAGCAAAGCTCTGTGTAAAGGCCCTGATCGCATTCATGAAGCTCTGTCCTTGGGACTCATCATCTACGAAAGGCCACACCTCCTAACACCGTGCTCTTGGGAGTGAGGATTTCAGCAGGAATTCTGGGGAACAGAAGCATTGGGGCGTCGCATCTCCCTGTGGCCTTCCTCCCTGTGGCCTTCCTCCGCCTGCCAGCTGCCCCCTCACCCTGCTGTCCACCTCACGGACCCCTCTTCGCCCCATATGGGCCACTTTGGCCCCCACCACCCCTTCCTGGATGTGCAGACCCTATGCGGTGCCACCTGATGCTTCAAGACTGAATTTTCCAGAGGGGCAGGGAAAGGTGTTTGCTTTTTTTTTTTTTTTTTTTTTTTTTTTTTTTTTTTTAATTTTTTAGAGCCAGGGTCACTCTGTTGCTCACGCTGGAGTGAGTGCCATGGTGTAGTCGCGGCTCACTGCAGTCTTGGCCTCCTGGACTAAAGCGATCCTTCCACCTCAGCCTCCCAAGTCACTGTGGCACTATGGGTGCATGCTACCGTGCCCGGCTAATTTTTTTTATCTTTTGAAGAGATGGGATCTCACTATGTTGCCCAGGCTGGTCACGAACTCCTGGGCTCACGTGATCTACTCACCTCGGCCTCCTGAAGGGCTGGGATTACAGGTGTGAGCCACTGTGCCTGGCCAGGTGTTTGCTCTTAAAAAGTCATTTCTCTCTTTCTGTGTGTATTTGTGTTTTGAGGTAAAATTTCACATAACATAAAAATAACCATTAACTTTAAAGTGAAAAACTCAGAGCATTTAGTACATACCCAATGTTGCACAGCTATTACTTCTGTCTACTTTTAACACATTTTTGTCACCGAAAAAATACTCTGGTGTCCATTCACATAGTCATGACACATCACGACACATGACTGTATTCCCAACCCCTGGCACCTGCCAGGCTGTTTTCTGCCTCTACGTTTACTTATTCTGAGAATTTTATACACATGGAGTCTGCAATGCGTGACCCTTTGTGCCTGGTTCATCTGTATTGTAGCATGTGTCAGGCCTTCATTTGTTTTTATGGCTGAATAATATTGCTTTGTATGGGTAGACTCCCCCCCCACTTTTTTTTTTTTTTTTTTTTTTTTTGTAGAGACAGGGTCTCACCATCTAGCCCAGGTTGGTCTTGAACTCCTGGCCTCAAATGATCCTCTCATCTTGGCCTCCCAAAGTATTGTGATTACAGGCATGAGCCTGAATCTGAAAAAGCAAAATTCATATAGTAAGACAAAGACACCCAAACATGTCAGTGAAGTAAATGGACTAAACTCACCAGCTTAAAATCATATGGTAGAATTTTACTCAACATACATCTAAAATGCAAGAATATAAAAAGATTAAAAGGAAAGACAGAAAAGAATATGCTGAGAAAACACTAACCAAAAGAAAGCTGGGGCCAGTAACAGTGGCTTAATGCCTGTAATCACAATACTTTGGGAGGCCAAGATGAGAGGATCATTTGAGGCGAGGAGTTCAAGACCAACCTGGGCTAGATGGTGAGACCCTGTCTCTACAAAGAAAAAAAGAAAAAAAACAGACGCCCCAATGCTTGCGTTCCCCAAAATTCCTGCTGAAATCCTGACTCCCAAGGGCACAGTGTTAGGTGTGGCCTTTCGTAGATGATGAGTCACAGGGACAGAGCTTGATGAATGCTATCAGGGCCCTTACACAGTTGACGGACACTTAAGTTTTCCCACCTTTTGGCCCTTGTGAAGAATGCTTCTGTGAACGTTTGCGTACAAGTGTCTGTTTGAATCCCTGTCTTCCCCTTTTTTGGGTGCGCATCCAGGGCGGGATCGCTGGACCGCGTGCGGACCCTCGCTGCGCATCCAGGGCGGGATCGCTGGACCGCGTGCGGACCCTCGCTGCGCATCCAGGGCGGGATCGCTGGACCGCGTGCGGACCCTCGGTGCGCATCCAGGGCGGGATCGCTGGACCGCGTGCGGACCCTCGCTGCGCATCCAGGGCGGGATCGCTGGACCGCGTGCGGACCCTCGGTGCGCATCCAGGGCGGGATCGCTGGACCGCGTGCGGACCCTCGGTGCGCATCCAGGGCGGGATCGCTGGACCGCGTGCGGACCCTCGGTGTGTTACTGAGGCGTCCCCAAGCTGTTTCCACAGACGCTGTGCTGCCCTGCATTCCCACCAGCAAGGCGCAGAGCTTCTGGTTTCTCCATGTCCTCACCAACACCTGTGTTGTTCTTTTTTAAAAAATTATAATCAGCCTCGTAGGTGTGAGGGGGTATCTTGTGATTTTGATTTGAATTTTTCTTAATGACGAATGACACTGAGCATCTTTTCATGTGCTCCTTGGTTGTTTGTGTATTTCTCTGGATAAATGTCTAGTCAAGTCCTTTGACCATTTTTAAATTGGATTGTTTGTCCTTTTGTTGTTGAGTTGTAAAGCTGTTTGTATCTTCTGGATATTAAACTCTTATCAGATATATCATTTGCAAGTATTTTCTCCCATTCTGTTGGTTGTCTTTTTTTTTCTTTTGATAATGTCTTTGTATTGTGTCGTGTTTAATGTAAACATTTCACCATTGTTTTAATTCCCTCTTTTCAGTTCTTTTCTGTGTGTGTGCAGTTTTTGGGTGTGTGTGATGTGTACATACACACATGCACATATACAGGTGTCTAAAAAGTATTTTGTTTTTTTGTTTTAAATATTTGACACTTTTAAATTGGAGTTGAGATTCTGTATGGAGTAACGTATTGTTGAATGACAGGAAAGTATGAAGCTTGTCGGAGTGTTATTACTTGGCATAGCCACAGGAGCCATACAAATGATACAACCTTGCTGCTTGTGTCTCATGGTTTTTTTTTTTTTTTAATTTAATTTAATTTTTTTTTCATTTTTTTTTTAAATTATACTTTAAGTTTTAGGGTACATGTGCACATTGTGCAGGTTAGTTACATATGTATACATGTGCCATGCTGCTGCACTGCACCCACTAACTCGTCATCTAGCATTATTTTAATTTGTTTTAGTTTTTTTTTTGAAAAAGGGTCTTGCTGTGTCACTCAGGCAGGAGTACAGTGGTATGATCACAGCTCACCGCAGCCTTGACCTCCCAGGCTCAAGCGATCCTCCTGCTTCAGCCTCCCAAGTAGCTGGTGCTACAGGGGCACACCATCATACCTGGCTAACTTTTGTATTTTTTTGTAGAGATGGGATCTCCCTATGTTGTCCAGGCTGGTCTCGAACTCCTGGGCTCAAGTGATCCTCCCGCCTCAGCCTCCCTAAATGCTGGGATTACGAACATGAGCCACTGTGCCCAGCCAGCCTTTGTTGTTTTTGAAAGTTGAAATTCATGTTTTTGGATCAAAGCTAAGCTGTGACATATAAACATGAAGTGATCTAGTTAGGTTTGGTTATACACCATGTGCAGAAAGCAACCTCTTCATGAATCTTTTAATGAACATCTTTCTACCTGGAAGAAACCCTTTACCTACTAAACTTACTTTCACACCTTCCTAATTTTGTTGTCTTCCGTGTTTTTGCTAGCTCCAGGCCTATTCGGCATTTAAAATAAAATGCAGGTTGGCCAGTCTGGCTGGGCAGTTCTACAGGTACTACGGCTGGAGGATCCCAGTTGACTTGAAATTCAGGTTTTGCTTGTGAAAGTAGCTGGCTGGGGCTTCTGTTGATGACAGTGCTGTGTGGACGGCCTGGTTCGCTGGGTGTGCCTCACAGACACAGGACACTTTTTAGGGTTGCTTTTGAATGTGCCTGAGGTGAGGTTCCTGTGTTTTCCTTGTACTTACCTTCATATTTTCTGACCCTCCTGTGGATGGAAAATCGACTGAGTGTGTGAAGGGCCTGTCGGTGTGAACGGGCCCTGCTCAGCCGGTCCATGGCTGTCTTAGGATCCCGCTTGGTGGCGAGGAGGGTGCGGCTCGTGGGTGGCTGCCTGGGGCTACCCCGTGTAGACTTGCTGGGACTTTGTCTAGACAAGAGAACTGCTGTCAGTGGCGCTTCCTGCGGGGGGATGAGTGCGGCTCTCAGCGCCTCTGTGGGGCTGGGGGTCTTGGGCCGTGAGGCCGGGGCCAGGCTGCGTGGCAACCCTGAGTCCCACCCTCATTGTCTTTGCTCGGGGCCCCGAGAGGCCATGGGGAGCCTGCCGGCTCTGTGTCCTCCCCGCACTGGCTTTTAGGGAAAGAGAGTCTCGTGGGTCATCCGGCCTGCCGGCTCTGTGTCCTCCCTACACTGACACACTGGCTTTCAGGGAAGGGGAGTCTTGTGGGTCGTCTGGCCTGCCGGCTCTGTGTCCTCCCCGCACTGGCTTTCAGGGAAAGAGAGTCTCGTGGGTCGTCTGGCCTGCCGGCTCTGTGTCCTCCCTACACTGACACACTGGCTTTCAGAGAAAGGGAGTCTCGTGGGTCGTCTGGCCTGCCGGCTCTGTGTCCTCCCTACACTGACACACTGGCTTTCAGGGAAAGGGAGTCTTGTGGGTCGTCTGGCCTGCCGGCTCTGTGTCCTCCCCGCACTGGCTTTCAGGGAAAGAGAGTCTCGTGGGTCGTCTGGCCTGCCAGCTCTGTGTCCTCCCTACACTCACACACTGGCTTTCAGGGAGATTGGGCCTTGTGTGTCCTGTTGGGTGAGCAGACACACAAGCTGTGACTTCAGGGCTACGGAAGTTGCTCTGTGGTTTCCGGCACTGCAGACTCCAAGTGTGAGCCCTGTAGTGAGGACAAAGAGTGGAGGTTGGAGTTCAGAATTGTGGACAGGCTCCTGAGGACCAGCAGAGGCTGGAGGCCAGGGCTTGCCCGCCGGGAGTGTGGCTGTGGAAAGATTCCAGTCCACAGTGGGGGCTGCTGCCCAGACTCACCCTGAATAAAGTGTCTTCAGAGCCACCTGTCCTGCCTGTTCATGGCAGTGACCCAGAAAGATTCATCAGTGGGCGGTGAGTTGGGAACAGAAAGAAAACCCTTGAGATAACTGGGTTGGAGACAGGGAGCAGGCTTGTCATTGTGCACTGGTGACATGGCCTTTGGCCTCCCCAGCCGTCTGGCCTGGGCCTCGTGGTCCTGCTCTTGGGCTTCATGTGTCCTTGGGTGTCAGCTCCAGCATGGCGTCCTCTGGGCCCTGCTGCTTCTGAAGTGCCTGTGCCAGGGACACTGTCTTGGGGCCAGTGGAGGTCTGAGTATGGGGGCTGGGAGTCCTAGGCAGTGAGTCATGGCAGAACTGGCCCCTGACTTCCTGGTTAAGCCTTTAATTCTCCCGAATGCCTGTTTTTGCTTCTTTCAAGTTGTTGTGCTTGAGCCACTCTGTCATTAGCTGTGGGCGTTCCGAGTGCCAGCGCACAGTGTTGAGCAGAGCGGGTAGGAGCGCCCTGGCTTCAGGGAGGGCCCCCGCCCCCTGCATGGCGGTCACGCTGCGCTGAGCGTCCCCTCCCCTCTGGTGGCCTTTCGCAGTGGTGGAGGGGCAGGAACTGACTGGCTCTTTTCCCTGTGGTGGCTGCTCGGGTGGCAGTGAGCGGACAGCGAGGGGGACAGACACAGGTGGAAGGAACCACGGTGGGTTTCATTAACAATGACAGTGGCTCAGGAGATCCTGAGGCTGATTAATTTGCAAACAGCAATTACTTGGGATTGCTTGAAAAGAAAGTTCTAGCTTAGAACAGGAACCTGAGGAGGGCTGGCCACACTGGAATCCAGTGCCCACTGTGACAGTGGAGAGCCAGCAGACGCCACTGGCTTTGATGGATGATGGAGAGGGTCCTGGTGTCTTCTGCCATTTGTGGGGGGTCCTTGTGTGCTGTGTTTGCAGGCACCATGGGTCTCCCTGGACGGGGTTCGGTTCCACCCCAGCGCCCTTGTCTTGTTTCATCGCCCGTGTCCGGGCTGTGTAAGAAGCATGTCCATTTGTCCCGAGCGGAGGGTCTCTGCCCCGCCCCTGAGGGAGGCCAGGAGGCCCTTGTTGGATGCTCTGGCGGGCGGCACTGGGACACGGCCATTGCACCCGGCCCTGGACACAGGGCGGCCACCGCATCCGGCCCTGGACACAGGGTGGCCAGGGACTTGGCGGGGGGAGCTCTTCAGAATCTGTCACATGCACGTGAATGCTTTATGGCTTTGGTATTCTTCTGTTTAATTTTAGTAAAACCGCGGCCCGTTGCAAGAAGAGTGTGGGCGTTGGCAGCTTTGTCCCAGGTGCTGCAGGGTTGGGGTGGTCCCTGTCACCGCCTGCTGCTGGTGGGGGTCAGCTGCACGGATGCACGGCCTCGCACCAGCGGCAGCCCCAGAGGCCATGCATAGGGCAGGCCCCGGTGGTCAGGGACCCACCCAGTCCTGCCAGGCGTTGGGCTTGGGATGTGCGGCCGGCTGGGGGCACACATTCATGCCGCAGGTCCCCGTGAGTCTGGGCCGTGTGCCTGGCGAGCCCTGAATTCCACCTCACGTCAGCCGCTGGTTCACGTCAGCCGCTGGTTCACGTCAGCTGCTGGTTCACGTCAGCTGCTGGTGTTGAGTGTTCGCATGATGCTTTTCTTTCTTGGGGGATGGATCAGTGGATGGAGAAATAAAGCTGTGAGGGCATAAAATCAATGTTTGTTTATATTGATAATCATCCCTTAAACTCAGATCCAGGGGCGTCAAGAGACCTGAGCCCGGCCCCGGTGTGCCGCGCACTGGCCATGTGTCCGGAGAGGGCTGTGATTGCGGCTGTCAGCCCTGTCCATTGGAGCTGCAGCTTGGTAAATGCACAGATGGATTTTGAGAAGGTTTCCCTCTAAAGATGTGGGAGTCTTTGCACCTCACCAAGCTGTGCTGGTGTGGCCGTGGCACATACCGGGCTTTTTACGTCTCTTCTAGGGAGTGAGTCGGTGGGCATAGGATGGCTAAGGTATGGGAATTTTAATAGGGAATTTTCTAGTAAATGGTTCTGTTAGTATTACAGCTTATTTTAGAAAGTAAGGTGCTTTCATAGAGAACGTTTAAAATTATTAAGAGGTAGACAATTCTTTTAAAAACCTGAAGGTCTTTTTTTTTTTTCTTTTTTTTGAGACAGAGTCTCGCTGTCGCCCAGGCTGGAGTGCTGGAGTGCAGTGGCGCGATCTCGGCTCACTGCAACCTCCGCCTCCCAGGTTCACGCCATTCTCCTGCCTCAGCCTCCTGAGTAGCTGGGACTACAGGCGCCCGCCACCTTGCCCGGCTAATTTTTTGTATTTTTAGTAGAGACGGGGTTTCACCGTGTTAGCCAGGATGGTCTTGATCTCCTGACCTCATGATCTGCCCGCCTCAGCCTCCCAAAGTGCTGGGATTACAGGCGTGAGCCACTGCGCCCGGCCAAAACCTGAAGGTCTTATATTGTGGTGTGAGTTTATATTTATTTCCATCATTTTATATTTGTCAGATTTTTATGCAGGGGGGCTGCATAATGTCTCCCTGGAGAGCCTCAGCCTCTGTGGAAGAGTTGGGTCAGGAGAAGCCTCTCGGCGGAGGAAGCCGGAGGGAGAAGCCTCTCGGTGGAGGAACCTTCACCCAGAGACCAGCCTGGGGGTCCTTGGCCCAGACGGGGGAGGTGGGAACATGGCCTTGGGTTCTTTCCTCCTTGCAGTTTGGGTGAATAATGTGTGATGAGGCCTAAGAGGAGATTTATAAAGAGTATAATCTCTCAGTCTTAGAGAAAAGTGTTTCAAAGTATGGGTTCTCAGTGTCTGTATTGAAAAAATAAAAAATTCAGTGAATGGGTAGGTTATTTTTCGATCTGAGGGTTATTTCTAAGCACATGATTTATCTTTAGCACGGGAGGGTGATGCCCCGCCATGTCTTTTTAGCTTAGGGACTGTCTTCTGCCGTGAGTTGGCCTCTCTGCCTGTGCACGTGTGTTGCCGGCCCCGGCTCAGCTGTGGCAGAAGTCAGTCACCTGTGGAGTTATGGAAGTCCAGGCGGCCACCCCAGGCCGGGGCCTCATTCCGTTAAGTAGGGCCAGGTGTCTGTCCTCTCACGCGTCCGAGGTGGCTGCCGGCGTGCGGGTGTGACTGTCGATGAGAGCTCTGAGCTGGGATATCTGGTGACGGCTGCCCCTGCTTGGTCTTGCGGTGTGGCTGGGGAGAGGATTACTGGGTGGAATGTAGCCGTCCGCCTTTTGTGTTGACCTCTTGACCTCCCTTTTGGGAGGCTTATTAATGTCAAAAAGTGAAGATATGAGGATGGGATCGTAATTTCTTTGTGTTGCTTTCCAGTAGCCCAGGGACCAAGCTGTGGGAACCAGGCCTCCATGTGCTGGCCCCACCGTCCTCGTGGTGCCTGTGTCTGTCCAGGCTTAGTCCTCAGATCAGCTGCTTCACCACATTGGCTGCAGGCTGGGTGGCAGATGCCCCCAGGAGGAGGAGAAGCATTTCTTCCCAGGGCTTTGGCCTGTGCTGTGTGCCTGGAACCTTTAGGTGCTGTGGCTTCGCAGACCCGGACGCAGCGTGGAGGCCAAGCGGTGTCTGTACAGGACCCTTCAGTGATGAGGGTGGCCAGGCTCCAGCCAGGTCCTAGGGAAAGCTCTCCGAGAGCGACGGCTTAAGCAGTTCTGAAAAATTGCAAATGATCTGTGTTCTTGGAGAAAGAATGGGAGAGAAGCACTCACTCACAATAATGTTGCACCTACTGTGTGCGGGTAGGGTGCAGGCAGTGTGGTCCAGTGTGAGCGGGGAGGGTGCTGGTTGAGGGGTTAGTGCTCGGGACGCAGCCTTTGGACCCAGTGCCCTCCCAAAACTCTGCTCATCAGTGCCCCTGAGCTCAGCATTGACCCCTGGAGGAACTGGGCGCCTTCCCTGGTCTCAGACTGTAAGCCTCCTCGGGAAGCAGCAGTTGGCTCCTGATGCAGCTGGCCTCAGATCCTGTTGGGAGAGCAGGATTGGTGAGGAACCTGGAGAGGAGTAGGAGGTGCTGCCTGATAGCAGAGGTGGGTGATGGGGGCAGAGAGGGTAGCAGGGGCCCAGTTCAGTCCTGTCTGGTTTTCACGTGGAGCTTTTTATAGAGTTGTGCTTCTCAAGCCTTTCAAATGCCTCACAGCGGCAGTCCGACGTGCAGTCAGTGACAGCTGAGTAGATTACCACCCTCAGGACTAAATGCAAAATCATCTTCACTGGGTGCAGCATTTACAGTTTTGGTGCTGGAACCTCCTAACCAGTGTTCTTAGGGGCTGTCTTACCAGTGAAGGGAGCTGCCTGCTGTTGACGCTCCACAGGAGGTTTGCGGCATGGCTGCCATCTGTGTTGTGGCCTGGGACTTTCTTAGAGAGTGGGTAAAAGATGAGTCATCTCTTGTGTGATTTATCAGCTTCACTTGTGCTTCCAGGGCTCTTTGAAGCGTCTCACTTTTTAATTTCATGAAGAAACAAATGTAGTGCAGAGAACAGAAAGCTGCTGTGTGACCTGCGGGTGCCCAGCCTGTGGGGCTTCCTCATCGCCCCCATCCAGGCAGATCGAGTGCCGGCTCTCTGTGCTCTCCAGGAGGTGGCCTTTCACAGCAGGGACGTTCTGTGCTCTTATTTTAACAACTGTAAGAATCTGAGCTTGGTGACAGTTGGGTGACCCGGGCTCTGTGTCTTCGTGTTGGCCAGGGTGTGTCATACACCTGGCCTGGCCTGCGTGCCTCACGTGTGGTGGGGATTTGTGACTGTCCCCAGCACCTTGACAGAGGGTCCTTGACTCTGCGACCCTGCACAGTGGGTGGTGGCAGGTGGGATCTTGGTTCACAGGCACAGGTGGGGAGAGTTGCTGGGCCAGCGTGGCTGGGTGACTTTCCTGTGGAAAGAGCGGGCTTGGGGCTTGGTGCGTGATCCCACCGAGGCCGGGGTTGTGCTTGGGGCACTGGGGGAGAGCAGAGCAGGTGATGCATATCCGGGCGCCCACCCTAGCAGCACAGGAAGGGCTGGGATCACCACTCCCCGGGGCACCGTGGGGACAGCGGGGGCCTGCTCACTCCCCGGGGCACCGTGGGGACAGCGGGGGCCTGCTCACTCCCTGGGGCACCGTGGGGACAGCGGGGGCCTGCTTGTGTTGGGGGTGGGGCTCCTTGCCCCCCAAGGGCAGGCCGAGCACCAAGTCTGTGCTTGCCCCACTGTGCAGCGTTGCAGGTGCAGCAGACATGAGGCCAGCTGCTGCTCCCTGCAGGCAGCTGAGGGCCTCTGGGAAGGCTTCTCTACAACGTCCTGTGGGAACTGGAAACCCAGATGTCAGTGGAACCAGGTGTTCTGTCCATCACTGCCTCTTACCTCCTAGCAAATTCAACACTGGCGTTTTTTTTTCTGAGCAAGTTGAGCTGCATTTTTGGGACAGGAGCCATGGCTGTGTGTGCTGGTGCTGAAGGGAGGGTCTGCAGGGACGGCCACACGGATGGCTGTGTGTGCTGGTGCTGAAGGGAGGGTCTGCAGGGACGGCCACGCGGCTCTCGGGAGCCGTTTCCTGCGCTCGGGCTCTGCACCGGCAGGCTCCACGCTGAGGGTCCCTCCACATCCACCCCATCGTGGGAGGGAGGCTCAGTGCTCTGCAGGGGCCTGAGCAGTCGGGGAGACACCCCCTGCCCACAGCCACCCTCTCTGGGCTATGTGGGAGGTGCCCACGTTTCCACGCCTTCCTCGTGGAGGGTGTGGCGGGCTGTCTGTGCCGCGGGGGTACTCGGCTGCACTGTGCACAGCCCTCACCGCCCAGTGCCGAAATGGGAAGGCCTGACAGGGCGATGCGGTCTGCACCAGCTACATCTGCAGAAGTCCAGCACGATGCAGTTTATGCCTGGCAGTGATGTTTGTTTTTAAAATTAGTAAAACCTCATTAGTTATCAGAAGGCGTAACTATATGATGATTTTTTGTGGAGGGATTATTTCTACCTTTTGTGCAGAGAATGCCTGGATCCCTTCTGCCCCTTGGGGTCACATATTGCAGTGGGGACTGTGGTGCTCTGAGGGTTAAGTTGTTTCTGTCACCTGGAGGCTGCTTTTTCCTCAGGCAATTGGCGTTCAACAAATGACAGGCTGTCTAGAGAGAAGGGTTTTTCAATTACATGGCTGGACCTGGGTTGCCAAAAGGAAGCCTCCTGGGGTGTGTTCTATACGCGACATGCATTTGCTGTGTGTAATTGGAACCATGAGAAAGGTTTTTGTTCAGAGCTATTGGATAGTTTCCTTATTTTAAACCTGTTGAATCTGGAAAGAGTTGTTTTTGAAATTTTTTTCTGATAATAACGTTATATAAAAGTTTATGGCAGAGGAGTTTCTGTTCCACACGCCCCTCCCCGAGCTTTGTGGTCGCCCAGGTGCCTGGCTGTCAAGGCTGGCCTGTCCCTTGTGTTCAGGGTCCCGAGATGTCAGAGCTGGCAGCCCAAGTCCTCCCCTTTATCCCGAGCAGGAGAAGCAGTCCTCACTCCATTTTTCACCCCAGGGTATAGCAGCACCTACCACCCTGGGATGAATCAGAGCCAAGAGGCTTGGTTTTTCTGTTCTTGTTAAGGAAATTGATCATCTCACACCCTCTCAAGCTGTTTTACTTTGTGCAAATCAGATTCCTTTCTAGGGACCTGCGAGGAGAAACATCCTCAGCTTCTAGGACTCCCGGGGATGCCGTCAGCAGCCAGGCCTTGGCAGCTGCCGCTTCACCTGTGCTGGCGTGTGGGGCCCTGACGTCTCTTGCGGGTGTCATGGAGCAGGATTGGAGGTTTCTGAGCAGCAGGAGGGCAGGAGAAAGGCCCCAGGACTTTGCGCTGTGGCCTGGCCTGGAAGGAGGCTGGCTGGGCCCTTCTGGATGCCTGTAGCAGCACTGCCACCTGGGCAGAGGCCCCAGAGGCCCCAGAGGCCGAGGCAGGCTTTGTTCTCTGCTGCTGGGACTCAGCCCTGCGGGAGCACAGGGAGGACAGCTGGAAGCCCAGCCCCTCTGTGGCTCTGTCCACAGCTGGGGACAGCAGTCCAGTGTGCACGGGCCACCCACAGCCCTCTCAGGAACTGGCCTCTTCTCTTTAAGACAGAGGAGTGCGCCAGGTGGGCCTCTGGCTGGACCTCCTAGGCCATCAGTTTTCCCAGCAGGAAGTGCTGATCAGACTGAAGGAAGGCCTGCGTGTGTGTGTTGGCCCAGATGCCTGTTAGTGGACGCTGTGTCTGCACAGCTGTCTCTGGGTGGCTGATTCATCCCAGCAGCTGACTACGATGGTGCTAAAGAGAACCATCTTACACGGACTTGGGGACAGAAACCTGGGCTCCCCTACCGAGGTCAGGTCCTGGGGGTGTGGTGGGATCAGCTCCCCCAGCACCTCCGTGGCCTGGGGTGGGGGGTCTGTGTCCTCCCTTGGGGGCTTCTCACAGGGCTGCCAAGCAGTGTCCAGGTGCATGCGTTGGGCGTGCAGGAGGCCTGAGGCCATTGTCCATGCTGGCCACTGCCACTCGCGGTTGTCTGTTGGGAGTCGGTCTGTCCAGTGGATGAATAAATTGGGACTCAGCGGTTTGCACCCAGATGCCCGAGGCTATGGAGTTGCCGGGTGGTCGTGCCTGGGGCTGCCTGGAGTGGTGTTGCAGTGACTGTCCCTGGGGATCTGGCCTGGCAGGGATGCCACATTTGGGCAGCGCTTTCCTCTTGAAGGTGCCACAGCCTGTTAGTTTTGATGTGTTGGCCACGAACAGGCTGCCCTGTTAGCACAGAAAGTGAACGTGAGCAGTGCGAGAAGGCTCAGAGTGGACTTTCCGGGGCAAACAACTGAGGGCCTTTTGGGCGTCACAGATTTGGTTTAGTTCGGATCGAGGTAATCATCTTGAACCCGCTTATTAGAGTCAGTGGCTTTTTCTGTCTCACAGCCGCCTTCTTGTTTGGTTTCGCGTCTCACATGCATTCTGTGATCCTCACTGACTTTTTAGAAGGAAAATGTTTGACATTTACAAGAAGTGAGAGATACTCTTGCAAATCATCCAGCAGTTTCTGGTTTGCAGATTGATGGCAGCCCTGGCCTTTACCCTCAGTGCCTCCTGCCGGTGATGGTGCTGCCGGCTCTGACCTGTGTGAGGAGGGCCTTGGAGAGCACAGGTCCCCCAGGGGGAGGACTCCGGGAGGTGCTTTGCGGGAGGGAGTCATGGCCGAGAGAGGGAACGCAGAGCTGCCGTGTGTGGCCGTGCAGGGCCTTCCACAGTGAGTTGTGGGGTCCTGGGGGTGAGAGCTGATGGTGGTCTGACCATGGTGGGAGGTGGTCCGGTCCTGTAGAGGCGTGGCTGCCGCAGTTGGGGCGGGCTCTGGGAATGGCGCGGTGTCTGGATGTGGAGGAGTGAGGAGGAGCCGGCCCTGAGCTGCACCCAAGGAGAGGGCTGGCCATGGCGGGGGCACCACACCGGAGGACAGCTCTTCTGTGGGCACTGGGCTTGAAGAAGCTGCAGCGCATCCAGGTGGGGTGTCCTGAGGAAAGGTGGCTTGGAGAGGGGTGGGCCCCTGCCTGGAGCCCTGGCAGGCTGGGGAGACCTTGGTGTCTGGCAGGGACCCCGGAATGTCCTGCTGCTCCCCCGGGCCTCTGTGTGCAGCGCCCTGCGTCGTGGCTGGGCTGAGAGGAGGCAGTTTCCCTAGCCCCTCACTCTGGCGAATTTCACATTCTTGATACCACGGTATCTTTGAACTTTCTATTTTGAGGAAAGTTCATTTTTATGTAGTTTTAGTAAGTGTATAAACGTAATAATCTTATTAAAAGTAATCACCATATGTATATAAAATACACTGTGCAGAAACATCCATTTTTATTGCTGTTTATAGAGAATAAAAGATCCTTAGATGCAAAAAGTCAGAGGGGAAATTTGCATATAATATTCGTAGTCCTACAGTTGTTGCTTATGGTGTTTTGCCTAAGACCATTTCTAGGTGCATTTTTCTGGGAGATAATGTATCTGATGACAGTTGCATGTGCAGATAACCGGCCTCTCATGTATCCATCCCGGGAGTGCCTTTTCTCAGACTGTGTGTAGTGTTAGTGAACTTGATTGGTGGGTGTGAAGTGTACAGACGGCGTGTGCGTGGAGCGGGTCGTGTGCAGAGCCCCGAACGAGACCCTGGCGTGTGCGTGGAGCGGGTCGTGTGCAGAGCCCCGAACGAGACCCTGGCGTGTGCGTGGAGCGGGTCGTGTGCAGAGCCCTGAATGAGGCCTTGGTGTGTGGGTGCTTCAGCGTGAGGGCCACCTGGGGAGGAGTGCTTATCTGGGGAGGCTGAGCTGGGTTGGAGGCTTGGGTGCTCCCCCTGGCTCCGTGGGTCTCCATTGCTGGCTTCATAGCTGTGTTCCGTTTTCTTTGTTCAGCAGTTGATCTCAAGTATTTATTCCAAAGCACTTGAAATACATGAACCTAATAAATCGAACAAATACAGTAAAACTTTAGCTTCTTGGAACATCCCCATATACTTACACCACGTCCTAAAATCCTCTCATGTCTATGTAAAAAATCGGGTAGCCTGGGTAACGTGGGATGCCATCTCTACAAAAAATTTAAAAAGTAGCTGGGTGTGATGGTGGCATGCTTGTAGTCTCAGCTACTTAGGAGGCTGAGGAGGGAGGATCGCTTGAGCCTGGGAGGTGGAAGGTGCAGTGAGCCAAGATTGTGGCACTGCACTCCAGCCTGGGAGACAGAGCCAGACCCTGTCTCAAAAAAATAAGAAATAAATGAAATCACACTTGTGTGATGTCAGATTACCCATTAACCCACTTTTGAATGGAGCTGGAAGGATAATCCACACCTACCTCGGATTTCTCTGCGTGGCTGTTTTGCATAGGAGCCCTGCATGGGTTATTCTTGAAGTCAGCACTGTAGGAGCCGTGGCCGGCTTTGCATTTTCATCCTGGTTCACCCCAGACCTGCTCTGGGCAGAGCCAGGCATCCCCTGGGACGCTCTGCCTTTGCGTGTCCACGACAGTACAATTCCAGGCACTGCCTGGCATCTGCGTCTCTCCCTCCCCTGAACCAGGGGCGCCTCTCCCTCCCCTGAACCAGGGGCTCCTCTTCCTCCCTGCCTGGCAGGAGCTGCGTTTCCTTGAGTCTCCTCAGACTCGGCAGACCCCTGGGTGGTATCATGTGCTATTCTGAAGGAGCTTTTGCTTCATGGCACTTGAAAAAAATCCTTTCACTGGATCTGAGTTGGTGAGCATGCATCTTCCTTTCGTAGGTTTGTTTTCTGACCAGGCCGTGGGTCTAACAGGAGCCCCGAACCTCTGGGTGGGCTCCGTGTCGCTTGCGTGCCTCACTCATCTGGCACCGTGACCGCGCTCCGGCCCTGAGCCCCACTTCTCTGAAGCCTCACGTGTTGCCCGTGTGGTCTGCTCCTCACCGTCTTTTCTCTTGTCCTTGCCCAGTTGTCGCCGTGATCCTGAAGGCGCTGACCTACGACGAGAAGCGGGGTGCCTGCAGCGTGGGCACCAACGTCAGGGACGCCGCCTGCTACGTGTGCTGGGCCTTCGCGCGTGCCTATGAGCCTCAGGAGCTGAAGCCCTTTGTGACTGCAATCTCGAGGTAGGCCCATTCGTCGAGGTACATCGGATGCGCCGTGCCCCCTGACGGCGCCGTGTGTCGTTTCCTCCATGAGAGGTGTGCACAGCAGATGCTCGTGAAAAGGTGAAATTACTTGGCCAGAGGATCTGTGACAAAGCCACCGCTTGGAGGTCAAGCTCCTTTTCTGTGGGTGAGCAACCAGAGCAGAAGTGTGTGGAGGAACATTCTGGAGGTCTTGGCCACCCTGCAGGCAGTGGATTCTTGGGCGCAGGTGATCGACAACCAGAGCAGAAGTGTGTGGAGGAACATTCCGGAGGTCTTGGTCACCCTGCAGGCAGCAGATTCTTGGGCGCAGGTGATCGGCACGCTGGGTGGCGTGGGAGGAAGCAAGTGGGGCACGGGAATCGCCTGTGCGTGCTCCCTGCGGTCGTGGGTCTTGGCGAGAGGCGAATTCTGTCTCTATCTCCTTTCAAGTTCCTCTGGAATACAGCAGGCATGTTGGACATGGCAGTCTTCAGATGGTGTTTGTTTTTGTTGAGGAGCTGGATTTTGTGTTTTTGTGGACCAGCACTTGAGAGAATGTTCAGTAGCAATAGCCTTCGCTGGCATGCCTGATGTCAGCTCCTCTGAGATGTAAGTGAACACTTCAGAACCTCTGGGAGGTAGGGAGACACTTTTTCCCTCTGGCTTCCTGATGAGAAAACTGAAGCCAGCAGGTTTCATGGGATCACCAGAACCCCAGAAGCTGTGCGGCCTGTGGCGGGCGGGGCTCCTGCCTCGGTGTCCAGTGCGCGCACCCAGCTGAGCCCCGTAGTGGTGTCCTGTGCCAGGGACTTTCAGGATCTGATACTTTTTGCTTAGGAAACATGCAAAACATGTGTCCCCAGCGCAGGAAACGATTCAATTCAATTCAACCGTGTGCGCTGGTTTTGTACACTGCTTTTGGACTGAAATGAGTTCTTTTGTGCTGAAGAAGGCAGGTGCTTCCTTTCTTGTTGTGCATGAAGGAGCTGGAGGCGGGACACCGAGGAAGGCGACTCAGTGTCACTGTCCGTCATGGGTGTGTGAGCCCACGGCTGAATCATCACAAGGTTTCACACCCGCACTTCACCTGACAACTTTTACTAGGAAAATGAACTAGGGAAACTGACTTCAGAATTATGCCCAAGTCTTAGAAGCTCCTCCTGCAGCTGTTCAGGAGCCGAGCGTCCCCTGCTCACTACAAGACGCCTGAAGGGGTCATGGGATGCAGCGTCTGAAGCTTCCACCTGGAAGTGCACTGCTCCTTTTGGTCTGGGCGGGGCGGGGCGCCGGTGGCAGATGCCCCTGGTGGCAGGCTCAGGCTACTGTGCTGGGTCCCCTCTGCCCCGCACGCCCCGCGAGCACCAGCAGGGCCTCCCCGGCATGTGGCGGGGCCAGCGTTGGCCTGGGGCCCGCTTGGCTTTGATCTCGTGGGGCTTCGTCTTTTGGACGTCCTGGGTGCGCCTCCACTGTGGCTCCTGGGTTCCCTCACGCACCCGGGTGTAAGCGCCACTGCCTGTGTCCGACAAGCAGCTCGTTGTGAGGCACACGCTGGTAAGCAGCTCGTTGTGAGGCACACGCTGGTGTAGGCTCCGAAGGGTCTCGGTGACAGGCGCTTTTCTCTTGTTCCTGCCCACTGCTGTTCCATCTTACCAAATACTCAGTAGCGTCCGGAGAGGGACCTCAACCCGGTTACTTCCCTGGGTGTGCAGCACGTGGCCAGCGTCTCATAGTCTAGATTCTTGCATCAGAGCGAAGCCTGAGAGGAGCCGAGGGTCCTCCTCCTATCCAGGGAGACCGTGTGTTTCCCGAGGCAGCTGTGAACACGCACGTCCCTCTTGTCCTGCTCCTCTTCGGAGGAGAACAGCGCGGCTGGAGGGTGCTGGTGCTGGCCAACGTGTTATGGAGAGTGTGGCTTACCTGAGGCCAGGGAGGTCTGGGGTGGCTGAGAGCGGCTGTGGCCTCTGTCTGCTGCTCTCCCCAGTGGCCACTCTGGCAGCGCTGCTGGGCAGGGGCTTGGCTGCTGGTGGTCTTCAGGGAGCAGTGCCTTGCAGAGTGGAGCAGAGAAGACGGAGAGGTCCGGCTTTAGGCCCCTGCCGAGCTCCTGAGGCCCTGCCGCGTGCCTGTGCCAGCCTGCAGCGCTGCTGTCTGTGTGCGGGAGCTCTTGTGTGTGATCAGCCTCAGGAAAGGCTCTTCCTGTTACTTCCTTGTGCTGCTCCTGCACTTCTAGGAAGTTGATCCTGTAACTAGGAAGTGAAAGCAAAAAAATGTATCTTTCTTATTGTTGATAGGAATAGTCACAGAACGAGAAAACTTCCTTACGTTGATATCTCATTCAGTTTCCTTAGCAACCCTGAGAGGTGGGCAGGGGCCACCGTCATTCTGGTTTCACTGAGGAAGTCAGGACAGCACTGAAGACACCTGTCCAGCACCTTGTGCTGACGGCTTCCCAGCCAGGCCCATCACCTGGTGGCCGAAGGCTTCTGAGCCAGGCCCATCACCTGGTGGCCGACGGCTTCTGAGCCAGGCCCGGCACCTCGTGGCCGACGGCTTCTGAGCCAGGCCCGGCACCTCGTGGCCGACGGCTTCTGAGCCAGGCCCGGCACCTCGTGGCCGACGGCTTCTGAGCCAGGCCCGTCTGGGCAGCAGCTCCCAGGCCCTGGCCCGGGGCTCAGCGCTGCCTCGTGGCTGAGAAGCTCCTCACCACCTGCTGTGAGGCCGTGGAAAGACCCTGAATGCAGACGTGTGACGGCTGCAGCTGCATCTGGCCCCTCAGATGGTGGTTCCCCTTTCATGGTGAAAATCCTCACGGATTTCCTTTTCAGCCTCATATTTTGTCTAAGAGCTGTCAACATCACTGAAACCTGGGCCTGCCCTTCATCCTGGGGAGGACTCCCTGGTCCAGTGTCACAGGAGGAGTCGGGCCAGGGTTGAGGGCTGGCACAGGACATGGGGGTGAGACGAAACCTCCACTCACCTGGGAGGGTGTCTAGGTGGGCACGGAACCCAGGGTCGTGTATGGGCCATCACTCATGGGTTCTCTGTTTTGGGGGAAAGCTGATCCCACTGGAGGGTGACTGTAATGAGAGTCTCCAGATCAGGTGCCGACTTTGGAGAAATGCAGGTGCAACTGTCCGAACAAATCAAGTCCCCGCTACTGGACGGGGCTGGCAGCTCAGCTGGGGCCGGAGAGAAAAGTCACGAGCAAGAAAGTTCTTACCTAAGGTCCTGGACAGGCAGATACATAACTTCTGCCTTTGGCAACGTTAGATGTCATCGTTCCAGAGTAAAATACCTATAAAAACCTGCCGATGCGCGGGGAGCCTGGCCTTGGTCTGGGTGTGGAGGGCTGGGGGCCGGCCGGTCGGTAGGTCCTGGTGCAGGCGGGCCCCGTGCTTCATGGAGGTTGGCGCCGCTCGGTGGCCTGCTCGCTTATTCTTAGGCCTGATTCACAGAGGCTGGGGCCACTCAGTGATCTGTTCGCACATTCTCAGGCATGAACCTTCAGGGCTGGACTCCTGTTCTTTTGTGCAGTTTCCACAGGGGACCCTCTTGCTCCAGGGTCATCTTTCTCACTTTGAAGCCCCTTGAGCCGCCCCTGCACAGCCTCCTGTTGGCCCCGTGAGGGTCCTGACTGGGGCTCCTCTTTTGGAGCAGCTGCCACGTGTGGACCGGCACGGGCATGGTCGTGGTCTGCCCAGCTGGGTGTGGGGTTGAGCCCATCATGCTGTGGGGTGCTCCCTGGGGGTTGTGTGTGTGTGGGTCCCACGGTGGGAGGTGGGGTTGGGGTGAGTGTGACTTCTGTCTGGGGCATGTTGGGTGGGCGTGCAAGGGGGTCCTGGGACTCCTGAGTTTCTCAGGCCTGAAGGACTGTAGGACGCACTGTGGGCTGCAGGCTTGAAGAAGGATGTGAGTTTCTGGAGTAGCCTGGACTGCACAGCCAGGGCCTCCCCGGCATGTGGCGGGGCCAGCGTTGGCCTGGGTCCCACTTGGCTTTGATCTCGTGGGGCTTTGGTTTTTGGAGGTCCTGGGTGCGTCTCCACCATGGCTCCCGGGTTCCCTTGCGCACACCGAGCCAGCAGCTGCTGGGGCCTCAGGGCTCGCAGCTCACAGGCTTCTGACGCCTCAGCCTGGAGCTGGCGTTGTGCCCCTCGCCCCTTTACCTGTGCCATCCCGGCCGCAGACCCAAGGGTGCCCTTGGAGCCGTGCCCGCCGGCCTGGGTGTCAGGCTTGTCCAACGGGTTCTTAGAGAACCTGGGCCCCATCCCTCCTTGGCCCACGCAGACTCCAGGCATCCGGCCGGGCGGGCTGTGAGTCAGGCTGCACCAGGTGAGCGTGTGGGATGCTGCTGGTGCGAGCCTCCCTGCCCAGGAGCCCTGCGCACCCGGGTATCGGTTGGGGTGTGCCCTTCCAGATCTCCCTCCCTTGGTTTGTCATAGGTGACCACATTTTAATTACCAGCTTTTATGCCCGTCAATTTGGGAACGTGATACAATCTTGATTTCTCTAACTTTCACAAGTTCTTCGGTGGGTCCTGTAACAGTGGGTGCTTGGGATCAGAGCATCAGAGTGGAATTTTCGCAGGGAAATGGAAATGCCTGATCGAGCTGGGCGGTGGCAGCAGCCGCTCCTCACTCTTCAGGTGCCTGGCTCTTCTGAGAGTCAGTTCGGGGGTTTAGTGGCTCACTTTTTCTAATTGGTTCCTAGCTTTTTGCTAAAGAAACTTGGATTAACTGTTCTTTTGCCTCATGGTGTGAATTTATACTGTTCCTGTTTTATAAATACCAGAAGGAGCTTCGTAGGTAACTTTTACCATGTGTTGAAGGTAGCATTGGTTTTGAAAACCTGATTTCCTCAGTGTCGCACACGGGTAGCTTAAGAGGTGGGATAATTGTTGGAGTAGTGAATGGATTTCCCTGAGAAGCCAAGTGCAATTTAGGGGCAGTGACAGTGCGAAGTTAAAGTGGGACAGAGTGGTTATGTGTTATCTGCAAAATCCCTCCTAACCAGTAATCACAGTCTAATTTGCAAGAAGGAAAAGAAAGCCGAGCCCTACGCTGCTGCTGCTGCCATTGTGTGTCCAGTGATTTCCTCACCTGAAACTCTTTTGTAAGCAGCTCATGTTGACATCAGCTCCGCCCAGGCAGCCACGGGGCCCTCCCCTGCCAGGGGGCAGCCTCTGACTTTCGGCCTCCACCTCGAGCAAACCTGCTGAGCGGCGCGGCCCAGGGAGGATCCGCCGAGGCCTGCAGATCCGAGATCTCTTCCTCGGGGGCAGGATTGTCCTGGAAAATCAGGAAATGGCAGGCATTGCTCAGAGCTACGTCTTGTTCTCCCTCACCGGTGTTGCTCAGTGGCACAGCTTCCAGGGGAAGACAACACGTGTTTTTCAAGAAAAGTTAAGTGGCCATTACCGAGCAGAGTCCTAACCCTGTGAAACCCGGCAAATCCTGCCTCCACGTCAGCTCAGGTGTGACTCGAAAGCACTTAAAAAATTCTCGTGTTTTACCACTGTGTTGATTAGTGTGAGCTTTGGTTCTTGGGGGTTAGGAAAATTCAGCCATAGGCAGGTCCGATATGATTTGCAACTTTCAAAAAACAGGATGGCTAAATAACAAATTACTAGTCTGATATTTTTTAAATGTCTGACTTTCAAATGACACAGAATTATTGTTTCTTAAGGTAAAAACAGTGTATTTGGCTTTTTATTGCTATAAAATATTATATAAATAAGAAAACTTGAGCTGGGGTGAGGTCTGCACTTTGCTGTACCTGCCGAAAATGAGGTGCCTGGAGCTTGGGACAAGTCGAGGCGTGCACTTCCCCTTGACTCGGACAGGAAAGAGAATCCCTTTCTGTTTGACACAGACCATTTCTCTGTGTTGGGAAATCCTGGTGAAGTATCACATAAACTTCTCCAGCGAAAGCAAACGGGCGAGGACACCTAGGGCACGTTTCAGCGCAGACAGGCCGGCCCTTCTCGCGGCCTCGCAGTGTCTCTCTCCAGGTTCCCGGGGATGGTAGATGAACGTGGTGACTCACTCAGGGTGTTCCTGCGAAGGGAAACTGAGAGGCCCACGTGGGACGTTGGGTGTCCTGTTGGAGTAGTCCTTTAGGAAGGAGCTTTTATATTTATATTTAACTAGCATCATTAAACCTGTTTGTATTTATTTCTCGATGAGCCAGTTTTGTTCTGAGAATGAGAAAATAGAGCCGTTTTAATAAATGTCCAAATCAGGACAGTGTTAAATTTGTTGTAAGTCCATATATAGTTGATTGGTCGAATTAACTTGGGAGTCTGTGTTTAGTTAAAAACAGCGTTTCTCAGGCGTTGCTGTATTTTCTGTGAGGTTCAGTAAAATATACACGCAACAGCAACCATTTTGACTTCTCATGGCAGGAGCCAGCTTCGTTGAAGTGGGCCAGGCTGAAGTGAGGCCAGCTTTGCCTGCTGCAGCCCTGTGGTCTGTGTCCAAATTGCTGAGTACTGCCGGGAGAGGGAGCCGGGAGTGCCTGCGTCTCCTGCTGTCAGCCGGTCTGACTGCCTGAGCGGAGCTGTTGAAGTGGACTGAACAACAGTAACCTTAGAGGGTTAGACTTGGTGAGGATGGTAGATGATTTTAAGTTTCTTCTCTTTTTTCCATTCTTTCTTCATTAATCAATGTTCCACACTTTAAATATAGTAATTTAAACAAATAACACATTTCAAGAATTCAGTGTAACATGTGACCTTTCAGTAGTATTGGCTGGAGCCGGCGGCAATAAAGATAGAAGCCTGTGTTCCTCTTGTGGCAAATGTTAAAGGAAACCAGAAATTCTTGATTCATATTTTTCCCTAGAACACGTGGCTTTACAGGTTTCAAAAAATGAAACTCTTGTTCATATGGTAAATATGACACACATTTCTATGCATTCTGAAAAGATTTAGAATAAACTGCCATTTGTTGTTAAAAATAGCAGTTATATAACTTTTTTTTTTTCTTGAGACGGAGTCTTCCTCTGTCGCCCAGGCTGGAGTGCAGTGGTGCGATCTTGGCTCACTGCAATCTCCGCCTCCTGGGTTCAAGCAATTCTTCTGCCTGCCTAGTAGCTGGGATTACAGGTGCGCATCACCACCCCCGATTAAGTTTTTTGTATTTTTAGTAGAGACAGGGTTTCACTGTGTTGGCCAGGCTGTTCTCGAACTCCTGATCTCGTGATCCACCCACCTTGGCCTCCCAAAGTGCTGGGATTACAGGCGTGAGCCACTGCGCCCGGCTGTAGTTATATAACTTTTAGTTATTAGAAGATCACATTCATATGTCTTGATCAGTTTAATGATTTCTAAGATATCATTAACAAAAGCCATTATGATGTATTGAAATAGGATTGATCTTAAAACGTTCGTGCTAATGTAACGTGAGTTCCCTTTAATTTTAAACCAGTATTTTTCTCTTCTTATTTAGGCTATAGTTTGTTATAAAGAGTATAGAGAGGAAAATGGAGTGCTTTTCTGTTCATAGAGTTTTTCTGAAATTAAAGTCAAAATTTTCAGTTTCAAGTAGTGAAAGCAGTGTTAACAGAAAGTTTCCCAGATACTAATCCTGGGTCTTTTAAGATCTTTAGATAATTAGTTGCTTTCCAAAATAGCTTTTAATTCTGAACTCATTTTAGACTTAAAGAAGAATTGCAAAACCAGTGGAGTTCTTCTAGACCCTCCACAGCATTCTCCGATGTGAACATCTCACATTTGGAAGCCAGGAAGTGCAGTGTGGGATAAAGGCCACTAACAGGCTGGTCTGCCCGGGACCCCGCATGGCATCTGGTGGTCCTGTGCCCTCAGCCTCCTCTGCTCTGTGAGCTCCTCAGTCTTTATCTTTCTTGATCTTGGGGCACTTAAAAAATAGGTTTTATTGAGATGAATTCACTTGCCATAAAATTCACCCCTTTAGGGTCCACAGTTCAGTGGTTTTTAGTGTATTCTCAGACTTGAGGAGACCTCACCCCAGACAGAAGCCATGTGCACCAGGTCCCGTCACCCGCTCCAAGCCTGGCACTGCCAGCCTGCTTTCCGCCCCTGTGGATTTGACCCTGAGACCTCCAGAGACGACTGGCCAGATGTTCTGTAGGACGCCCCTCTCTCTGATGCTTTCTCGTGTGTTACTGGAAAGAGTGATGTGAGGTGACCTGCCCTCCTCCGTGTGCTGTTGGGCCCATATAGTGCCCCACAACGGGTCCTGCGTGGTCTGGACCTTGATCCCTGGTCAAGATGGGGCCTGCCAGGTGCCTCCACTTGAGGAGACTGTGTTTTCCTCTGTAACTAGCAGTGTTCTTGTGGGGTACTCGAAGGTTATGCAACATCCTGCTGTTTCTCCTTTGGTTTTCACCCCATCCGAGCTCTGTCCAAAGACCTTGTTGTGTGGTCTGGTGGTGGTTCCTGTGTCCCCACCCCGACGTTCAGTGATTGCAGCTTGTTCTTAAGGAAGGCTCGTTCCTCTCCCAGCTTTATTTCATCATTCGCTCCTGCCAGTGTGGACTCATGGGTGCTCATCCTGTTTGGGGGTTATCATCTAACACTATTGTTACTAGTTTTGTTTGAGTTATAATCTAACACTAACTATTGTTATTAATGTTGCTCAAATTGCTCCAGCTTTGGCCACTTCAGGTTGGCTTCTGTGTCCTTTCAGCAAGATCCTGTTCTTTTTTTTTTTTTTTTTTTTCTTTTTTCCTGAGCCTTTTTTCTTTCCTTCTGGCACCACAAGATGCACCTGGCTTATCTTTTTGCCCCTGCCCCAGCCCTAGCATCCACCACTTCCCAGGAGTCTCACATCCTCTCGGTGGAGAACAGTATTTGGAATCCAGGACGCCGGGCTTGGCCTCAGCTGCCTCTAGGTCCCCTCCCTCTGTAGCTGAGTGTGTGCCCCTCTTCACAGTCCATGTTTGCACAGACACCAGCTCTAGCCCAGCTTCCTCCTGGCCTCCCTTCGTGTGCCGCTTCTGGGCCTACTGTGTAGCACGCTCTGCTGCCGTGCGTCTGCCGTCATGCATCTGACGTGATTTTGGAGCTGCCAGCCCACACCTGTGTGAGCAACAGACTCACCACTCAGGGTGGGACGCTCTGTGCATCCTCCTCACCCTGGGCATAGCGTTGCCAGGCCATCGCTCGGGTGAGCCCTTCTGGTGCTGCTGGTCTGGGATGCAGACAAGTCTGCCGGTTCCCTCTGTGCTGGTCCGGGATGCAGACACGTCTGCCGCTTCCCTCTGTGCTGGGCTCCCCAGGTCTGTGATTGTTGCTTCTTCAATCTGCATGTGGTTGTGTTCTACAACTCAAGCACCAAACAGGACAGTCCGTCTCCCCCAAAAACTCCCCAGTCTGCTCCCCAACCCTGGGCCAACATTGGTCTGATTTTGGTCCTGATAGTTTACCATTTCTGGAGTGTCTTATAAACGGAAATAATCAGTAGGCTTTTCATTCTGGCTTCGTTGACTTGGCACAGTGCCCTTAAGACTCATCCCAGTGATCTTTCCTTTTTTTTTTTGGAGTGGTGTATTGTTGGACGGACCTGGCGGTCACAGGCCTACCTGTCTCCTTGGGTGTCTCCAGTCCTTTCTGGAGGCTCAGGGGGGCTCAAGGGAAGACTCTGCTTCCCTGCTTGAGTTGCCCGCATTCCTTTGCTCATGGGCTCTTCATCTACCTTCACAGCCAGCCACGTCCACGTCTCGCTTCATCCTTCACGTACCCTATGCCTGTGGTCCTTTCTTCTGCCTCCTGTGTCTGTCCTTCCTTCTTCCTTCCTGTATGTATTTATCTCCTTACCTGTCTACTTATCAGTCTGTCTAGATGGGGTCTCGCTGTGTTGCCCAGACTGTACTCAAATTCCTGGGCTCAAGGGATCCTCCTGCCTCTGCCTCCCACAGACAGATGGAGCACAGGTGTAGCCAGGGCCGCTGGTGTGTACCACTGTGTTCGGCACCCGCTGGGCTGCAGGAGTAATCCAGGGCCCTCTCCCCATCTTAGGGTCAACTGATTGCCAACCTTAATTCCCCTTTGTCAGGTAAAGGAACATGTTTGAAGTGGGACACCCTTATCTTTGGGAGTGGGTATTATTCTGCTGAAGACAAGGGTGGGGACAGATATGCTGTGACCAGGGTAGTTGGGCTTATGACTTTGTTGTTGTTTACGTGGAGGAACTGAAAGACCTGGGTGTGCTGCTGGATGCCCCAAGGATCTGGCAGGAGGAGGCATCCAGGCCCTCAGGGCAGGTAGCGGGTGGGCCTCCGTGGTGTTGGGAGGTGCTGGGCCCGGAGGTATCAGCAGGAACTGCAGGGTCCCTACCGCAGGCTCCCCACACAGTGACACCTGTCTGTCCGTCCGTCTGTCCACAGGAGCAGGAGGGGCTGGGCGGGGAGGACGCAGGGTCTGTCGGAGCATAGCAGTGGCCCGTACGTGAGGGACTTTGTTGTTGCCGTCTCCCCAGGGTGCAGAGCGTGGTGGTTTGTGGCCATCCTTGCAGTGTGAGTGAGCAAGTGGCCGAGGGGTAGACTTTGGATGGCTCCAGGCGGAACTCGGGGAAGGAGGCCGTGTACTCCCATAGCTCTGGGCTCTGTTTGTGGCTGTGGCCACACAGGGCAGGGCCTCAGGGCAGGGAGGCCAGTGCTTTTGGGAAGGGCCTCCCCCAGCCCTCAGAAGCCTCCCACCCTATTCCCCTTGGGCTCCATCCTTCTGTTTTTTTTCTGGCTCTGGTTCCTGGCGTCTGTTTGCAAGGCTGGCTGGACACTGCAACCACCTGGGCTTGCTGCTGTGGCCTGGACGCTGGGGTCTCTCTCGGCCCGGTGGTGAGCTGAGAAGCGGCCCTGTGGTAGAAGAGGGCCTTTCCACGCTGAGACCACAGATTGTCCCTGCAATAAGCAAACATTTCTCTAAAATGTGAGATAAACGCTTTATCCACTGGTGATCCGTGGTTGTTAGTAATTAAACCAAGTAAACGGTAGCTCATTCGGTCAGGCCGCTTGCCGCCGATGAGGGGTGCAGAGCTTCTGCAGCATCCTGGGGAGGTCCCGGAACGTGGGTCTGGGCTGTGCTGATGCTGGAGCAGCCAGCGGGGAGAGCTGCCAGGCCACTCCTGACAGCCCCGCACCCGCTCTGGATGGAAGCTTCTCGCTCCCAGCCGATACGGGCCTGCTGCCTGCTGCTGGGGCTGGAGGGGCCCCTCTGCTTGAGCCTTGGGGTACCCCGTGCCTACGTGCCCTCCTGGCTTTGCCCATGGTTGGTGGCCGTGTTTTGGGCTGCGTTGATGTCGTTGTGGAGCCCGCTCTGGGCCTCGGCACGTCTGAGCTTGATTGGGGTGGAAAATGCACCTGGTGGTTTGTATTATGTTGTTTCTGTTTTATTTAATTTCATTTGCCATTCTTATTTCAAAAGATGCTTCCTATGTTTATGCTATATTGTTAGTTTAACTTCCTACCCTTTCCATCTATGAATTTCTGTTTTTATTGTGGTTCTCAGTGACCACACTCTAGGGGTCCTTTCTCTCTCTCTCTGTCTCTCCCCCCTCTCCCCTCCTCCCTTCCTCCCTCCCTCCCTCCTAGGCAGAGCCTGTGAGACTTGCAGGCATTTCCCCAGAACCCAGGCCCTCTTGGCCATCTGGCTGCTGCCCCACCCAACCTTTGGCCTCTCCTGGGGCTCCTGGATGGTTGGGCGTCCCAAATCCCCATCAGCAGAGCACTTGGTCACAAGGCCCGAGTCACATGCCCCAGCTTCTCCGAGGAAGTGCAGAGTCCAGCCGCAGGGAGGACTTTCTCAACCGGCCCTGGGGCCAGCTGTCCTGCTCCTCCTTGTTTGCTGTGGGCTCACCTCTGTGGGCTGCTCACTCAGACCCACTCGCACCCATGGGACCTTCCCACCTGTTTCTCCTGCCTCCTTCAGTCTGTGCCCAGCACCCCGCTGTCAAGCCCATTCCCCCCCAGCCCCTGACGTTGGACATGCTGGAGGAGACTGTGGCCCTGTGGCGTGTTCTGGGCCATCTCCAGGGCCTGGAGCGGGCACCTGTGCCCAGCACTGGAGGCTGGGGGACAAGTGCTCTCTCTGATAAATGCCCCCGAGTTTCAGTTCTGTGGCTGTAGTTTGTAGGTCTCCTAGCTCAGCATCCCCGAGCCCATGCCCTGGGGACTCATGGGGCCGAGGAGAGAGGAGCGCAGAGAACATGAGGATACGTGAGCCCCTTGCCTGAGAGGTGTGCTGTGAACCTGGAGAGCAAGGCCAGTGGGTCTGGGGTGACAGACAGTGCGAGATGCAGGAAAACAGGCTCGAGATGCTGTGAATCTGGAGAACAAGTGGGCCTGGGTCTGGGGCAACAGACAGCGTGAGACACAGGAGAACAGGCGGGATGCTGTGAAACCGGAGAGCAAGGCCAGTGGGTCTGGGTCTGGGTCTGGGGCGACAGACAGTGCGAGACACAGGAGAACAGACGGGATGTCATGTGCATTGTGGCTGGCAGGGCCGGCGCCTCACACACACGCCCCGGAAGTCAGGATGTGGTGCTGACGGTGTCCGCGCTGCCAGGCTGGAGCGGGTGACGGTGCCTGCGCTGCCAGGCTGGAGCGGGTGACGGTGCCCGCCCTACCGGGCTGGAGCGGAGCTTGCTCTCTCTGCAGTGGGACCTGCTCACTTTTCCTTAGCTGGATGTATCTTTCACATTTAGCTTAACAGCAGAGCTGGTGAGAGGACGCACACCTGGCGTCACCATTGTCCCCCGTGCATGTCCCCGGCGTCCTTCATGTTGACGCGGGCCCCGCCCCACGGCTCAGGTCTGTCAACTTCCCTGGAACAAGGCAGAGCACTTGGCCCCTGGAAGACCTGGAAACCAGGAACCTCGGAGGCGCTGGCGGCCTTGGAGGCCGCTTATCTCCGCGTGTCTGAAATTCTGTTTTCCACCTTTTCCCTTTAGGCTGGTAGGAGGCGCAATCTCTCAAGCCTTCCTTAGAAAGGATGATTGTCCTCCACCCTGCCCCAAACCCCCTGTGTTCTGTGCAACGCCTGATGAGAGCGTTCTGGGTTATTCACAGTAACTGAGCTGGGTGATCTCACAAGAGGACATAATGAAGCCCAAGGAGCCTGGTGGGGGCCGGGAGAGGCCTTGCTCTGAGTGTGGCTCGCATGGGGGCAGCGCCTTGGCGTCTGTGTGTGGTGCGGTGGTTTTCCTGCCACTCTGTGGAAGGGGCCTCTGCCAGACGCCTTGTCTTCAGGGCCTCAGGTCCCTCTGGGCACGGTGGGTGTTCATGTGTTTCTGCAGGGTTAGGCTCTGTGCATGGCGTGGTCTGCAGGACCTGGACAGCCCCTGCCCCGGGGCATTTGTGTCGGCCACCTTGGTTTGCCCCCCTGTCCAAACGCTGCCAGTTCTCGTCCTCCAGGGCACTCCGTTTCTGTCTTTTCATTCACTGGACCTCCCCACCTCCTGCGCCGCCCCACCACAGCAGGCCAGGTGCGTTCTGCCCCCAGGCCCTGTCCTCGTGGCTCTTTGATCCTGTGCCCTCGGTGTGCACCGTCTCGTGGCTCTCGTTAGAACCAGGGTCGGCCACCCCCAGCTCCCACATGGCGTCTGGTGTCTTGGGGGTCACATGTGTCTGTCTGCAGTCCCTGGGTGCCTCAAGCTGTGTGTTGCCTGTGGGGCATGTCTGAACCTCAAGTGGGCCTGAGTCGTGAGAGAAAGGCTTTCTCATCGATACTGTGTGGTCTGTACTGTTTTGCAGAATTTCTTTTTAATTAATCCTTTCTCTTTTTCACAGTGCACTGGTGATTGCTGCGGTGTTTGACCGAGACATAAACTGCAGAAGAGCAGCCTCTGTAAGTTTTCTCATTTTGATATTTCCTTTCCTGAAGGTGGGGGGTGGGCCTGGTCTCCCTGATGCTCCTCTGTGCACTGCTGCCTGGCCAGCTCACCCATCCACAGCAGGAGCCGCGAGGGAGCTGCTGAGAGTGCCAGCTGCGGGCAGGCCACTGGTTCTTACTGTCTCTGGGCGTCTTCAGCGTGTGAAGGGCGGTCAGGGTTAAGCATCCCCAGAGCTGCAGCCATCACTGCTGGGGGTTGATGGGTGATGGAGGCGAGTGGGAGGTGCCCGATGACAGGTCTTGGTGCAGGCAGCTGCACGCTGAAGACGCAGAAGAGAGTGGGTTCTGCGAGGGTGGCCAGAATGTGGCGGCGGGACGGGTCACTCACCGGGTGGCTTTGAGCCTCGGGAGGGGCTGTTGCGAGCAGTGGTCAGCTCTGCTTCACCCGCCACACTCGCCTGGGCCTTGCTGGATGTGGGAGCTGCCTGCAGGACCGGGTGCGTCTTGAACACAGATGGCTGGTTTCCTCTAGAGAGAGCCCTGTGACGTTTGGGGTGAATTCTGGGTGTGAGGAGCTGTAGCAACTGCTGCTGCGCTGAGCAGACTACTTCATTTGGCTCAGAGCTGGGCTGGAGTGAGGCCTGTGTCTCTTGGGACCACAGAGAGCGGACAGTTGAGACGGTGGACCAGTCTCAAGATAAGAGTCTTTATTTCAGATACAGATAAGACGCTGAACACGTTTTAAGAGGGTAAGAACAGAGAGGCAGCCCTTTGAGAAAGATGGAGGGGTGAGGTTGGCTTTTGGTGATGGGGTGGGCCCCACAGTTCCTCATGGGCTCGAGCTGCTGGAACTCTGTGTGCAGGCTCAGCATAGCTGGCTTAGTGGGAACCTGTTGAGGGAGCCGTTCACACTCCCTGATACTGTCAGACTTGGGGGCCAGTGGACCAGGTGGAAGGGGTGCTGGGACTGGTGAGGGTTTCCTGTCAGCCCTGCAGTGTGTGGCCCCTGGTGAGTGGGACCAGGCGGAAGGGGTGCTGGGACCGGTGATGGTTTCCTGTCAGCCCTGCAGTGTGTGGCCCCTGGTGAGTGGGGCCGTGCAGGTGCAGTGTTGGTTCTCTCTCTCTCTCAAATGCAGGAGCTCAGATGATACCCTGAAGTCTTTCTAGCTCAAAATGT